>NC_000006.12:30060000-30363030 GCF_000001405.40 Homo sapiens | reverse complement strand
CATTGTCTTGTTAACATATGGTGATGCAGATAGAACGCAATTTATACTTTTAGATACAAATAATTGATTTTGAATTCAAGGAACTTGTTTGAATCAAGTACTTCTTTGGCATTTAATGAGTTTCTTGCAAACAGGTATCAACTTTTAAATTTGAGATACATAATTTTGCCTTACAACCATCCAATTAATTGCTTTTTAAACATTAGATTGTGATAGTTGTATTAGTTTCCTGTGGTTGCTGCAACAAATTGCCATAAACTTGATGGTTTAAAACAACAGAAATCTATCTTCTCACAACCTTGGAGGCCAGGAGCCCCAAATCAAGATCTCAGTAGGGCTATGCCCCTTCCAGAGGATCTAGGGGAGAATCAGTTCCTTGCATCTGTCATATTCTGGTGGCTGCAGGCATTCCTTGGCTTGTGGCTGCATCACTCCAATCTCTGCCTCTGTCTTCACATCACCTTCTCCTCTGTGTGTCTGTGAACCTCAAATTCCCTATGGGTACTGGGCTTAATACTTGGGTGATGAAATAATTTGTACAACAAACCCCTGTGACACAGGTTCACCTATGTAACAAACCTTCAACGTGTACCCTCAAACCTAAAATAAAAGTTTTTAAAAATTCCCTCTCCTTGTCTTTTATAAAAATACATGTCATTGCATTTAGGGCTCACCCAGATACTCCAGGCTAGCTCATCCTCTCAACATTCTTAAATTAATCATATCTTTTGCCATACAAAGTAATATTCACTCTTTTGTCATATAAAGTAATAGTTACATGTTCCAAGGATTTGACATGGATATCCTTGGAAGGGTTGTCTTCCAGACTACCAAAGTAGTACATTAGTTTCCTATGGCTGTTATAACAAATTACCACAAATTTGGTGACTTAATATAAAACATATGTATTCACTTACCGCTCTTGAAATCAGCAAATTAAAATAATTTTGAGTGGACTTCAGTTCACTCAAAATTACTTTCAGTGGACTAAAATCAAGATGTCAGATGGGCTGGTTCCTTCTGTAGGCTCTAGGGGAGAACCCATTCCCCAATCCTGTCCAGCTTCTAAGGCTGTTTATGTTACTTGGCTTGTAAGCCCTTCCTCCACCTTCAAAATGAATCACTTCAGTCTCTCCTGGCATCATCACATTCCCTTCTCCTCTGACTCTGACACTTCCTGCCTCCTCTGATAAGGACCACTGTGATTATATTGGGCCCACCCAGCAAATCCAAGATAATCTCTCTCAAGATTCTTAATCACATTTACAAAGTCCTTTTTCCCAAATAAGGCAACACTCACAGTTTCTGGGGATTAGGATGAGATTAGGGACGATTAACGAGATTACTCAGGTAGTAATTTGTGAGTAAAATTATTATAGAGAGGCAAATTATTTATATCTTATAGTTTGCAGAGCAATGTTGTTTACTGTGACTTTGGCATGTATTTTTAGCAATTAAAATGCTTTAAGGATTTATACCACATATTGATGGCTTTTGATTCTTTTGTATTCAAGACTATGCACATTTGGGGCTGTGTTTTCTAGAAACATACACAGTAACAGTATCTGAGCAGAACTTAGAAATACTGTATTACTATGAGAAAGTACATTTCGTTAATCTAACACACATTATGATTTATATTTGGCTCACAAGTTGATATGCCTTCTCAGATTTTTTCAGCTGTTTCCTTCTTTCTCTTTCTAAGTCGGTGCTCTACCTGGACTGGGTCAACTTGCCTCTTCAGGACTAGAAGAAACACCATGTTGCAAGGCATGGTATAGAAATACAACTGACTGCTACATATTGATTTTGTATCCTGCAACTTTGCTGAATTTGTTTATTAGTGCTCTCTCTCTCTCTTCCTCTGTGTGTGTGTGTGTGTGTGTGTGTGTGTGTGTGTGTGTAATCCTTAGGGTTTTCTGCATATATGATCATGCTGTCTTCTAACAAAGATAATTCTACTTCTTCCTTTCCATTTTGGGTGTTTTACTTTATTTTTCTTGCCTAGTTACTCTGGCTAGAACTTCCAATACTAAGTTGAACAGATGTGGTGAATAGGTATATTTGTCTTGTTTCTGATGGTAGAGAAAAAGCCTTCCTCATTCTTTCTCCTTGAATATGATGTTAGTGATGGGCTGCTCATATATCGCCTTTATTGTGTTGAGGTAGTTTCCTTCTATTCCTAGGTTGTTGAATGTTTTTATCAGAAAGGGTGTTGAATTCTGTTAAATGCTTTTCTGTGTCAATCGAGATGATTATGTGGACCATGAAAGTTTTGAAGTAGGAGAGAGACAGATGACATTTTCCTTTACAAAGACCTCTCTGGTTGCAGGCAGTCTTTGGAGGAGAACAAGACTGAAGGCAAAGAAATGTGTTGGGAAATTTTGGCAGAAATCCCAGGGACAGGCAATGATGATCTGAGCTGGGGAAGTGGCCACACACTACGATTCGCACCCCAGACAAGAGCAGAAGCCTGAGATGGAGTAGCTCCATAGGCCTAGGTGGGAGAGAAGGCTGAACCAGAGACCAGAAGCGTGCTGAGCTGAGTACTAAGCCCGCTGCTGCAGGTCAGTTAGAGGTCCAGAGGGAAAGGAGCTGTGGGTCTCCCGGCTTGGGGCACTGTCACGCAAACTAGGTTTGCGGGGATTAAGCTCTAAGTATTCGTGCACTTGGAAGGAGCGACAGCAGATGGGGAGCGCTGAGCGAGGACAGGGATGTGCAGTCTGCAGAGAGAACAGGAGCCGCCCTCGGTCGGCTAGAGGGCTGCAGTGCAGTGCCAAAGGAGGGACTCTGGAAGAGCAAAGCTGAGATCTGCAGTGAAAGTGACAGCAGAAGAACTTGAGGAAAAATACATTTCTCTGCTTTTTCGACTGTATTTGGTCTCTCTTTTCTAGCACTGGAGCCCATCTTCCTCTTTTCTTCCTTCTGGCCCTTTCTTCAATTGGACCATGTTTTCCTCCTATTGAAACACCCTCCTATTGTGACACTGCAAACCTCCAATAAATCGCCAACACTGTCCCTTGAGTCTCCAGAGTGTCTCACTCTTTCCAGACACGCTGGTGATTATTCATCTGCTTCATCTGCCTCCTTCCTGAGCTATGGCTCCAGGTGGAAGTGGTCAGCCTTCCTACATAGAACCTAGACACACATTACCCAATCCATGGCCCATAGCAAACTTCCAGAGCTCAGCAGCAGCAGCTGCTGGGTAGGAGGCCCCCGCCAACACCCAGCACCAGCAGCCCCCACTAGAGTTTTACTGCACCATATAAAGGACATGGAGTGAGAAGAGTAAACAATGTCTTGCAATAGGTAACTGAAACCCCACAGATTACCCACAATGTGTAGCCCTGCTCCACAAAAGCCACGATGAACTGAAAGTAGAGAATCCTGAATTTGGGGCACAGTTGCAGAATTCCGATATTCTCTCAGCCCTGACACACTTTAGTGGATTTCACTGCCCTTAGCCACAGGAGCCTCTAAGCTCATCTTAGGGTTTACTCCTGGTCAGAGATTAGGTGGGAGTGAGGGGTGGATTGGGAAGCAGTGAAGGCTCTACAGGGTGACGTATCTAAGTATGCAATTGCCAAAAGCATAAGTCTCTCATCAGGCACCACAGAAACAGTTTTTTCAGCCAGTGCTGCAGACTCCTGCTAGACAGGGTGAATCCACATCACCTACAAAATTCACGAGTCAGTTTTGCACACTGGGCCGTTGAACTCTGAAGCAAACTGGGAAGTTCTAAAAGCAATAGGAATTGGGGTTACTTAGTAATTAAGATATAGCAACTTATTCCTGGAAAAAAAGTATTTTCTATAATAGTTCTTAAATCATTAAAACGTCTGCTAAATTTTGAGTTTTGATACATTCCCTGCTTAAAGTGAACACAATAAATTCTAAACTGAAATGCAGCAAGTGGGGTTTTTGTTTTGTTGTGTGGTGAGAAGAAATGCTGTTTTACTCGAGGTGGTTGTTTCAACGACGCACTTCTCTCCTGCATTAATTTAAAAAAAATTACAAACAAATCTCAAACTTCACATGAGGATAAATAGGGTTTCTTCTACAGCTCTCCAGTTTGTTTTTAAATATAATATTTTAAGTATGTAATTTATCGGAGTAAAATTTATTAGAATAATTCATTAGAAGCCACTTGTTTAGCTCCATATTTGTTCAGCAATGTTGCATATTGGGACATTGGAATATTTTTTGTGTAAGCAAAAATCCTTTATATTTATACGTGTATCGACAGCTTCCACTTTATTTGTGTACTACATAGCGTGTGATTTTTGACTCTGCTTTGTAGAAAAACACATTTCAACAGAATATCTCCAGCTGATTTTATAGTTTCTTACAGCATTTTTGAAAAATATCACTCTGCAAACGTGCTGCCTCAGTACTGTCCTTGAAAACAGTCGAAAATCTTAATTTAGTTATTTTTTTTTCAATTTTTTCAATTTTTTCAATTACACTGAAAACTCGCATTGTACTATGTCTCAGCACTCCCAGATTTACTCAGTGTTTGCTGAAGGAGGTTTGCATCCTGCTGGGAAGACGCATTTGGCAAGGCTTTTCCTCTTCTTCAGGAGATCGGCTAAGATGCAGTTTGATTTGTAGTTCGGTACTATTGCTTTCACGGAAAGTGTCACGCAAGCTTCATTTCCTTTTATGGCCTATATATATGCAGAACTGCGCTGAGTGTACCAGTTATTCTCCTTACATGGATAATAAATAAATTTTAAATTGTAAAAGATAAAGGTTGAGACTGGAATGGCGCTTGATGAGCTTTGGCACACCCTGTGGGGGCGGTCAACTTTGGGGATCCCAGGACACGTAGCACTAAGGACCGCTCCAATCGACAGAGGGGCGTCCAGCCGTCGGGGGCGGGCGGAAAGGAAGGCACAGCGGAGTGGAACCGCGCAGCGCACGCCACAAGCACCAGGATTTCATTTCACTGGGGCAGCGCGTGGGGTCCCGACGGGAGGGATGCGGGGTCAGCGCTTCTGCCTAGATAACGCGACGCGGGGACCTTGGGGAGACAGGTCTGTGATAACTCGACCCTGGACCACACCCTATGGCGGATTTGGTAGGTAACCTCGGTGAAGGGGGGAGTCTTCCAAAGAAGGAATGCAGGAGCTGCGTCTTCCAAAGAAGGAATGGAGGAGCGGCAGGAACACAGAGGAAGGCGGAGGGGCGAGGAGGAGGTTTCTTTCTGGGGCTCTATTTGGTAGGTTGATTGGTTTTCTCTGGGCTACAGCCCCCTCTAGCGTTTCTTATGCGCTAGGACTTCTGCCTTCTTTCATAGGTCAGTAAGGGTTTTTTTCTATTTCTAATATTTGTGGAAAATTTTCACCACTGGACTCATCCTTCTTTACAATTTGGATTTCAGTTCCCCTAATAACGTTTTAACAATATCTTAAGAGTCAAGGAGGAAAGATTTTGTGCCCAGTTGGCCACCTTGAAGGCAGAGGCGTCTGTCATGGTCTTTCTTTTTCTCTTTTTTCTTGAGAAAGGGTCTCGCTCTGTCGCCCAGGCTGTGGTGCAGTGGCGCCATCTCGGCTCACTGCAATCTCTGCCTCCCGGGTTCAAGCGATTCTCCCACCTCAGCCTCTCAGGTAACTGGGACTACAGGTATGCGCCACCACGCCCGGCTGATTTTTGTGTTTTTAGTAGAGACGGGGTTTCATCATGTTGGCCAGGCTAGTCTCGAACTCCTGACCTCAAGTGATCCGGCCTCCTTGGCCTTCCAAAGTGCTGGGATTACAGGCACAAACCACCGCACCCGGCCACTCATAGTCTTTTAGTAGGAGTATATTTAAGGGGCAGTCTTTGCATAATAATAGGAGAATTGAAGTTTTAAAGTCAGATAAGTTGTGCGAGAGTCTCAACTAGTCCGCTGTCCAGTCATGAGATCTTAGACACGTCATGTAAATTATCTAAGCATTAATTAACTTATGTATAAAATGGATGTAATCATGTTACCATCCACACTGGGGTTTTAGGAAGGACCGATGTAATAAAGGGAGGGCTTTATTAATAACCTTCTCTTTATCTCACTAATCATTGCTAATTTCTGCTGTTTCCTAGGTGTCTCAAAACTAAACTCATGCCTCTGGCAGTTATTTGTGGAGCAAATATTATGTGCCAGGCAATGTTCAAGTGCTGAGAAAAATATAAGGCATAAAACACATAGTTACAAAACATAGCTATCAGACAGAGCCCCTGCTTTCCAGGAACCCACAGTTGTAAAGAGGAGACAATAAATGCAATGACCTTGCAGTGTGATAAGAGCTAACACAGCAATTTATGCAGGTGTTGTGGGTATTACAGGGGAGGAAGCCTGCCTGGAGCATCAGGCTCAGAGGATCTGTGTAGAGCAGGGATTCTCAACCTCAGCGTTACAGTGAGTACTTGATGTTTCAGGCCACATAACTCTTTATTGTGGAGGTTGTCCTGTAAATTGTAGGATGTTTAGCAACATTCCTAGCCTCTACCCACTAGATGCCTGTAACACCAACACCTTCCTGATTGTGACAACATCAAAATATATCCAGACATTGCCACATGTCCTGAGGGAAGGGGGTTCACTTGAGAACTGATGTGTAGAAGATAGCTGAGACATCACTCAGAGTTGGATTTCCCAGAGGCATCTTTATTTGGCAGAATGACAGATTAGTTTTTCTTATTTTTAAAGACGGGATTTCACTCTGTTGCCCAGGCTGGAGTGCAGTGGCGAGATCATAGCTCACTGTAACCTGGAACTCCTGGGCTCAAGCGATCCTCCTGCCTCAGCCTCCCAAGTAGCTGGGACTATGCATGTCACTAGGCCCGGCTGATTTTTTTTTTAATTTTTATAGAGATAGCGCCTCAATATGTTGCCCAGATTGGTTCTAAACTCCTGGCCTCAAGCGATTCTTTAGCCTCAGCCCCCCAAAGTGCTAGGATTATAGACACACATGGCCCAAGTTAGTTTTTAATTTAGTTTTTTGTTTATATTAATATATAATTGGTTCCTTTGTTATTTTAATGTATTAGAAAAATACTAGTTTTAAATTGAAAGTAGAGATACAATTCTTTTCTTTAAATATATTTGGGCAAAAGTGATACTGCAGAAAACAGTGAATGAAAGAAGATAAAAACAATAGCATCCAACCACATACAAGTCCTGACAATTTTGTAACTATCATGCTATTTCACTCTCCACTGCAAACTCAGCCTCCTGTTGTACTTGTTTGGATTAGGACCTGGAGAGTGCAGAGTTTGGGGCAGGGTGCAGGCAGAGCAGTTCAAGGCAAACCTTCCCTCCAGGGCAGGGCCCCCTACTCCTGCTTAGAAATACCCAGCATTCCAAAGAGAATGTTCCCCTTCTTCTCCCTAGGCCTTGATCTCTCCTTGGTTTCAGGCAAAGGACTTCAAGACTGAGGAATTCTTACAAGTTTTCCTTAGGCTGCACTGCCCTTGAGCTCTGAAGCAAAATTACGTTTGATGCCCAAGAACATAGGAGGTGAGAGTGAAGGGAAGAGGTGGGTGCAGCTGCTTTTACCAGAGAGTTGGCGGTGCTAAAAGCCTGAGCTGGGGAGCTCGCTGCCATCTCTGCCTAGGAGTCCTCTGTCTCAGGAGCTTTAATCTTCCTAAAACATGATTGGCTCACTCACTGCACACGTTTTCAGTCCATCTGCCCCTGACCCACATCCTTGCCTAGGTCCCCCTTGAAGCACAGCAAGGACAATTTGGGTCAGAGAAGTTAAGCCTCATTTGTTTTAGGAAATGAAAAAATAGACATATCAGGATGGGTCAATCCATTTGTTAAGTAGAGATGGGACCGTTTGGGATACAATACCCATAAATCACATTTGTGCAGTTCTTGATTTTTTTTTTTTTACATTAGGCTGGAATAAGACTACAAAATTTCTCAATTTTTTTATAAAGGTGTTTCCCACCCACTGGAGCCTGACCACTTGAAAGAGTTACTTCTGTACACATTTACATAAATCATTATTAGGGCCCTATAACAGAAACACACACACACACACATACACAGAAACCGTTATTTATCAGGTGATCAAAACCCAAAGATTTGATGATGCCTTATTGTGCTGGTGAAGGTAAGGTAATCAGACACTATTTTGTGTCTTGTTTTGTATGGGGAGTAAATTGATGTAATTTCTGTGAAAGGCAACTGGTATTTTCCATCAAAATTTAACTGCAAAAGTATTTGATCTGGCAACTTAACCTTTAGAAATTTATCATGTGGATAAAGACCCAGGTGTAAAATAAAATGTGAGCAAAAAGCTTAAGCATAGTACTCTTTTCACTTCACTTTAAAGTCGTTTTTATCGTGAACAATAACATGACATAAATGCAAAAAAGTACAGCTAAATGAAGCATACATGCAATGTACCTACTATCTTACTTGAGAAATTAAACGTTGCTGGCAGCCCAGGTGCCTCTACTCCAGCAATCACATCCCCTCCCAATTGGCTACTACCCTGAATTTTCAGGCGATGTTTTCTTGCTTTATTTTCAAAGTTTTCCCACCTAAGAAGAAATCACTAAATAATAAATTATATGTCTGTATGTATATTCATATTTTATTGTTTTTGAACAGTACATAAATGGAATCATACAATATGTGTTCTTTTGTATCTGGAGTTTTGCTGAATAGTATGTTTTTTTTGGTTTGATTTTTTTCTTTTTTTTTTTTTGTTTTGAGACAGTTCGCTCTTGTTGCCCAGGCTGGAGAGCAATGGCGTGATCTCGGCTCACTGCAACCTCTGCCTCCCGGGTTCAAGCGATTCTCCTGCCTCAGCCTCCTGAGTAGCTAGGATTACAGGCATGTGCCACCAAGCCAGGCTAATTTTGTATTTTTAGTAGAGATGGGGTTTCTCCATGTTAGTCAGGTGGGTCTCGAACTCCTGACCTCAGGTGATCCACCAGCCTCAGCTTCCCAAAGTGTTGGGATTACAGGCGTGAGGCACCACACCCAGCCACTGAATAGTATGTTTTGAAGACTCATCCATGCTGGATGTATAGCCATACCTAAGCTTTACATATTGTTTATGGGCAGAACATTTGAAAGAAGGTAAATACTCAACAGGGAGCAGACTAAATAAATTATGGTATACCCACACAATAGAATATTATGCAGTGATGAAAAATAATGAAGCTGATGTTAGATACTAAAATGGTAAGAGCACTAAGTTTTTTTGCTAAATAAAAAGCAGTATATGACCCATAGAATAGTATTCTACCATTTGTATGAAAGAAAAATTTAAATCAATACCAACTTGTTTATATATATTTACAAAAATATCCAGAATATTTTTACCGTATTCTCCTCTGGAAGATAAAATGGGTAGCTGGAAAATTAATTCCCCTATCTATTTGCATACTTTCTGAATTTCCTGCTACTTGCATGTATTACCTATTGAAAATGAGGCTAGAGAGTGAAACAAAATATTGCCCAGTCGCACAGCTGGCCAATGTCAGAGCCTGGACTCAGCCTGTCCCAGTTATAGGGATTTTAGGCCAGATCTCTTTCTACAACTGTAAAGCCAAGAAGGAATGAATCAACAATTAGCTTTATACTCCATAACCTGGGAAAGCCTAAAAGCATACTCCAACTGAGCCTGAATGTTGGTTTGTTCATTTTCCCCACAGTTCCTCTTCAAGAGACAGTTTCAATCCCACAGTTCTGGTTAAATTCCACTGGGCTGAAACGGGTAATTTCAGAATGACCCACCACAAAGCAGGACACATCCCTAAATGACAGGCTTTGGTCAGGATGGCACAATAAGTTCATGCTTAGGCAAAGACTCTCTGCCCCAAATTACATGGCAATAAGAAAAATGTAAAAAGAGAAAAGTTATAGTTGAGTTAAGGACAAGAGAAACACCACTCTCCATGAAGAATGGGTCATCAACAGAAAGCAAAGGCAGTGGGAAGGGCTGATGCTTCCAGCATGCTGTTTGTCAGGAGACTGGCTGAAGGCAGGCTCTCTCCTGAAAGAAATTGCCACTGACCACTGCTTGCAGCTGAGGCTTCATAAGAAGCTCCAGGCCCAGGCAGATGGGAGGACTCAAGTGCAGCTTGGAGAGGAGGCATTCACTGAAGCCTTAGAGAACCAGCAGATTACTTCACACAATCTGTAGAAATCAACTCAAAATGTATTAAAGGCACAAATGTACCAGGTAAAACTCTAAAAGAATTCTTTTCCATTACAAGAAAACAAACAAACAAACAAACAAAACAACCAAAACCTTAGGTCTTAGTCAGCCATGGCTGCTATAACAAATACCACAGACTGGGTGGCTTATACAACAGACATTTATCTCTCACAGTTTTGGAGGTGACAGCAGATTCAGTTCCAGTGAGGATCCTCTTCCTGGCATACAGATGACTGCCTTCTTTCGGTGTCCTCACAAGGTAGGGAAAGAGAGCTCCAATCTCCCTCTTCTTAAAAGAGCACTAATCCCATCACGGAGGCCCCCCCCTCCTGACCTCATCTAAACTTAATTACCTCCCCAGGGTCCCACCTCCAGATACCACCACACTGGGGGTTAGGGCTTCAACATATGAATTTTGGGGGAACACAAACATTTAGCCCATAACACCCTTCAAAGCAAAAAGAAAAGAACACCATGAAATCTAGTGGAAAAATAGGGGGAAACATTTGAATAGGCAGTTCAAAGAAAGAGAAAAATGAATGATGATGACTTATTTGAAGCTACACAGTATCACTGGCAATAAGAGAAACTCAAGTTACAACAAGAAAGGGAAAGAGTTGATACTGATTAGATTGTGACAAAGATTAAGAAGTCAGTTAAAATCAACTGAGCATGTAAAGAAAGATGAACTTGGTATATTGCTAGGGAGTATAGACTGTGGAAGCTGAAGGAAAATTTGACTTTCCTCAGGTAATTTCCATACACACAAACCTAGAATCCAATTTGTAATTGTGGCTAAGTACTCCAGAGGCCCACTCTCATAGGTCCATGGTCTAGAATTCTACTACAGAGATATATATGGTAACATATAGTTGGAAGCAAACTAGTTGACTATCCATAAGAAAAGGGATAAACAAAATGTTTTAAAAGCATAATCTATGGCAGTCCAAAACACTGAATTAGATGTATATACAGTACAGAGAGCTTAAAAAACGTTGTCAGCCGGGTGCGGTGGCTCACGCCTGTAATCCCAGCACTTTGGGAGGCCGAGGCGGGTGGATCACGAGGTCAGGAGATCGAGCCCATCCTGGTTAACACGGTGAAACCCCGTCTCTACTAAAAATACAAAAAATTAGCCGGGCATGGTGGCGGGTGCCTGTAGTCCCAGCTATTCAGGAGGCTGAGGCAGGAGAATGGCATCAACCTGGGAGGCGGAGCTTGCAGTGAGCCAAGATCGCGCCACTGCACTCCAGCTTGGGCAAGAGTGAGACTCTGTCTCAAAAAAAAAAAAAAAAAAAAAAGTTGTCAAAAAGATAAAATGGTCTCTGCAAGCTCCATGTCCTAGGTATAGTCCTCCCCATCCTGCTGCCAGATCAATGTGATCTCTTCAGGGTGGAAGCCCAGGGCCCAGCACCTCAGGGTGGTATTACAGTCAGAGATGGGGTCATAGTGGGTGCTGGTGGGGAATGCCTTTGGGGGTCCGAAGAAAAGGGTCAGAGGAAATTTAGAACATTCATTTCCCTTCCATAGGCCATTCAACAGGGCTCATTGATCGCTCTAAGAAGGAAAGGATTTTAGGAAGAGAAACTCAGATACCCACATCTACTCTAAGAGTCCAGGGGGAACACTTTCCTGTTTCAAAGCAGAGTGAGGCAGGATATAGTTGGAGGCACCAGGTCTGAAAGGAGGTGAGGGGGTCCTAATTAAGTAGTGTCAAGGTCACAGTGGGCAGGGCCAGGGTTAGAACAAGCTCCAAAAAGAATCAGGATGGAGGCAGAAGATAAGGTCTGAGAGAGACAGTTTGGTTCTTGAGGAAGTAGCTGCAAGATCATGAAAATTAAAAGCTTTTATACATCAAAATATACTATCAAGAGAGTGAAAAGACAATCCACGGAATGAAAGAAAATGTTTGCAAATCATATATCTGATAAGGGTCTAGTATTCAGAATATATAAAGAATTCCTAAAACTCAAAACATAAAGGCAACCTATTTTTTTTAAATGGGCAAAGGTCTTGAAAGGACCTTTTTCCAAAGAAAATATACAAATAGCCAACAAACACATAAGATGCTCAACATCATTACTCATTAGAGAACTGTATATCAAAACCACAAAGAGGTTTTGTGGTTTTTGTCTAGTGTTTTGGATTGACTTCTAGCGGTTTTATACCCACTAGAATGTTATTATAGGATGGCTATAATAAACAACAAAACAAACTGAAAGTAAGTGTAGATTAGGATGGAGAGAAATTAGAACCATGTGCATTGCTGGTGGGAGTGCAAAATGGTGCAGCAGCCATGAAGAGCAGTTTGGTAGTTCCTCAAAAAGTTAAAATATAAAACTATCAAACGAACCGCACCTATATCCTCCAACAAAAAAACTAAAAACAGATACTGAAACAGAACCTTGTACACAAATGTTCATAGCAGCACTGTTCACAATAGCCAAAAAGCAGAAATAACGGAAGTGTCCATTGATGGCTGAATGGATAAACAAAATGTGGTATATCCATATAATCGGCTACTATTCAGCCATAGAAAGGAATGAAATACTGACATTTGCTACAGCACGGATGAACCCTGAAAACATTATGCTAAGTGAAAGAAATCAGACACAATAAGCTACAAATTGTATGATTCCATTTATATGAAATATACAGAATAGACAAATCCGTAAAGGCAGAAACAGATTAGTGGTTGCTAAGGGCTGGAATAGGGAAAAATTGGAAGTGACTGTTTAATGGAAACAGGTTTCTGTTTGGGATGATGAAAAAGATCTGGAACTAAATAGTGGTGGTGATTGTATAATATTGCAAATGTACTTAATGCCACTGAATTGTACACTTTAAAATGGCTAAAATGATACATTTTAAGTTAAGTATATTTTACCACAATAAAAAGAGGAACCACTGGGGGGCACTGGGTGAGGATGTAGGGGACATTTCAGTATGCTCTTTGCAGCTTCCAGTGAATCTATATTTCAAAATAGTTTTGAAAATTTATTAAGCAGTTACTAAGCATAGGCACTATCTTCATAGTGATATAATTGTTTTAAATTAGAGATACACACTGATTTATTATGGTGACAATAACTCAGATTCCTCAATGTTCAAGACCTGTCTTTTCTAACGTTTTTGCTACTTGAATTCAAAATAACAGTCTCTCAATCCTTCTCTCTTTTGCCTCCTGACAATAACGATACTGGTTTTCACTAGTTTTGAAAGTGCTAAATGAACTTAATGTTCAGGGAGTGACTAAGGCATAGTTTCTATGGTTACTGGAAGACCTCATTTCTTGATTCGATTTGAATAACCTAAGTTTCTTCTCTCTCCTTTAATTTTATTTAGAGTCCTAAAAGGGCATAAATTTTGAGTTATTGAACTTCTAGAAACACTTGAGAAAGCTACTGCATTCCAGGGATTCAGTTTATTTTCATCTTTCATCTAGGAAATCCATTTTTGCATATAATATGCCACTATCACATTATATATCTTTATGATGTATCTGTATTAATACATAGAATCATGTATCAATGTATAGAATATAAATGTTATATATGTAATCATATATTTATAATTAAACATGAAAAAGGAAAGAGGAAGAGGGCTGTGGAAAGAGGAAGAGGGCTGTGATCTTTAGAGTTATATATTGATAGAAACCCACAACAAATAAAGAAACCACAAAGACTCACAAGTGAACCAGATTCCAGATACTGTTTTGTCTGCCGCTCATCCTGACTGGGACCTGATTCCCATGATCTCCCACATGAGAGGAATCACTTAGTGACTGAGCCATGAAATCGAAACTCAGTTTCCCCACTGCTATCCCACTGTAGACATGTTCAGTCACATGCAATCATAACACACTCAAGACAAACTTAGCCAAAGATCAGATTAAGTGTGCAAGAGTCGAGCTCAGTCATCCCAAATTAAACTTACTGGAGGAGCCATGGAAGGTGAGCTGAGGATGCAAAGGACCCAGGTATGCACGAGGTGTTACTTTCAGGCTACACATTTTTGTTGGACTGAAAGTTGACCCAGGTAGGCACTATTTCCAGAAATAAAATGTCAAAGGATGACTCAGAAACATTTACTTACATGTACACTGTTTAGTATTTTCTACGCAAATAATTTACTGACATGTGAAGGAGGCAGTGGAGAGACCAAGTCAGGGACAAAGGCAAAACAAGAATGTGGTAGATGAGTGATCCCCAACCTTTTTGGCACTAGGGACAGGTTAACCAGGGACTGGTTTTGTGAAAGGCAATTTTTCCATGGAGCAGGAAGGGTATGGTTCTGGGATGAAACTATTTCACCCCAGATCATCAGCAATTAGATTATGATAAGGAGCATGCAACCCAGATCCCTTGCATGCGCAGTTCACAGTAGGGTTCATGCTCCTATGTGAATCTAATGCTGCCACTGATTACTCAGGCAGTAATGCTGGCCCATCCCTCCCTTCCACCACTGCTCACCTCCTACTAGGCAGCCTGGTTCCTAACAGGACACAGCCCAGTACCAGTCCACAGGGCCTGGGGGTTGGGGACCCCTGTGGTAGATTGTTACACTGGTGATCCCCAGGGAACTAATGAACCTCCCAGCGTTCAAACTCCAGTGTAGCCCCTTCCACATTGAATCTGGCATTGGCACTGTGCCTTGCTTTGGCCAAGGGAACATTAGCAAGTGTGACCCCAACAGAGGCTCGATAAACACTTTTTTTTTTTGAGACAGTCTCACTCTGTCACACAGGCTGGAATGCAGTGGCGCGATCTTGGCCCACTGCAACTCTGCCTCCTGGGTTCAGGTGATTCTCCTGCCTCAGCCTCCCGAGTAGCTGGAATTACAGGTGCCTGCTACCACGCCCTGCTAATTTTTTTGTATTTTAAGTACAGACAGGGTTCCACCATGTTGTCCGGGCTGGTCTCAAACTCCTGAACTCAAGTGATCCACCTGCCTCGGCCTCACAAAGTGCTGGGATCACAGGTGTGAGCCACAGCATCCAGCCAAACACTTACATATTGGGATGCTTTTGTAGAAGCCAGAGGGGATGTAAGAAATACAACTACCCTGAGTCAGCCATGCTGTGGGAACATCAAAGCTAGCGAGGGAGCAAGGCTACTTGGAGAAGCAATGAGGTGCTAAACACGTGAGTGAAATTTCTTGGGTCTTCCAGACCACCTACGAGATAGCAGCTAAATGCAGCTATTTAAGCTGATTTCATATGTAACAGGAGAACCACCCAGCCAAAGTCTTTCAGAATTCCTAGTTCACAGAACCAGAGGAAATAATAAATCATTATGTTTTAAGCTCCAACATGATGAAGTGATTTTTTTATACAGCTATCGATAAGCAAACACAGGGTTTATAAGAGAAATAAAAGAAAACTGCATTCTGGAAGTAGTAAATTTTGTTTGTATGCTTTTGGTATAACCTTATTAGCTGGCATTTAGCAAAAAGGTCAGTCTAAGAATTCTGTACTTCAGTAGGCTTTCTAGGGATATCGAAGAAAACATTTTAGTTGTTTATTCTTAAGAAAACTCTGAGAGTTTACCTATGGGACATAATTGCAAAATGTCTGTCGGTGTCCTTTGTTAGCATCTTTGACTTTGTTAGTTCAGGTTTGCGCCATTTCCTTTATCAGAATTTTATTAAAGACAACTTTGAGACTGGGAAAAGACCTGAGTCTTTTCTGACTATGAGTGGGCCTAGAGGATACAAACACTCTCCGCTGCCCCATATTTCTCCCCTTGTTTAAAAACAGCAGCAGTGGCATCATTCTCTCCAGCTCTTCAGTCAGCAATTATGGCTGCCCAAACATGGAATGCCCTAAGGTGGCTCAGGACATTGATAGGGAACTGGGGCCATGGCCTTGGAAATGCAAGCTGCTGAGTGAGGCCAAGTGGTCTATGGAAATCACGATCTCCCTGCATGGTGGGATTACAAAGGTGACCAAGAAACACAGACAGAAACAGAAGAAAATGGAATTAAGAGTTGAAATACCCACAGAACAGAATCATGGAATGTAAAACAAGTAAACTTTATTTGGGAGATGGGGTGAATCCATCACTGGTTACTGGAACCCTGAGTCTGCATTTTCTCCTCAGGAAGGCGGTCTGAAATGGAGTGGGCTGTGTTTGGCAAGGGTTGTAGTGGTTTGGAATCTGAGTAAATGAGCAGAATCAGAGAAACAGAATTAGTTTTCTGACTGTGGTACTTCTCACACCAACCCAGAACCTGTCCATGTGTCCTCTTCACTCTACGTTCTCCATTGTCCCTATCCTCTGGGGTGTCCTCCATTTTCTCCCTCACCTCTCACCTGCTTGGCTCCCGAGCTGGGCCTCAGGCCTGTCTCCCCAGAGTAAATGCCCGGGATCATTGAGGAAGCGTTGGCTGCGCTGGCATGTTAGGCAGGTCTGTACGGTCCAGCGCTGTCCCCTGCAGCCTAGGGTGAACATGGGAAAAAGACTGTCCACGTTTAGAAGTAACGGTCTCTTGCTGCCAGTTTTGCCTCCAGTGTTTTTCAGTAGGTATCCCCGCTCCCCCACCACACCCCCAATTTGAATGCACATTTGATGGTGTCAGGCCTCGGCATAAGCTCCATCGATTTCCTGGAACTCTTTAAGATAAAGTTCAAACTCCCTAACAAGACTTCAAGAACTGGCCTGTTTCCCCCTCCAGTCTCATGTTTTGCCCTCCTACCTCAAACTCCAGCCTCCTGAACTCTCATTTCTTTGACAGCACCACAAGCTCTCTTGTCTCAGAGTCTGCACACATGCCTAGAATTTCCATCTCTCACTCCCTTTGCTTATCATAAACTTCGCCACCACTGGCATGAGTAAGTGAGCATTCTACTCCCCCAGTTAATCTTTTTCTACACCATTTTGTTTCTTAGTCTGTCCCATCAGACCGTAATTTCAATGAGAATAATGAATCTAGCACAGTACCTGACACATTTTAGAAAATAAGTATTTGCTTAATAAATGAATGGTGATGGGAATCGTCCTCCACAAAGCCGAACAACATCTATTATTGTGCATGGGTGGGGTTGCCTCTTAAAAGTTATTATTTATTGCCCACACTGGAAGAAAAAAAAAAAAAACAGCCGAGCCCAAACCCTAGTTTGTGCAAGTGGCGTTAGGAACTTAATCCAAACCCGAAGAAGGAAGACTCCTGCGAATCCCACACCCAACATCCATCTACAGTGAGAAAGGCGCTGTTGGCCTCCAGTGCCCGCCCCCCACCCCGCCCCCCTCCGCGCCCCCAATGCTCCGCAGTCTTCCACCTCCGTTGGAGCACTCACGTCTCTGGCGCTGGGTGCAGGTGAGGCCCGGGACGAGGAGGGAAGAGCAGCCTCGACAGAGAGTCCTCTTCACCGAGGGATCCCTGGGGGCGGAGGAGGATAGTGGTCTGGCGCCCGCGCTCCCTCTCGCGTTCCTCCCGCGTCCCGCCCGCCGCCCGCCCCGTGGCTGTCTCACCGCCGCAAGACGAGCCGCTTCGCAATGGTCCTCTCAGTGTAGCAGTAAAACCTCGCCAGCGCCTGGTTCTCGGGGTCCTGGGCAAGGACACAATGGGCGGCCTGCGGGAGGGGAGCAGTCACTCTGGGACGCCGAGCACCGTCCCCGTGGGGCCCTTGTCGCAGACTCACCTGGTACAGGAAGTTGAGCCTCTGGAAGGCCTCGCGGTCCTTCACCGGCCCCGCCATCACCGCCGCGCTCCAGGGCCTCCCGCAGCCCCACCCCTCGCACAGCCCCGCCCGGGCGTCCGCGCGAGGCCTCCTGGGAAACGTAGTCCCCGCGCCCTCGGGAGCCTCCCGGAGGCCTCACAAACTCATCGGTTTCTAAACACAACCCCAGCAATCCATGCCCAGGGTCCCTTTATGAATTTTCAGTGCTTTTGTCTTCCTCAAGCTCATGACCAATTATATCACCTAGAGACCTAGTGGAGCAGGTGAGGATCTTAAATCGGCCATTTTCAGGACAGAAGGCTGGTCTCTTTATGTAGCTACGTTGGGGAGATGGTTATGTGCAATTTATACCCAGCTAGAGCTTCTGCCCTACTCTCCTGAGGTCCGAGGCAGATGCCTGTAAGATCTACAGACGGAAGGCACAGAGGTAATACATTAAAAAAAAGCACTGGTGCCAGTGGGGGTGAAAGTGGGAAGGATCATGAGGGTGCTGGAGGGAGGGAAAAGGACTCCCGGTCCTCAGAAAGCACAGTTTACTCCTACTATTCCACCTACCAAAGAAACACACTTCCTGTTATGCAGTGCTGGACACACAGTAGGTGATCCTCACTTTCTGAGTGAATGGTTTCTAACTCCTAGGCTTAGGTACAGCACAGAAATCTGTCAACAGCATCCCCTGCCCCTGAAACTTCACCCCACTCCCCACACTGACATTCACCTCACACCCCTCCCTCTGACCTCTTCTATCTTCCAGTTCTTCTGTCTGGTGTCCTGTGACTCATAGTGACTATCAGTTACTGAAGTCAGAAGCAGAGGGACATGAATTGGAGGGGTAGAAGATCAATGAACCCTGAGATGGGGAGGGCAGCATAAGTCAGGAGAGGATGACTTCTCTCCAATTTCAGACCCAGTGCCAGGCGGGGACAGACAAGCAGGGCTCCAGCTGGGAGGAAGGACATGGCTGAAACCTCCTCTGGAACTAGTTTCACAAGGGTTTTCGGACTCAAATGAGAGTGGTGTGTTTAAAATGTAGATGTAGGCTGGGCACGGTGGCTCACACCTGTAATCCTAGCACTTTGAGTGGCTGAGGCAGGTAGATTACTTGAGTTCAGGAGTTCGAGACCAGCCTGTCCAACATGGCAAAACCCTGTCTCCACTAAAATTAGCCGGGTGTGGTGGTGCATGGCTATAGTCCATAGTAATCCCAGCTACTCTGGAGGCTGAGGCAGGAGAATTGCTTGAACCTGGGAGGCGGAGGTTGCAGTGAGCTGAGATCACCACTGTACTCCAGCCTGGGCGACAGAACGAGACTCTGTCTCATAAATAAAATGTAGATGTCCGGCCCACCCCAGACCTTGACTAACCACTAAGGGTGAGACCCAGGAACATGCATGTCTAACACCCAGTGATTCTTACACATCAGTACAAGGCTGTCACCAAATTACCACACAACACAGAGATCACTTCAGTGGATCCTTTGTTCCATATTATTTTAACCAACCAAAGTATCTTGCCACAAAGAACCACAGTCAAGGCACAAAGGTAAGAGGAGGAGAGTCTGGACAAAGTCCTGTTGAGGTGGTAGGAGGAACTGAAATGCCCTCAGTAAACTGCAGATTCTTCTCTCAGTCATTTCTGTGAAGATTACCCGAATAGCAGATAATCCAAATTGGTTTAGTTTGGTTTGGCATGCATCACTTTTACCTTTTATGACAACATATGTACCCTATAAGTTGTTTATTTTGGCCTAACATGAAAATCATTTACATTCTCTGAAAAGGGAAATGGCAAAGGGTGAGGGATGGCAACAAACAAGCAAAAGCCTGGCTTAACACCAGTTCCAGGCCAGATGCACACAAGCCAAATGAAGTTGCCTATCTGGCCCTTCCCTATATACCACCCTCTTCCACCCTGTCCTTAGGGTGAGAAAGACTCCATAACCTTTTTTCCTTTCTGGCTTGGACACCTTGGCCAGGTAAGAAGGCTGACAATTTGGGAGTAGCTACTAAGTAACATTCTTTAAGGCCAGGGCTTTGTATACAAATACCCTTCTCTTTCCTCTAATACCTGACTCTCCTTTCCAAGTTCCCTTGGGAACACTGTGAAAGGATAGATGTGTCTTGCAGGATCTCTTCCACTTTGCCTCTGGAGAGGAGCAAGGTGACTGACTTATTGGTATAGAGGCAGGCAATAAGCCAACTCTGCTGAAGGCTGAGGCAGGGACCTGGGTTCTCCTCTGCTTTCTTTTCAGCCTCTCCTTCTCCCCACATTCCTACCTCTGGCCAATCTTACCCATAATCGCAACCTTACCCTTGGAATAGAAGACCAAAGAAACCTCCCTCCTCTTCATTAATCTCTAGGAATCTGTTCCTTTAGCCCACTTCCCTGACCCTTCTAGCCTTGTTGATGTCCAATCTCTGCCCTCAGAAAAACTCCTCAATATCTAGACCCATGAGAGCATCTGTCATTCATCTCTCATGAATTCAGAGGTACACAGACCCCTGTGATCTACCTCAAGAAGCAAGACTATCCTGGGTCAAAGAACCCCCTAAAAAGATGTGCAGGGGTTTCTGTTTCCTCCTCTGGTTTGAGCAAGTCAGACCCTCACAGATTTTTTGTTTCTGGAAAAGCCTCTCCTTCCTTCCTGACCCGTCCTTGTGCAACAGAAAACCTGATGGACTTCAGGGTAGACAATCCTCTGGGAACCAGCTCCCCACCCTGACAGTTAGGAGGAAGTCACAGCTGTGCTCTCTCATCCAGCCCAGTCCTACCTCCCCCTCCACACAAAACCATCCTAGAAACCAAGGTGTTTCTCCAAGATGATTCAGGACTGGACCCAGGTGGACACGAAGACGTTCCAGCAGGACACGGGAAGGAGGCCCGTAGCACTTGACCCTGCCTCACCCCAGTCATTCCCACATCCCAACCTGTCACTCCCAATCTGTTGGGGGCCTGATGGTAAGTGGTGCAGCATTCTTCCGTCCAGCCCGGATGCCTGGGTAGAAGAGGGGCCAAAGTTTCTCAGTAAAAGTATCAGTGAAGGTGTAGATATGAGAGCGGTCTGTGACATTGTAGAAAGACAGTGTGCCGGCCTCATAGTCTAGGAATATGCCTACCCGCTTGGGTTTCACCTTGATGTGCAAAGGGGTAAAAGGTGTGGTGGTGGCTGCATATTTGTCCCCATTCCATAGCCGCACCCGCCAGTAGCCAGTCTCAGGGAGTGGAGTCAACTCGCCCTTTCGGCTCACGGAGTCCCGGCATACACCCACTGCCCAGTGGGTCTTGTCGCCCACCTCCACCTCCCAGTAGTGTCGACCTGAGGTGAAACCCTCAGTAGCCAGGACGCAAGGGTAGAAGGTGAAACGCCTTGGTGTGTCAGGGAGATCCCGGAGTCTTGTCTCCACGAACTTGACGCTCTTACGATCCTCTGACAGGACTAGGTTAGGATGAGCTGTCTCAGGGTCCAGGGTCACATCCGCTGGCGGGAGAAGCCAGAGTGGGGAGCTAGATGAGGATGGGAATAGCTAAATGCCCCTGCCTCACTCTTCCAGCCTGCCTTTACAGAGCCTGGTCCCTTAAAGGTCCCCAGAACAACCTGGTTTGGTTAACTTTCTCAATCCATGGTGTCACCTAAGGAAGGGGAGAAAGCAATGGCTCACTTCTCACCCTGACCCTAAAGTAAACAGATAATAATCTCTTGAGTCTGCAGTGGCTGGTAATCTAGGTTCCCGCCTGGTCCTCTCTTCATCTCCCTCTGACATTATCATTTATCTCACTATGTAGAGAAGTACAAGGTGTAGTCTGAGGGGCAGAAAAAAACGGAAAGTGTTAAGAAGGATGCCGAGCAAGACAGCATATGGTCTAGGGATAGGGTGACCATGTGTGTTTTCCAGGAACTGGCCTGGTTTATGACTATTTTCCCTGCATATTCACATTAATATAATGACACTCCCTTTCAGTTTCTTTCTTTTTTTTTTTTTTTGAGATGGAATCTCACTCTGTCCCTCAGGCTGGAGTGCAGTGGTGTGATCTCAGCTCACTGCAACCTCCGCTTCCCAGGTTCAAGCAGTTCTCCTGCCTCAGCCTCCAGAGGAGCTGGGATTACAGGCGCCCAACACCACATCTGGCTAATTTTTATATTTTTAGTAGAGATGGGGTTTCACCGTGTTGGCCAGGCTGATGTCGAACTCCTGACCTCAAGTGATCCACCAGCCTTGGCCTCCCAAAGTGCTAGGATTACAGATGTGAGCCACCGCACCCGGCCTTTGAAGGTTATGCAAGTTTACATGGTAAATTATATAACCACTCTACCCGATGACTTTGGCAAATTATTTAACCTTTCTGGGTCTCTATTTAGAAAAGAATGGACCTAAGAGTAGATAACGCTTAAGGCTTCCTCTCACTCCAAGTTCTGTGACTCAGGGTGAGACTAAAAGCCAGATAAAGGGGTAGGTGTGTGTGGGAGTAAGAAAAGTGAGACATAGGATAACTGAAACCCATATAAGGTAGGACCTAAAAACTTTCTTCTCTCTAGTGGTTTCTTCTAGTTTCCTTTTGGGAACAACTCACCAATTAGCTGTTTAAGGATTTTCCTTAGGGCAAAGTACTGTCGGGGAAAATTGCTGAAGTTCTTTTCCAGCTCTATGGATACTGAAGTCACCTCCATGGTCTTCACCTTTTCACATCTAGGAGGGATAGGGAGATAGGGGAAGAAAGGGCAGGGTTAGGGAGAAGCTCCAGCCAAGTGACTATTCAGATGTTAACATTTTTAGGGAGAAATTAAAATTCTCCATCTTCCCACTTTCTTCCTCCTCCCTGAAAAGCTCACCTGTTGATTTCTTTTACTAATCCAAGGAGAGCCTTATGATCCCGTGGACAGATCGTTGAGAGTGAGCCTCCGAACTTTCTAGGAATATTCCTGTATTTCATGCAAATGGATGATTGCCCTCCCTGCTCTCCCAACCCCTTCCTCCTGCCATCTTGTTTGGACACAATTCCACCCACTGGCACAAGTAGAATCTGATTCTACCTTATCATTCTCCTTCTCAAGAAGTCCTGATGTTCAAAGGGGAAAAGGGATTATTATTCCCAATAATTTGTTCTCTAACTGGCTTCATGGGCACAATGAACATTCTCCCATACCCTGCCCAGACACACTACATGACTTTCCCAACCTCACCCCCAACCCAAACTCCTGACTGTACCCCTCCTCTCTAAGCCAAGACCTAACTCACTCAGAGAGATACAACAATCACTTACTTTTCCAGGGTACTTTTGACATCCTAGAAGGAAGGAGAAAAGAAAGCAATATTGGTCCTGGTATTCAGTGGTCCTGAAGGCAAAAGGTTCCCCCTCCTCCCCAAAGTTCCACAGCTATAAAATAGGGATAGGATAAACTGAGGGTCACACAGTGCAAGAAGAGCTCCAGCGGGACCTGAATGCACTTCTCCCAACCTAATCCCTACTTTCAACTTCTGGTCATCATGAAGCTTGGTCATTTATATCACTTCCCAATGATTTCTTTTATGCTTGTCTTTGCTCCTCAAGGATGCTGGGAGCTCCCTATAAGGGACAGGGATTGTATCAATTCTTTACTCTGTCCCCCAAGTACCAACCACATATCTCACTCTCCTTGAGGATAAGTACAGAGAGTTCCAGACTGGTGGCATAGGAACAAATCACACATTCCTGTTACGGTTTGGTATCCCCTGTCTTGCATTAGTTAATAAACATCAATAACTGGCTGGGCACAGTAGCTCACGCCTGTAATCTGAGCGCTTTGGGAGGCCAAGACGGGTGGATCACTTGAGGTCAGGAGTTCAAGACCAGCCTAGCCAACATGGTGAAACCCTGTCTTTACTAAAAATACAAAAATTAGCCAGGTGTGGTGGTGTGCGCCTGTAACCCCAGCTACTCAGGAGGCTGAGGCAGGAGAATCGCTTGAACACAGGAGGCAAAGGTTGCAGTGAGCCGAGATCATGCACTGCACTCCAGCCTGGGCGACAGAGCAAGACTCTCTCAGAAAAAAAAAAAAGGAAGAATAAACACATTAATAACTGTGTGCTAATACTGATTTGTGAATACTTGGGGTCCAGAAGACAAAGAAGACAAATCTCTGTCCCACAAGGATTTCCCAGTTTAATATGGAAGGCAGAACACACATACATGAAAGGCCATAGGAACAAATACCAAGCAATACGTAACATAAAAATAAATGTACAATGAAGCCTCACTGCTTCAAATGCTGGTAATCTAATCTCTAAGATAAAAAATATGTTCCCTAGTTTTGCTAACACCATTCATTTACGTAAGAGAACAAAATATTTCAAACACTTTAGAGGTATTATTAATATATACATATCAAAAGCAATATATTATTTAAACAATTTCAGGCATACCTCATTTTATTGCACCTCGCTTTATTGTGTTTTGTTGACATTGTATGTTTTTCAGATAGATGGTTTGTGGCAACCTGTGTTGAGCAAGTCTACTGGCACCATGTTTTCCAACAGCATGTGTTCACTTCATGTCTCTGTGTCACATTTTGGTAATTCTCACAATATTTCACACTTTTTCATTATTATATCTAGTATGATCTGTGATCAGTGATCTTTGATGTTACTATTGTAATCGTTATGGGGGCACTGTGAACTGCATCCATATAAGACGAACAACTTAATCGATAAATATATTTTATGTGTTCTAACTGATCCACTACCAGCTATTCCCTCATCTTTCTCCATCTCCTCTGGCCTCCCTATTCCGAGACACAACGATATTAAAATTATATCAATTAATAATCCTGCAATGGCCTCTAAGTGTTCATGTGAAAGAAGAATCACATGTCTCTCACTTTAAATCAAAACCTAAAAATGTTTAAGCTTAGTGAGAAAGGCACATTGAAAGCCAAGATGGGCTGAAAGCTAGGCCTCTTGTGCCAAACACCAAGCCAGGCTGTGAATGCTAAGGAAAAGTTATTGAAGAAAATTAAAAGTGCTACTCCAGTGAACACATGAATGATAAGAAAGTGAAACAGCTTTATTGCTGAGATGGAGAAAATTTTAGTGATCTGGATATAAGATCACATGATTCCCTTAAGCCAAAGCCCAATCCAGAGCAAGGCTGTTAACTCCTTCAGTTCTATGAAAGCTGAGAGAGGTAAGGAAGCTGCAGAAGAAAAGTTTAAAGTTAGGTAGGTTGTTTTAAGAAAAGAAGCCATCTCTGTAACAAAAATGTGCAAGGAGAAGCAGCAAGTGCTGATGCAGAAGTTGCAGCAAGTTATCCAGAAGATCTTGCCAAGATTACTGATGAAGGTGGCTACACTAAACAACACATTTTCAATGTCAACAAACAGCCTTCTATTGAAGAAGGTGCTATCCAGGGCTTTCACAGTTCGAGAGAAGTCAATGCCTGGCTTTAAAGCTTCAAAGGACAGGATGACTTTCTTATTAGAAGCAAGGGCAGCTGGTGACTTTAAGTTGAAACCAGTGCTCACTTACCATTTCAAAAATCCTAGGGCTCTTAAGAATTATGCTAAATCTACTTTCCTTGTGCTCTAGAAATGGAATAACAAAGCCTACATGACAGTACACCTGTATACAGCATGGTATACTGAATGTTTTTAATTAAAAAAAATTACCTTTTGTAGAGATGGGGTCCTGCTATATTGCCCAGACTGGTCTTGAATTCCTGGCCTTAAGCAGTCCTCCTGGCTTGATCTCTCAGAGTGCTGGGATTACAGATGTGAGCCAACGTGCCTAGCCTTTACTGAAGTTTTTTTTGGGGGGATGGAGTTTCACTCTTGTCACCCAGGCAGGAGTGCAACTGCATGATCTTGGCTCACTGCAACCTCTGCCTCTCGGGTTCAAGCGATTCTCCTCCCTCAGCCTCCCGAGTAGCTGGGATTACAGGCGCCCACCACCATGCCCAGCTAATTTTTTTGTATTTTTAGTAGAGATTGGGCTTCACCATGTTGGCCAGGCTGGTCTCAAACTCCTGACCTCAGGTGATCCACCTGCCTTGGCCTCCCAAAGTGATAGGATTACAGGTGTAAGCCACCGTGCCCAACCCTTTACTGAAAATTTTAAGTTGAGACCTACTGCTCAGAAAAAAAGATTCCTTTCAAAATATTACTGCTCACTGACAATGCACTTGATCACCCAAAAGTTCTGATAGAGATGTAAAATGAGATTCATGTTGTTTTCACGTCCGCTAACACAACATCCAATCGGCAGCCCATGGATCAAGAAGTAATTTGGACTTTCAAGTCTTAATAAATGTATTTCATAAAGCTGCTATAAATAGTGATTTTTCTGATAGATCTAGGCAAAGTAAATTGAAGGCTTTCTGGTAAGGATTCACCATTCTAGATGCCATTAAGAACATTTGTGATTTGTGAAAGGAAGCCAAAATATCAATATTAACAGGCATTTAGAAGAAGTCTATTCCAACCCTTATGGATGACTTTTAGGGGTTCAAGACTCCCATGTTGTAAGTAACTGCAAATGTGGGTTTTCAAAGATTTTCAAAGAAGTTCTACTGGTGAGTAAAATGCTATTAAACAGCATCACATGCTCAGAGATATCTTTCATAAAAGGAAGAGTTGAAAGTAAACTTCGTCGTTGTCTTATTTTAAGAAATTACCACAGTCACCCCAATCTTCAGCAACCACCACCTCGATCAGTCAATACTAACACAAGACCCTCCACCAGCAAAAATATGATTCCACTAGGAAACCCAACAATTAATGTGACTTGCTTTATCAAGATACTCGCTTTATTGAAGTGGTATGGAACTGAACCCACAATATCTCTGAGGTATGCCTGTATCCTTTAAACTATGTTTCTGTCCTTTTTCAGCAGTACATAAATCAAATTTCAGGACTTAAAAGTAATGGTAACTGCATTTACAAAATTTTTAATGCATAGTTTTTCACTAACTCAGGCTAGACTTCCCTCCTTTCAAAAGAATGAATCTTTTCTTTGGAACAGATTAAGCACATAATTGCTGACCAGAGATAAGAACACAAAAATGGTTAGAAGGGGATGGGAGAAATCACTTTTCCGTAGCAAAGACCCTTTGAGTACACCTGGCAGAAAGAACTGGATTTAGAGAAGGAGAGCAGAAGAATGAGTATCCCAGGCTGACAAATCCCAGGCTACGCAAAGCTACGCTGCACTCAGCCTGAGGGGCTATGCAGGGGCAAAGGTCGAACCTTAAGCATCTCGAAGCCTGACTGTAAGCACTTGCCCTCCACCTCGGCAGCCAAGTGGGCCAGGTCCCGGCGCTTGTCCCCAAGGTGAGCAGCATTTTCTCGGAGTCGCTGCAGAATGTCCTGTTCCTCTTCTTCCAGTCGTGAAAGCAACACCTGCTGCTCTTCATCCAGCCGCCTATGAAGCTCTTCAAACTCCCTCAAGATCTGCTGTCGGCGACTTTCCACTAGTCTCTGAGAAGAGAGGGAAGATGTTGTATCAGCAGGGTCAGTGTGGTATAAGGAAGCCTTTCTCTCACCCACCATATGTATGAATTAACACAGACTTCCAGTTTCATTGAAAATGGTTTAACAAAGGCTGGGTGTGGTGACACATGACTGTAATCCCAGGACTTTGGGAGGCCGAGGGAGGTGGATTGCTTGGGATGAGAAGTTTGAGACCAGCCTAGGTAACATGGTGAAACCCCAACTCTACAAAAAATACAAAAAATTAGCTGAGTCTGGTGGTGCATGCCTGTAGTCCCAGCTACTGGAGAGGCTGAGGTGGGATGATGGCTTGAGCAAAGAAGGCAGAGGTTGGAGTAAGCTGAAATTGTTGCACCATTGCACTCCAGCTTGGGCAACAGATCGAGATGAAAGACAGACAGACAGGAAAGAAAGACAGAAAGACAAAGACAGAAAGAAAAGAAAGAAAGAAAATGAGAGAAAATGGTTTAACAGAACACTCATTTTTTATTCCATTGGAATTTCCTTCTGTAAAGAATGGCTCCATCACTATCACCCCCCTACTGATGACTTGGTAGTGAAGACCACTGCGGATATATATATTTGTTTTAATTTAAGATAAAGAACTCAATAATATGATGACATTAACTATTACAGATATCAGAGATATCTGTGTTATTATCAACTGTAAAGTTCTAGTTAATTCAATCTGTCGAGAAAAGGAAAGTATAGGCTCAGCATGGTGGCTCATGCCTGTAAACTTAGTGCTTAGGAGGCCCAGGTGAGAGGATCACTTGAGGCCAAGACCAACCTAGGAAACATAGTGAGACCTTGTTTCAACTAAAAAGAAAAAAAAATTAGTCGGGCATGGCAATGCACATCTGCAGTCCTAGCTACTCAAAAAGAATCAAGAGGATGGATGGCCTGAACACTGGAGTTTGAGTTAGTGTGCTGTGATCACTACTGCCCTCCAGCCTGGGTGAGTGAGATTCTGTCTCAAAACAAGCAAACAAAAAACAACGAAACAAAAAGGAAAGTACAAATAATAAAAAGTTAAAAATAAGATTGTCATCCTTTGCATATTGCAACACATGCACCAGATAAAAACCAGAGAACTGGGAAAGTGTAAGAATCAGTAAGAGTTATATGGGTTATTATAAAATATACATATGTAGATTTCAGGGCTGAACTTGTTAAATTGTTTCAAGTCACTTCAGAGAACTGGCAATTCCTACCCCAGGAACAGGTTACAGAAGTTTGTTAGTAATTTAGTTTCTTGAAATTTGAAACATGCTTTCTTTAAGCCAGCACACAGACTTAAGCCTCTAACATTCCTGAAATTTGATAATATAGGACTCAAACACCAGCCATAACACTTTCTGAGAATTATCAGCACATCCTCTCTTCTGCATCTCCACTACAACAAATAGTGATCTCCCTAAAGAATTCCCCAAGCATCATGTGACTGATGATGAAGCAAAGTGAGAAGCAGAGACTGGGACTCTAGAAGGAAGTGGATAGGGAATGAAAGGCAGGCTTGAGGGTGGAGAGAGAGTGGGGATGCAAAGCCAGGATGGGCCTGACAAGCGTGGCATTTGTGGATTCAAGCTAGTTCCTGGCAGAGGCTGACTAGCTCTTCTAGTTTAGGGCCACTTGCTGCTTCACTTTCCACCACTGCCTTCTCAGTGTACATCTGAACAAAATATATTCTCACATTTGCCCTCAATAAAACACAGCCTTTGTGTGTGTGTGTTTGCACATGTGTGTGCATGCATGTGTGTTTGTTTAGGTATGGGTGTAAGTTTAACATTCATGACTGTGATAAATAGGAAGCAAAAAGGCCCTTCCTCTTATAAACCGGTAATCTTTTCTCTTTTTTTCACTCTATATTTTAGGGCAGTGGTTCTTGATGAAGCTGTTAACACACTCTGAGGATATTTTGGAAATAGGCACATCTTCTTGTTTTCCATGGTTGGGGAAGTTCCTGACAATGACGCAAGCACTCCTCCAATGTGTGAGACAATCCGGCATAGTGAACTGACCTGCAACATTTTCTAATGTTCTGCTGGATATTCAAAAACACAGGCCTGGGCGGCCAGGCACGGTGGCTCACGCCTGTAATCCCAGCACTTTGGGAGGCCGAGGTGGGCAGATCACAAGGTCAGGAGATCGAGACCATCCTGGATAACACGGTGAAACCCTGTCTCTACTAAAAATAGAAAAAAAAAATCAGCTGGGTGTGGTGGTGGGCGCCTGTAGTCCCAGGTACTTGGGAGGCTGAGGCAGGAGAATGGCATGAACCCGGGAGGCAGAGCTTGCAGTGAGCCGAGATGGCACCACTGCACTCCAGCCTGGATGACAGAGCGAGACGCCGTCTCAAAAAAAAAAAAAAAAAAAAAACCACAAAAACAAAAACATAGGCCTGGGCTTGAATGCCATTTTATATAGTATAAACACAGAGTAATTCTTACATGGTTTTACTATACGTGAATTTTTCAGCAATAGCTGAATAAAACCCAAGATTATATTGTTATACTTAGAACTTTACCAAAAGTTATTACTATGAAAAATCATATCACCAAGAGCTAAGCTACTTATGGTATTTCAATCATATTGGCACACATCCATCTCAGTCTGAATTTGTATTTATGGCGTTGCTGATAATGACACATATAGGGGCAAGCATATAACCAGCTACACTGTAAAGTCGTTCAGGGTAGTCATGCCCAAATATTACATACCACATTTTATCATCAATTATGTTTCATTATATTATATTTGGACATGATAGACTCTTTAAAATTTAACATTATGCACATAGGTTATATTACCTGTAATTTTCAGTTCAGCATAATTACAAATTATTTTTTAAAGGGGCATTGAGTCTGATGAGGGAGAAGGAGGGAGAATTCAAATGGTCACAAGAGGAATGTTGGTGGTAGTTTTGGAGACCACTGAAATGACAATTTACAGTTTAAAAAACAGGACAGTTCTGTTCAAGCATTTAGAAGGTTTTAAAAAGGTATATTTCTCTCTCCATCCTTTACCTTCAAGAAGGTGATCAACATGAAGAAGAAAGTTAATGACTAGCAATAAGCACCATTTTCATATTTTTAGGTTTCTTGGAAGGCCTCTAAAAGAACAAAAAACTTTAAAAGTTCACATTTCTAACCAAAATTGGTTCAAATTTTAAAATTTCAAATGCTTACTTTGCTAAAATGTATAAGGCACTAAGGTAATAATACTTGCTTTCTGATGAAATGTTATCATTCATTTAAAAATTCATGTTTCTATGAATCAAAACTTGGATTTAGCTTCTGGTGATCTCTACATGTCAACTCTTAAAAACTCATTACTTCTTCGGGAAACCTTTAATGAGGCCAAATTTCTATGTTGTCTTCTTATGAACTTGCAGCTGTGCATTTTGTGCCATTACTTATTTTCTCCACTTAACTTTAAGCTCAAGGAGGGCAGGAACTGTGTTTTTGCTCATCATTGTTCCCCAGTGTCAAATACCGGGTTTGGCCTAAACCAGGAGCTTAACAAATATTTACTGATTCACGAAGAACTAGTATTCCTGGTTTTGCCACTTACTGGCTTTATGATCTTGGACTAGTCACTTACCCAAGGTCCATTTCCTTCTGTGTAAGCTGAAGGTAATAATACCTACCTTAAAGAATATCTAGGTTTACCCCTACATCTTACTAAAGATGGCCTCAGGATTTCCTTCTGTCTCTTTCTCGTAGCTTTTCTATGTCTCACTTATCCCAATTTGGCCTGAACTCTAAGACCCTAACAACCCTATAAATCTGGAATGTTACGGATACCTAATGAATTAATGCATAGGACTCAATTCTAGTTATTTTTGCTACAAATGATAATTGTTCACTGTTCAATGGAAGACAGACAGACACCAAAATACCATGCTACAAATAAGGCAATGCTATAAAAGAGGTGCAAAATTGTATGAAAATTAAGAATGTTAATTTCTGAAGGGTCAGGAAAGGCTGCATAGGAAGTGGCTTTCATCCCGCCTGAGAGATGAATAAGATCCTATGGTGGAGGATGGGGAGGGGGAGAACATTCTAGCATATGTAAGCTTACTTGAGTTTTAAGAATGTGGTCCTAATGTCATTAGATAGTTCTTCTGAGACTCTTGGTCAGCTCCTTTTCCCTTTCTCCCCAGTGAATCTTCCATATTCTCCTCTCTTCAAGTCCTCTAAGAAACTCCCATCCCTGCCTTCTCAGCAGAAAGCCTCCTTTGCTGCTTTAACAAAAAAAGGAGACCAAGAGGCACGAACTCTCTCAGCTCACCAGATGTAAGATATTCTGTCTGTTCTTCATCTCTTAAATCCCTCTTAATACTTAATTCATGACAAGTAATTTAAGTACAATGTTTAATGACAATCAAGCCTAATAAAATGCCATCATTTTTGAGAGAACTACATTGTTCTTTTTTTTTTTGTTTGTTTTTTTTGTTTGTTTGAGACAGAGCCTTGCTCTGTTGCCCAGGCTGGAGTACAATGGTGTGATCTTGGCTCACTGCAACCTCCGCCTCCCAGGTTCAAGCAATTCTCCTGCCTCAGCCGCCCAAGTCGCTGGGACTACAGGCATGTGCCACCATGCCCGGCTAATTTTTTGTTTTTAGTAAAGACAGGGTTTCACCATGTTGCCCAGGGTGGTCTCAAACTCCTGAGCTCAAGCAATCTGCCCACCTTGGCCTCCAGAATTGCTGGGATTACAGGTGTGAGCCACCATGTCCGGCGAGAACTGCATTTTTCTAATGAACCGGAACTGGTGGATTAAATAGTGTACAGTTAATTCCCTCATAGGCAAATACCCTTCAGAGCAGCCTACATGGGATTGCCTGCCTTTACCTTGAGCTCACCAGGCTTCTTCTCCTCAGAGGACTTGCAGCGAGTGATCTCCTGCAGCTTCTGTTCCAGGGGCTCCAGACACTTCTGCAGTTTTTCCTGAGGGGTAGGGAGGAAGTGGGAGAGGTGACATTTGGGGTTGACTGGTATACCTACCATTCAGAGATTAAACCATTTGTTTTAAACCATTTATTTGCTTCCTAGCCATCTTACTGCCTCTTGATCTGACTTCCTTCCTTGCCTGTCATTTGGGATGTCAACTTTCTACAGTCCCTCCTCCTGCCACTAGCCTGTCCACATCACCTTCTCTGCTCACCCAACTGTCCTTTTACTGAATCTGAGATAGCTGTCATCAACTCTGTGTCCTTTCTCAACTCTTTCCATTTTCTTACTGAGGCAACTGCCTATTACCATCCAAGCAACCTTCTGTACCCTAATATCTCTCTTTAAACCTGTCCTCCCATCCACCTCTGTCCACCTACAATAAAAACATGGTTATTATACTGTAAGTTACCTGAAATCTTGTTTTCAAGAGTAACATAACTAAGCAAAGTATATGATAAAATGCTAACACATTCATATCTCTGTTCCCTTTATTCAAACATTTTCCTTTGTCTCAGCAGTAAGTTAAATGATATGCCATGTTACCCATTACCTAGAGAAGCTGCAAACAATTGAATGGTTCAGCTTAGTCCGGTAGGTATCAGTCTCAAGCGATATTACCTATGCCCAATAACCAGTGTGAAAACAAGGAGCATTCTGAGCAGGCAGGCAGAATGAAGAAACCAGACTACTTTTCAGTTCTTCCTAAGTTTAATCTTTTCCATGTGGTTTCATTCATTTATGAAAAATATGACCACACATACCAATATTCACCCATAAGACTCACATGTATTGCAAAAGTCAGAGAGAAATTTTAGGGCACTTCTCACCATTGCTCTTTTTCAGGCTAGAGGACAACTGATCACACATACTGTGTGCCCCTGCATATGCAGCTCTGAGAATACAAAGTGAGTAGTAGGAGCTTACGATCTCTACCTAGGGAGTATCTCATCCTCTGCCGCTTCTCCCTTTTTACCCACACTGACATCGTGTGTCTGCTTCCCCACCTTGTACTCCTGTGTAGCATCGTCCAGTGGCACAACGGTGTGGGCCCGGTGGGTGTGGGAAATTGCACATATCAAGCATACAGCCTCCTGGTCCTCATAACAGAAAAGGCTGAGGGCCTCATGGTGTTGGGGGCAGAGGCTCTCATCCCGGATCTTCCGCTTGACGGCCTGGAGCTGCTTGGCAATTTCCACCATACTGCCTAGTTGCCGATTAGGTCGGAGACTGCGGTAGCGGGATGTCTTTCGACAGACAGGACAAGGGAAGTCCCTCTCTAGGTCCTCCCACCAGCGGGTGATGCAAGCTTTGCAGAAGTTGTGCCCACACTCAATGATGACAGGTTCCTTCAGATACTCCAGGCACACAGAGCAGCTCGCCTCCACCTGTAAGTTCTCCAAAGCCGCAGCTGTAGAGGCTGCAGAGGCCCCAGCCTCTAACAGACTTGTCTCTGCCATAATTTAACTTGGGAGTGGGGAAGAGGACAGAGAAAATAAAAATATTAATTGGAGGTTTTTTCTTTTTTTTTTTTTTGCATCCCTGACCCGACATTTATCCCTATGTTAAGTCCTAACTCCAGATTTGCCCCTTCTTGTTATTCTCCATCTTCTCTTCCAATCAATTCAACCTCTTTGTTTCTCCATTTTCAAAACTTGTGACTCCCAGCCATCAACCTTTTTTTTCTTGTTAGTAAACTGACACACAACCCCCAATTGATCTATCTTGTCTCTTACCTCTGCTTTCTCTTGTTAGAAAGAGAAGCTTCCTTCAACTCTAGCTCAGCATACTTCTCCTGATCCAGGCTCATTCCACTTATATCTTAGAACCAATAGTTCCAGACACTGTATCCTCGTTTGACATACGTTTCTAACAGACAAGAAAGGAATCTGAGAAGTAAAAAAGTCATAAAAATATTAACATTTCTTAAATTAACCATATTTTAAAGTTTAATGTTATAAGAGCTTTATGATTAATCCACTGGAGTCTAAGCTTGATTCTCTGACACTGTTCTCTCATTCTTCTAAATCACAATATCCAACCTTTTGGCTTCCCTGGGCCCACTGGAAGAAGTGTCTTGGGCCAGACATAAAATACATTGACACTAATGACAGCTGATAAGCTTAAAAAAAAAAAAGTCCATGCATAACTTTTGTTCTATCACCACCACAGAAGGTCCATGCATAATTTTTATCAGCCACCACAGATAAGCAAAGAGAGTCCTCATATTGAAAGGGTTAGATACCACTGCTCTAAAGGCTAACAAATGGAATGAATGAGGCAAAGGCAACCTCCTCTTTTCAGGAAAATCTGAAATTATTCTTCCTTTTATCCATCAGACTAGCCTAAAGGAAATCTGCTCTCTTCTTGGAATGACATTTCACGCAACATTCCATTTCTCTTGTGTTCATCTGGACACTCAGAACTGCTGAAAACTGATAAATTATGGCAACCATATTAAATATTGCTGAGCTCAGGCCAACGACTTCTTGAAAAGAGAGCAACGAGTCTATTTGTAGTGACTGGAATCTTTCAATATAGCTATTGATAACTAACACCCTGGGCATAGTGTGTCTCCAACTTATAGGTCCTGGAGTGGTTGCGAATTAAGAGACACAAAAGAGGCAATGAGATCTCCCTCAAGCGCAGCCTCAGAAGAATTGGAAATGCATAGGAGAGATTTATAAAACACAAGGCTGGCCCCCTACTCCATCCTTAAAACATCCATACTTTTAGCCATGGGTAAGTTGATTTAACTATCCCCATAACCTTTTCTCCTCCCGACCCCCATCCTTCTCCAGGGACCTACTGGAAGGAAGGAAATTTGGTAGATCTATGTGCTGAGAGATAAGTGGCCATGTAATGAGGTAGGTTAACAACAATTGTTCCTGTATATATTGTTGGCACACACAAATGTGTTTGATTTGGAGTAGGAACTGATAACTTCTTTGGATTTGAATTTCTTCTGTCAGCAATAGGAGAGAAGTTCAGTCAGATGATTTCTATCTGTGGGAATCCAACTTTGACTTGTGGTGATCCTACCCCTTCCTCAGTCTTTTACAAATTAAGTGGCCTCCTCACCTGAGACGAGTAGAACTGTATGCACAGTAAGGCACCAGGACGGATCTAGACTGGCAAAGAAGTGGTGAGAGAAATGGGGAAAGGGTTAGGGAAGAAGGGAGAGGACTCTCAACTACAGTCATAGTGAGACCTTGAGTGCCTCTGCGTTAGTCCTTCCTCTTCCTCTACTCCTTGTGTCTCAGCTGAAGGGCAAACTTCAGGGACAATCTCATTTTGTTTCTACCACTGTTCAGGGTCCCACCTTGCGACCCTCTCCTGAGAGGTTGTCCACAACTCTGTCCCACCCCCGTTCTCCATCTTCTTCCGCCAGATCTGGGGCTGGGGCATTGGAGAGGGGAAAGAGGAAACGTCGTGGCTGGCAGGGTAGGAAGGGATGCGTGTCCAGGTGAGAAAGAGGTGTGACGTGCAGATGGGATGCCCGCCGCTATGACGCTGCCGAGACCCGCGGTGACTGCGTCAGAGTTTCACCCGGGGAGGTGAGCAGCAGCGGGACGGGGGAACGGCGGGGTAGCCAAGCAACGCCGGACGCGCTGACGTCGCCGGGGCGGCAAAACGTCCGCCCGGGCCCGAGGCGGGCGGAGGCAGCTGTGGTTACGTGCGGGGGGCCGGTGACGCAGTCGCGGGGCGCTGGGACGCGGCTTGCGGAGCCGGCCGGCGAGCGCAGGCCCCAGGCTCGGGCGCGGCGGCGGGACAGCACCTACCTTCCCGGCTTCGGGTCCGGGAGTGCGGGGCGCGGAGCCGCCGGAGCGCTGCCTCCCTCCTTCCTCCTCCCCTCGCCCCCGCCCCGCGGCGCGACACACAATACTCGCCGGAAGCGGAAGCCGCGCCGAGGCTCGTGTCAGTGGAAGCTGGGGTGTCGGCGGGCGGCCGCGGCCGGGTCTAGCGGTGCCTGCGGAAGAAGGAGGAGGAGGGCTGGCGATGAGAAGCAGCAGGGGGAATCAAGGGCAAGAAGGGACCCAGAGGGGCAGGTGGCTGAGATGCTGGCGTCCAGGTGACCCGAGGAATCCTCTGGAGATACAGGCCCGCGCATGCGCGTGCTCGAGCGCTGAAGCCCATTGCCCGCAGGGCGCTGGACTGGCGCCCCGGCCGGCGAGGCTGTCTAGTCCAGGCTCCAGGCCCCGGCTCTGGCCAGGCGCCGCCGCCTCCCGGTGCAGCTGAAAGTCGACGAAGAGGGCGGGGCGGGGGCGGCTTGTGGACTTCCACACTTTTCCTCTCTTCGGGCCAGTCTGGGGAGAGGGTGGCTAGCTGTGGCGGCGGCCAATTACGTGGCGGACCTGCGGGGCTAAGCTGGCACGTCACTTCCGACTAGTGGAGTTTTTAGCCTTTTAACATTCAAGGATTAGGTAAGTTCTCCCCGCGGTAGACTTCAAATACTCTTTGTCCTGCCCCTGCTTGGCGAAATTTACCGAAATTATCTACCTATCCCGCTGGAGTGGGAGCCGGGGGAGAGCTGGAACCGCGTCTCTGCTGCTCACCTTTGTGTCCTTAGCTCCTTCGCATGGGGTCCGACCGCAACACGTGCGCTGGATAAACGCTTGTTAACTGGGTGAGAGCCAAGGCCTGTTCTTTCCACTTCTGGGGCTGTGACTTGAGTTTCTCCGCAGGAGCAGATAGTGTTTGTGTAGGGACTGCGGACTTTTGCATTACAGCCTCCCTGCTTTGCCCGCCTGCTGCTGGAAGCTTAGCAGGTCAGTGATTTTGGAGGAAGTGGGTGAGGTGATGAGGCTGGGGAAGAGTATGCTGGGAGAGGTGTGAGGGGCCCGGGAAGAGGTGATGGGGCTGGGGAGGGGCTAGTAGTGGGTAGAGGTGTGAAAAGGCTGAGGAGGAGGGGTTAGTGCTAGGAGGGGTGTGACACGGCTGGTAGAAAAGATAGCTTGCTCCGCCTCCCCGCCGCCAGCACTAGTCATGGAGAATATTCATTGAAAGAGATGAGCAGATTTTGCTGTACTCTCCTCGGTGAGAAAGGGCCCTAATTTCCGGTGTAAATTGTGCTGCTGTTTACAAACACCCTGCATTATTTAACCTCTCATCTTGGGAGCCAGAAACTATTTACTTGCTGAAAATATAATCCAGTATCTAAGGTATAAAGATTTGGGATCACACATGCTAATTACAGTTGTCTACCTTTACTGTTCCTTTTTTTGTGCCAAGAATTGAAGAAGATTAAATTTGAGAAAATTACATTTGATACCTTTTTTCACATTGCTATGTAGCCGTTAGGGATTTTAGCAGCAGCACTTGTTCTAATTCACAAGATGTCTCACTTGTAAGGGTAGTTTGAAAGCCACTAACTGGGCAGTGAGCCTCCTTAGCCGTGGCTTCGGAGGGAGAGAGAGATTTGGTTTTGATTTGTTAATTTGTGGCGCTTAAGATGTTGATAGCCCTCCTTTCTGGCTTTCTGTTTGTAGATAACCAGGAGGAATGTGATTAGACTAAGGAAATTAACAAGAGGAGGTCCAGTTCTAAGGACTGTGAAGAATGTGCTTGCCTAGAGACTGATATTAAGGGGATTTTATGCTGAATATGGAAGGAAAAAAGGGAGACTGTCTAGGTAAAACTATAAAATTATGAAGCGCAAGTAGTATGACATATAACAGGGCTTGGCAAATCTTTGCTGTAGAGAGCCAGAGAGGACATCTTTTTGGCCTTGTGGTCCATACTCAGCTTTCTCCTTGCAGTATGAAAACATCATTAGACAGTACTAAATGAAGGCTGGGCGCGGTGGCTCACGCCTGTAATCCTATCACTTTGGGAGGCCGAGGCGGGTGGATCACCTGAGGTCAGGAGTTTGAGACCAGCCTGGCCAACATAGCGAAACCCTGTCTCTACTTTTTAGTAGAGACAAAAATTAGCCGGGCGTGTGGCGCGTGTGGCGCGCACCTGTAATCCCAGCTACCTGGAAGGCGGAGGCAGGAGAATGGCTTGAAAGCAGGAGGCAGAGGTTGCAGTGAGCCGAGATCTCGCCACTGCACTCCAGCCTGGGCGACAGAGCGAGACTCTGTCTCCAAAAACAAACAAAAGCTAAATGAGCATGGCTGTGTGTCAATGAAACTTTATTATGGATGCTAAAATTTGAATTTAATAACATTTTCAAGTGTCATTAAATACTCCCCTTGGATTCTGGCCCTCCCTCCCCAGTCATTTAAAAATGTAAAAACCATTCTTAGCTTTTGACGTATACGAAGACAGATAGTAGACCGTAGTTTGCCGACTCCGGACAGGATAATAATGAAATATCCGGTATTTTTCAAGCGATAGTAATTGGGAGAGAGTGAAAACAAGCTATAATCTCTTAATTTCATCTGTCTGTTTACCACAATAATAAAGGGGATCTGAATTCTTAACACAAATTTGTTATGGCCTTTGAAAGTTGCCAAGATTTATGAATGTACGTATATTCTCTAAACAAGAAAAGGTATATTCCTTGTTTAAAAAGGATTACAGTTCAAGAAAAGTGGAATAACACCGAGTTTTGATGTTGATTTATACCAAAGGATTTTCAACACAGGAATATGCAAAAATGAACTGTAATAATGGGATGTAATTAAACAAATTTTAAATATACATTTTTAATATTTTTATATCAATAAGGGAAAACAGAAGCAATCTTGAAATGACTGAGTCATATAGAGCAAATGGGCATATAAGCAGTGTAGGTAGGAAACTGGTTGAGGTCAGATATGATGAGATGGGAGGGATGAAGGCGGGGTTTAATTGTCCAAGACTTGTGAGATTCTTACTCATGAAAAGGCAATATATCTAATCCCCCTCCATTTTTTTCATTTTTTATTATGAAAAATTTCAAACATAGAGACAGTCTTCAGCTTGCTTTTTATACTTTATAGTGGCTTTTATTGTTCCAGTTTGGTGACATAGAGCTACCTCACTCTTTTTAAAGTCTGCATTATTCATTTTGTAGACATGTGATTTATTCAACAATTTTGAGTAGACATTTAAGGTTCTTTCCACATCTTATTAAATAAAGGCTGTCGAGAACATCCTTGTACATATCTCTTTAGATCGTCGTGCCATTATATTAGTAGGATAAATTTCTGGAAGTTTGGCTGCTGGGTTCGAAGGCATGGAAATTTAAAATTCTATTAGATTTTTACAATTATCTTTCCGTAAGTGCCTGGCAAGGTGTCAGAGCCCTGGCACCGGGAAGTGGTCAACTCGCAGGTTGGTAAAATGAATTTACCATACCTACAAACAGTATAGGTTTGAAAAAAGGAAAGTTTATTAGAAAGGAAGAACTGAAACAGCCTTTGCAAAATGATGACTGAGACAGTGAAAGAAATCTAACGTAACCGACTCCATCTTGCTTCTAAGCTCCAAGCTGTTCTTGTTCATTCCTGGGCGTAGGCTGAACTAACTTTGGGAGAAACTTAGTTTATAAACAAAGAGGGTAACAGCCCTTTCCCAAAGCAGACTTCCTTCTTGTCTGAGGACTAGACTAACATTAGCCACAGGATTAGAATTTTTGGTTTAGTAGTCATGCAGCTGGAGGCTGCAAGATTCTGACCCTCCCTAAACTGCTCCTGTGATCAGTGCTTGAGGTATTTTGCAGACCCCGTACTTGATGGGTCAGCTGGCACTACCCACATCAATAAACTGGCTCTTTTTTTTTTTTTTTTTTTTTTTGGAGACGGAGTCTTGCTCTTGTCGCCCAGGCTGGAGTGCAAATGGCACGATCTCGGCTCACTGCAACCTCCGCCTCCCGGATTCAAGTGATTCTCCTGTCTCAGCCTCTCGAGTAGCTGGGATTACAGGCACCTGCCATCACGCCTGGCTTTTTCTGTTTGTTTTTTTTTTTTTGTTTTTTAGTAGAGACAGGGTTTCACAATGTTGGCCAGGCTGGTTTCCAATTCCCGACCTCCGGTGATCCACTCACTTTGGCTGCCCAAAGTGGCTCATCTGATTATGTGGCCCCCACCCAGGAACTGACTCAGTGCAGGAAGACGGTTTTGATTCCCTACAGTTTCATCCCTGACCAATCAGCACTTCTGGCTCACTGGCTTCCCCCCACCCACGAAGTTATCTTTTAAAACTCTGCTCCCCCGTGCTCGGGGAGACTGATCTCCCACACAGCTGGTTCTGCGTGAAGTACTCTTTCTCTATCACAATTCCCCTGTCTCGATGAATTGACTCTGTCTAGGCATGGGCAAGGTGAACCCCTTAGGCGGTAACAGAACACTGCAGAAGAGTGCAGTGGGGCGCCTCAGCAAGAGGACTAAGTGTGCTGCCATGGATTTTTCTTTAGAGGTATTTATGGACCTTAAGGCAGGAGCTTAGGATAGTAAAAAGAGTTTCGGCATGGCATTTCAGAGATGTATATAAATTTTAGTTACTTGTAAAAGTTGAAAGAGGCCTGGAACCAGACTTTAGATACTAGGAAAGTTTAATTACTTCTGAATTCCCAGAAAAGGAGTTTCGCCTCTGTCTGGCCCGTTTGGTGGTCACCAGGTGGTCTTTGTTCCCTTCGAAATTCCTCAGATCAGGAGCTTTTGTCTGTGGGGCCTATTCAGTGGTCAACAGGTGATCAACCTCATGGTCAACTTCAGTAAGGTTGCACCTATTTTTATCCACACCAGCATATCATGAAATACAGTAGTCCTCCCCTTATCCTCGGTTTCATTTCTCAAGGTTTCATTACTCTTGGCAACCACAGTCTGAATATTTTAAGTGGAAAATATCAGAAATAATTCCTAAGTTTTAAATTGGCACCTAAACAATTCCTGTTTTAAATTGGGCGCTGCACCATTCTGATGAACATGATGAAATCTCATGCCATACCACTCCATCCCTCCCCAGGATTTGCATCATCCCTTTGCCCAGTATCCACAGTGTATATGCAGCCTGCCTATTAGTCACTTAATAGCCTTCTTATCAATTTTACTGCCTAAGTATCACAGTGCTTATATTCATGGAACCCTTATTTTACATGACAGTGGCCCCAAAGTGCAGGAGTACTAATGATGGCAACTTGGATATACAAAAGAGAAGCCATAAAGTGCTTCTTTTAAGTGAAAAGGTAAAAGTTCTTGACTTAAGGAAATTTTTTAAATGCTGAGTTTGCTAAGATCCATGGTCAGAACAAATCTTCTATCCCTGAAATTATAAAGGAGGAAAAAGAAATTTTTGCTAGTTTTACTGTCACACTTCAAAATGGAAAAGTTGCAGCCACAGTGCATGTTAAGCACTTGGTTAAGATAGAAAAGTCATTAAAATTGTGGGTGGGAAACATCACCAAAAAAAACTTCCTATTAACAGCAATCGGGTTCAGTACTATCAGTGGTTTCAGACATCCACCGGGGATCTTGGAACATATCTCCCAAGAATAAGAGGGAACTACTGTAGTCTGTTTTCCTACAGTGGTGCCATTCCTGATATTTTCATATTTTTAAAAATTTGCTGATATTTTTATTTATAATCCTTAATAATTCCATAACAGGTCTTGTTTTGCAGGTAATGTTTTTAACCTTTTGTCAGTAGATAGGCATTTACTTCATTTCCTATTGATACTTAGTTTCCTCTTTTTTTCTGCTACACAGTATTACAATAATAACTTTCTGAACACATGTCATGTGCTGGTAGATTTTTGTGAGAAAGGTTTCTGGGTCGAAGGATATGGCATGTTTCTAATTTGATGGATGTTGCCATATTGCTTTCTCAGTAGGCTGTTAACCTTTACATTTCCTTACAACAATGTATGATCCTGCTCCCTTCCCACTTGCCCAGCAAAGATACATATTATTTATGTTTTTATTTTTTTCCCAGCCAATAAAGAGAAGTCTTAGTTACTTTTAATTTTCTCTTCCTTTAGTAATTTTGATTATGTTACTGTTTGCCATTCAGATTTTCTGTGCATTTTCAATTCTATCCTTTGCCCATTTTTCCTATTGGATTGTTTATCAGTCTCATACATATGCACACATGTATGTGTGCTTGCCCTATCCGTGTGTCCATGCATGCAAACGCACACACACACACACACCCCTACCTGTCCTCATTAAGAAATCCATCCTGACCTCCAGATTCTAATTTGCTTTCTTCGGTTTCTTACAATATTTTTTATTCCTTACATTTAAATATTTTTTAAAAATATCCTGTAAAAGGAGAATCTTAATTTTTCTCCAGAGCAGTGCTGTCCAATAGAAATATAATGGAAGCGAGCCAGGTGCGGTGGCTCACGTCTGTAATGCCAGTACTTTGGGAGGCCAAGGCAGGTTAATCACTTGAGGTCAGGGGTTTGAGACCAGCCTAGCCAACATGGCAAAACCTCATCTCTACTAAAAATACAAAAAAATTAGCCAGGCCTGGTGGCTCATGCCTGTAATTCATTCCAGCTACTTGGGAGGCTGAGGCAGGAGAATCGCTTGAACCCGGGAGGCAGAGGTTGCAGTAAGCCCAGATCGCGCGACTGTACTCCAAACTGGGTGACATCAAGACTCTGTCTCAAAAAAGGAAATATAATGCAAGCCGCTTATATGATTTGTGGTTTTCTAATTATAGCTGCATTAAAAAAGGTAAAGAGAAACAGTTAAAATTAACTTTAATAATATATTTTATTTTACCAACCTAACCCATTATATTTAAAATATTATCATTTTAACATGTAATCAGTTTTAAACAATTACAAATAAGATATTTTATGTTCTTTTGTATACTAAGTCTTTGGAATCTAGTGTATATTTTATACATAGTCACTAGGTCTGTGGTTAAGTGCTTATGGCCATTGTGGGGCTCAGAACTCATACCCGAAAATATGGTGCTGTGGCATAGTAAACTGAAGAAACCCAGAGTTCTCTGTGACCTCCCCATCCCCTACCTCCTCTCTCAAATAAGTTGAAGTTTCTTTATCTGCCTAAGATCTACACCCACCAAAGAGAACTGTTGTTTTTTCTTGCCCTCCCTTGTTAGACCCAGAGTGTACTCGCACCTGAACAGACCCTTTCAGTGTCAAAGAGAACTATTTACATGTTAATCTCTGTTCCCAGATCCATTCATTCTCCCTAGTATCAGCTCACAGCAGCTCCACCAAGCAGTGCAGAGTCCCTATTGCTTCACATTCTCTCAGTACTTGGTATTTTCAGACTTTTGAATTTTGGCCATTTTTACTGAGTATTTTCCATGATTACAAATCAGATAGTATATATTGTCCTATGTTTATAGGCCATTTGGTATTCTCTATTCTGAAACATCTGTTCTGCTCACATTTTTCCATTGAGTCATCAATCTTTTTCTTATGAAGGAGTTTTTTGTTTATTTTTTAGAAAAAAAATAACATTCATTTCTGACAGTTCCAGAGGCTGGGAAGTCCAAGGTCAAGGGGATGCATCTGGTCAGAGCCTCCTTACTCATGGGAACTCTGCAGAATCCTGAGGTGGTATGGGGCATCACATGGCAAAGGAGCAGAGCATGCTAGCTGAAGCCTCTTTTCCTCTTATAAAGCCACTAGTCTAACTCCCATGATAACCCATTAATCCATGAACATCTCTTAAAGGCCCCACCTGTCAATACTGCCACATTGAAGGTTAAGTTTCAACATGAGTTTTGGAGGGGACAAACATTCAAACCATTGCATTCTGCCTGTGGTCCCCCAAACCCATGTTCTTCTCACATACAACTATACTTAATCCCCATATCCCCAAGGTCCTAACTTGTTTCAGCATCAACTCAGAAGTCCAAAATTCCATCTGTGAAATCAAAACAAGTTATCTACTTCTAAGGTACAACGGCAGGACGGGCATAGGATAGACATTCCCATTTGAAAAGGGAAAAGTAGGCCAAAAGAAAGGGTTAATAAGCCCCAAGCAAGTCCAAAGCCTAAGAGGGCAGACATTAAATCTCAAAGCTGGGGAATAATCACCCTTGACTCTATATTCAGCATCCCCCGTACCTGGAGGAATTCCTTTTTTTTTTTTTTTTTTTCTGTTGTAGAGACAGAGTCTTACTGTGTTGCCCAGGCCGGTCTCAAACTCCTGGCCTCAAGCACTCTTCCCACCTTGGCCTCCCAGAGCCCTGGGATTACAGGCATGAGCCACTACGCCTGGACTGGAGGGGTTCTTTATACAGTCTGTGATATGGATTTGTGTCCCTTCCCAAATCTCATGTCGAATGAAAATCCCCAATGTTGGAAGTGGGGCCTGGTGGGAGGTGATTGAGTCCTGGGGGTGGATTTCCCCCTGGATGCTGTTCTTATGGTAGTGAGTTCTTGTGAGATCTGGTTGTTTAAATGTATAGCACCTCCCCACTCTCTCTCTTGCTCCTACTCCTGTCATTTAAGATGTGCCTGCTTTCTGTTCACCTTCGGCCATGATTGTAAATTTCCTGAGGCCTCCTCAGAAGCAGAAGCCACTGTGCTTCCTGTACGGGCTGCAGAACCGTGAGCCAATTAAACCTCTTTTCTTTATAAACTGAACTACCCAGTCTCAGGTATTTCTTTATAGCAGTGCAAAAACAGACACATGCAGTCTGGATATAAGCTCTTTGTCGTTTGTATGTGAATCTGGATGTAGCAGTACAGGTGCATTTAGTTTTGCTTCATAAGCATTTATTATGATTCCCGCATCTTCCTGTATATGCTTTACCTAAGTAAACAGATCTATAATAAAGTTCCTTAGAAGATTTTTTATATCTTCCTTTCCCCAACTACTATAATAAACAGCTAGTTGCCTTAGAGACCACTGCAGGTTTTACTATTTTACAACCTGGCCTTTAGTACTGACATTAGGCAAACTCAATGTTGTTTAATAGTGTCAAAGAAAATACTGAATGGTCTCCTCATAATCACACCAGAGATTTTCCAATTTGTGTTGATAGTAGGGAGCTTCTGGTGATCTGGGCTAAGGAGTAAGATAATGAAAATAGAATTTAGAATGTTTTGCTTAGGAATAGATGTCCAAATGGATAAGACAAAAAAGGGACCAGAGACAAGAATATCAGAGAGGAAATGGATGCTTAATGTGAATTGAAGGAATGTCTGAACTAGACTAAAATCCAAAATTACAAATGAGAAGCACAGGGAAACCAGGTGGTAAGTGTGTGCTGAGCAGTAGCTAGAAGCTTGGTGTGGCTGTGACTGGGGTGCCTGAAAGGGCCTGGGCTCTGCAGAGGTGTGTTGGAAGGTGGTGGGCTAGGAGGTCCCCTCTTCCCTGCCCCCCTTCCGTCCTTCCATGAGGTAATTGCATGCATGGGGTTGGGGACTGGCAGACAGGTAAGGACTTTGTCTACTAGGAGAGAAGAGAGTGAATGGGAGGGTGGAAGTGGAACAGGAGGAGAAAATAACTTAGACATAAAAACCCTGCAAAGTAATATAGCTATATCATGATATACAAGGTGCTCCGTGCTATGATTTTAAAAATAAGATATTTTTGAAGTCAGACCATCAGAAGTTCAAGTCTAGAAGTTTAGTCCTTTACTAGTTATAACTTAATTCAATGTACTCTTAATTAAGTTATAACTAGTAGTTTACTAGCTATGTGACTTCAAACAAATTACCTTTTTAAACTTAAGTTTTTAATCTGTAAACAGTATATAATACTAGAGTGTCATTAAGTGATTTTCTGTAAAGCAGTGGTTTAGTTAATGCCTTATTTGTAATGTGAAATTTACTTATAAATAGCTTGATAATACGTTTTACGATTAAAAAAATCACTGTCACTCATGATTAGTATATTTTATTTCATTTAGGCTAACTGCAGCATCCAAGATGCATGGTGATGAAATTACAATTGGATTATGTCTGTATTTCGTCTGGAAAACAGGACTTGAATGCAAAGGCAGCACCAAGCATATCTAGAGTGAAGAGTCTCAACAAGTAGCTTAACAAGATAGTTTCAGGCCAAAGATGATGTATTTAGTGGAATTTAGAGAATACCCCTTTATTTGAAGTTTTCCTATATTGTTGTACTGGAAATGCTTCACTGTATTCAGTCAACTAGAGTGGGTACATGGAATTTTGATATTGCACCTGATTTTGTCCCGTAGAACAATTTATTCCTCCAACACCTCCCTCAGGTGAAAATTCAAGAATTTGCATGGGTAGTCATTCTGATGCATATCTCCAAGCTTGTATCTTCTTCCCGCTGACAATGATGCGTTACAGTCTCTGGCTCTATCTACATGTGATGTGCAAGATGTCTGACAAAAGTCAGAGAAGCCCGTTGTTGAGTTTTGTCTCCAGATCTAAGGATCGGTACTTTTGCCAGATTGGGCTGCTTCTGTTTGAAAAAGACAAGCGTGGGGGTGGGAGAGATTGCTGGTTATCTTCCAGTACCTGTCTTCCTCTTCTTCCTGAATAAAAAATTTTAGCTGGGCACATGGCTGGCTGAATACAAGTTACATTTTTCAGCATCTTATGCAACCAGGTATGGCCATGTGACTGGCCAGTAAGGGTGAGCAGAGATGGTGTGTGCAGCTTCTGGTTCATGCCCCTTGCTTTGTCCCACTGTTTGGAGTGCAGTACAGGTATGGCGGTAAGCCCTGTCAGACCCTGTGGTGGGCCCAGTTCCTTAGGGTAGTCACCTCCAAACTTTGCTGCACATTAGAATTAGCTGGGGAACTTTTAAAAATCCCGGTTCCCAGGTCACACCATGTGTACCAATCAAATGAGAATGTCTCAGGGTGGAAGCCAGACATCATTGTTTAAAAAAATCAAGTGATTCCAGTGTGCAGCAGACTTTGGGAACCACTGCCTTGGGAGTTCCAGAGCAGGAACACTGAGGAAGTCTATGTTGCTGACAGCATTTTAGTCCAAGACTACCTACAACAAGGCCATCACATGTCAGAGAAACAGACTTCTACCTTGCCAAGCTAGACACCATTTCAGTGTCTCATGGAGTGATCATCTCTAAATTCCTAAAAAGTCGTAAGATTAGTGTTCAGTAGGCCCATGTGATATCATCTTTAGGATACAAGTTCTTGTTTTGATTTTGCTAAGCACTCCGTGGTGAAAATCAGTGGTGGATGCGGCAGCATTGTTAGTGCTTCGTGTTCCTAATTTGGTCTTAGTATCAAAAAGAGCCATCAGTTCCCAGTGCTCATCATCGGCCCCTTGGCCTTCTTCATTTCCCACTCCTTGCTAGTTAAATTCAGGGGCTCAATGGGTAGGTGATCCCAGTACTTGTGGCCACTTATGTGACACAGATTGATTTATTCTTGACAACTTAGTGTGCTTTCTCCATTTTGGTCAATGATGTGGGTAGTCATCCAGGTAGATATCCTGTCCTATTTACCAGTTGCGAGTTTCTCATTTCCTAATTGGTTTTCCTACCTTCAGCCTTGCCACACTTTGATCCACTTGTACATTACGGAAAGAAGTAGCTCTAAAATAAGACCCTGTAACTGCTGCTTAACAGCCTTCATTAACAGCTTTTTGTCTCAAAGTCCAAACACAAGGTCTTTCACCATTCAGATTTAAAGAGCCACCACTTTCCTTGCCATGGTGAGGGCCAGCGTTACTATATTACATTCATTCCTGTTGAATGAGATGCAGCTTTAGATTTTTTTCATTTTACTGTATTCCAAGTTAGAGTTGGCTTGAAAGATGAAAGATGTCATGGTTTGGGTTTACCAAGAAGCAGACTGTGAGATAAGAATGTGAGTATAAGTAGTTTATTTTAGAGGTAATCTTAAGGAATCTCCCAATTACACTGTGGACACTTGCATCTCAATCCCACTGGAAAACTCAACACTAGAATAGTTCTCAGTTATACCACCCAAGGGGGGAAGAAGCTGGAGCATTTATCTACCAACTGCCATTTTGCCGTTGGTTGAGTGCTGCTTTCAGGGATATTAAGCTTTCCCTTGGTGCAAATTAAGCATCCAAATCAGCCAGAAAAAAGCTTACTGAAAGAGCAGTTAGTAGCCTTCACACAGAGGTGAATGCCTGAGGCAGGGCTAGCTTCATGGACATATACCTATGGAGTTGGTTTACTGGTCTGCTGCTGTCCTCTTGAAATTCTTGAACAAGGGACCCCACGTTTTTGTTTTGCACAGGGATTCACAAATTCTGTAGCCAGATCTTGGTCTAAGGGAATATAAATGGTACAGCAGTAGCTTCTGTTACAAAACCTATTTGTCATTCCTGTGAATTTCTAAGCAGGGACCATTTTTATGCCTGCTGTCTGGTACTATGCTTACCATTGAAGGTACTCAATGAATGTTTGTTTCAAATGATTAAATTTTCTTTTCCATTTTAATTTTTTTGACAGGTAAAAGTCTTGCAGTGAAAAACCCGAGGACCCTTACCGCAAGTGTCTTTTGCTCCCAGCTACTGATACTGGATTCCACTCGTGATTCTCCCTTTCTTAGCGCATTCATGATATAGACATCAGTCTCTGAGCTGGAGGAGGACAAAGGCAGCGGTCCTGTGAATTCTATGCTCTAGCTTGGGTTAAGGGATTTGGAATTGCACTTGTTTCAGAGGTATGTTAGAGGCAGGAAGAAATCACATAGCGGGTGTCTTGTAGGCAGGAAGAGTACTTACTAGGACTTGAAGACTATGTTAAAGGTTCTTATGTTAATTATCTATTGCCCTGTTTTTCTCCAAAGATTAATGGTTGAAAACAATAAACTTGTATTGTCTCACAGTTTGCGTGGTTAGGAATCTGGAAATGGCATAGCTGAGTGGCTCTGGCTCAGAGTCTAATGTGGTTCCAGTCGATATCAGCTGGGGCTGCAGTTCTGAAAGTGTGAGCAGGGCTGGAGGATCCTCTTCCAAGGTAGCTCACTCATGTGCCTGGCAGGGTGTGCTGGGTGTGCCTGAGGCAGAAGGTGTGTTTCCTGTCACATAAGTCTCCTTTTAGAGTGTCTTCATGGCATGGCTGCTAGCATCCCCCAGAGCAAGTGATTTGAGAGCGAGAGCAGGGAGAAAGCTACATTGTTTTTAATGGCCTAATTTCAGAAGTCACATCTGTCACTTCTGTTTGTTAAAAGCAAGTCATCGAGCACTGACCACACTCAAAGGGAGGGGAATTAGGCTCTGCCTTTTTCAAAGGAAGCATATCACAGAACTTGTAGATGTATATAAAAACACCACAGGGTTTTTAAAGAGTCTCATATTATAGAGCCTTGAGAAGTAAATTCCCATGCCCTTTACCTTACCTGTGAAGTTGCTAATCTGATACTAATTGTTCATTCTCCTGCTGTTCTGCTCAGTGTCCCTTCCCGTGTGTTGATACAATAACTAGGGTTTATAATCATCCTCTGAGAAGATAAATGTTGGGCACATAGAAGGAAAATAGATGGAGTGGTGGTGGTATGCATTTATTTCCTAGGGCTGCTTTAACAAGCTACCAAAAACTGGGTGGTTTAAAACAACAGAAATTTATTTGGTCAAAATTCTGGAGGCCAGAAGTCTGAAATCCAAGTGTCAGCCAGGTTGGTTCCTCCTGGAGGGTCTAAGGGAGCATCTATTTCATGCCTCTCTCCTAGCTTTTGGCATTTGCCGGCAATCTTTGGCATTCTTTGGCTTGTAGGCTTGTCACTACAATCTCTCCCTCCATCATCACATCACATTCTCTATGGGTGGGTCTCTTTGCATCCAAGTGTCCCTCTTACAAGGAAACTAGTCATTGAATTAAGGGTCCACCCTTAATTCAGTATGACCTCATCTTAACTTGATTATATTTTCAAAGACCCTATTTCCAAATAAGATTACATTCTGAGGTTCTGGGTGGACATGAGTTTGGGGGACACTGTTCAAACCAGTACAGGGTATAGATAATAAAACTCATGGGTGTCTCTAGATACTCTTCACCAGAGAGGAGAGTTTCCATGACACTACAATAGCCAGATGTCCCTGATGCAGGCATGCAGTTGGGCATGAACTAGTCAGATTGTAGGACTGTGGCTGCTACTAGCTCATATGTACATATCTAATTATAGGAAGCTAAGAAAATTAGTATTAAGTACAAGAGGTTGAAAATGGTAATAGCATGAAGATTATTCCTCAGAGCACTTTTCTGTGCCCTTATTGTCAAGTGGTCCTGGGAAATGGACTTTTATCAAGTCTGACTCTTATGTTACCACCTTGCTTGAGTGCTCAGTGCCATGAGATCGTCCCAGAGGTGATCCCTTGCATACCCTGGTCTTTAGGCAAAGCCTTGTTTTCAAATCGCACAAGTAAAAGATGTGCTCTGCTAAGTGACATTTCAGTGGAAGAATCAGGATATTGACAGAGGAAGCACTTTTACCTCTTGACTGGTATTTCATAGGCTAGGAAAGTATGGAACTTGATTTTCCTGTTTCTCAAACTGGCTCTATTTCTTTAGGAAGGGACCAAAAGGAGCTGCCCCTAGTATAGGGAGCAAACAGAGGTTTTCTATAAATGTTAAATTAAGGAATTTTTTTCTCATAGGGATAGCTGTTGGCATAATAGTAGCTAATGATTATCTATAGTGACTCATTGGACTTCCACAACATCAGTATATGATAGGTTTCATTACCCCATGTCTCTCCCCACCACCATTGCCATCCATCAAAACTAAATTATTGATGGTTTCCTAAATCTAATGTCTTGTTGCACCGCTTGATGCTTTTACTGTTTCTTCTTCCTGGATTTCCCTTTGCTTATATTGTGAAGCCCTCCTAATCTTGCTCTAAATGTCAGGTTATTAATGTTTTTCTCTGTACTACTTTTATATGTTTAACTAGTATTGTTGGATTATTGATATTTTCATATCTGAACTGTGCTACACTGGAGAGCTACTTTAGCATGGAGATTGGTTTTGTTTTTCATTCCCTAATAGTGCCTGACGTGTGGGGTGGGGGTGGGGGCTCAGTTCAAAGAAGGAACCCAAGGCTCAGCATGATTGAGTAATTTGCCAAAGGTCACACATCTGGTGTATGGCAGAGCTAGAAGAAGAATCCAGATCTTTAGCCACTTACCAACTACAAAGAGAAAAACACTGCACAGAAGTCAGGATGTCCAAGGACTAATACTGGGTCAACAGCTCTTGTGTTACTCTACCTTGATGAGATATTTTACCTTTGTGAAATTTTCTTTATCATTTGTAAGGCTATTTCTAGATCCGTGAACTGCAAGTTATATTTTTATGCATTTTTCCCCAAGGAATTGGAAAAAGTCTCAATATCAATATTCTATTCTATATATTCTTTTAAAAATCAATGTCTGAAGAGGGAAGTTGTAATGTAGGTGTAGAGAATGTCCTTCTCTGGCTCAGAGTATTAGGAAGTTGGACTAGGCATTCTGTAGGGCCCAGGGCTCCTCTTGACTATTGTAGCCTGAGTCTTCATACCTTCCCTGAACACTCTCCATTGATGACTATATAGCCCTTTATTTATCCTTTCCCTCATCAGCATGTTGAGGTGTCACATTTCCTCAGCAGTCTTGCTGGCGTGGGTGTCATGTGTTGTGGGGAGGCCGGGGTGGGGTGGGGGTGTGTGCGGGGTGGTCCTTTTTCTGCTGTCCAAGGTCCTGAAGATGTGTTTCTGTGTTTCCTGAAAGTTTCTCAGTTTCCCAAATGCAAGTTTGAGATTTTATTTGTTTTTGAAGAAATTAAAGAGATGATAGGTGATCTGCTAATGACTTATTGGAAGTCATAGGAGAATGGAGGGAACTACCCAGGTGATGGTGTTAGAGTTTGATTTTCTGTTCTTTTTTTTTTTTTTTTTTTTTTTTTTTTGAGACAGAGCCTTGTTCTGTTGCCCAGACTCGAATGCAGTGGTGCAGTGGTGAATTCTCAGCTCACTGCAATCTCTGCCGCCTCCCGCGTTCAAGTAATTCTAATGCCTCAGCCTCCCAAGTAGCTAGGACTATAGGCATGCACCAACATGCCCAGCTAACGTTTTGTATTTGTATTTGTATGGGGTTTTGCCATGTTGCCTGGGCTGGTCTCGAACTCCTGAGTTCAGGCAATCTGCCTGCCTCGGCCTTCCAAAGTGCTAGGATTACAGGCATGAGCCACTACACCTGGCCCAGATTTTCTATTCTTTTGCATTCCTCTCTCTTCTAGTCCCTTTCCTTTGGCTGTCTTTTTTTTTTTTTTTTTTTTTTTTTGACATTGTCTTGCTCTATCGCCAGGCTGGAGTGCAGTGGCATGATCTCGGCTCACTGCAACCTCCGCATCATAGGTTCAAGTGATTCTTCTGCCTCAGCCTCCCAGTAGCTGGGACTACAGGCACATGCCACCATGCCCAGCTAATTTTTGTATTTTTAGTAGAGACAGGGTTTCACCACGTTGGCCAGGATGGTCTCAATCTCGACCTCGTGATCTGCCTGCCTCGGCCTTCCAAAGTGCTGGGATTACAAGCGTGAGCCACCTTGCCCTGCCTCCTGTGGCTGTCTTGTTGAGTCATTTGTCTCTGCTTTTCTTGTTGCTCTGGTCTCAGTCTTGTGATTTACTCCTAGAGGTGCTGGCAAGCCTGAGCTCAGATTTAGGAATAATGGGGTTGGGACAGGAGAAGGATGAGATAGGGACTAGCAGCTGATGAAAAGGAAGGGTGGACATATTCATCGTAGGGGTTTCAGGAACTCCATTATCTCACACTCAGCCCCTTTGTCATCTCTGGGATCAACACAGTGTTATCATCGATCAGCCCCCAGATTCACTTCAGTGAATCTGTAAAGAACAAGCATGTCCTCCTCATCCCACGAATTCTGCTGCTTAGAAAGCCACCTGAAAGTGATAGCCCTTAAAGTCCTCAGTCTGCCCCTTTAGAGCACCACAGAAAGATCCCTGAATGGAGATCCTGACCCTTAAGTATGGAACTGCTGGGAAGAGCTATTTGGAGATTATCATTACATGGAGGGTTAGTAACATCACTTTCTCTTCCCTTTATCCTCATTTTTTTCCCTTAAAAAAAAACACACACACCCACACAACCATTTCTTTGCTATTTGCTGTTGGTATCCAGTATGCCATTGCTTTCTTAATTAATGAGATACATTTTCCCTTCCTGTATGCCTATTTTAATGGTCAATTTCTGATATCTCTAAACATGTCTTTGTTGTCCCCTCCCTCCATTTCCACTTCCACTGTCCTATTTCAGTTCTGGACTATAACAATTGCCTCCCTACCTTTATCTGAGCATTTGGTCTCACTCTCTTGCCACACTCCCAGTCTTTCCCCTGTATGGCCTCAGTGATATTTCTAACAAAAAACTCTGACTATAGTATTCCCCTACTCAGTCATCTTTAATGATTCTCCTTCACCTCTTGAGTAAAATCTAAATCTTTTTGGAAGGGTGTTTGAGGTTCCTCATGGTTTTGTCCATTGGGCTGGACTAAGGTTATGGATGAGAGACTTGTGAGGAAGAAAAACCAGTTCTAGAGAAATAAAGGCATGGCATCTTTGCACACTTACAAATGCAGGAAGAGAAGGTTTAAAACCATCTTTCTAGAATATGCCCTTTGGCTGGTGAAAAGAGCAAAGTTGATCCTTCATATTCCTCCTTTTTCTTAAAATCATAAATCTCTCCTCTACTTCCTTCTCTTTTGCTTTCAAATCAGCATTTTTAAAAGCCATTTCTTGGCCTGGCACGATGGCTTATGTCTGTAATCCCAGCACTTTGGGAAGCCAAGGCGGGTGGATCACCTGAGGTCAGGAGTTCGATACCATCCTGGCCAACATGGCGAAACCCCCATCTCTACTAAATATACAAAAATTAGCTGGTGCGGTGGTGTATGCCTGTAGTCCCAGCTACTCAGGAGGCTGAGGCAGGAGAATTGCTTGAACCTGGGAGGCAGAGATTGCAGTGAGCCGAGATCGCATCGCTGTACTCCAGCCTGAGCAATAGAGCTACACTCCATTAAAAAAAAAAAAAAAAAAGCCAGGCCAGGTGCGGTAGCTCATGCCTGTAATCCCAGCACTTTGGGAGGCTGAGGCGGGCAGATCACGAGGTCAGGAGATCGAGACCATCCTAGCCAAGGTGGCAAAACCCCATCTCTACTAAAAATACAAAAATTAGCCAGGCATGGTGGCGCGTGCATGTAATCCCAGCTACTCGGGAGGCTGAGGCAGGAGACTTGAACCAGGGAGTCGGGGGTTGCAGTGAACCGAGATCACGCCACTGCACTCCAGCCTGGCTACAGAGCGAGACTCCGAATCAAAAAAAAAAAAAAAAAACAAACAACAGCAACAACAAAAAAGCCATTTCTTGATCCTGCTTACCTGTGTAACACCATCTTCTCTTTCGCTGCAGTGAAGTTGTCTGTGTTTATCTCTGTGTTTATCTTCGTTTCCTCAGTTCTCATCATTCTTGAACTTCTGCAGTCCTCCTTCCTCTTGCTACTCAATTTACACTATCCCCATGGTCATCAGAGGTTTTTCCCTTGGTCTTCTTTCTGGCACCTGATACCACTCAAGCTACTACTTCCCCACGTCTACATTTGCTCTCTTTTGTCCCAGAAAATTATTGGATACAGTCTAGGATACAATTGCTCCCTTTGTCCCCACATATACCCTACACACCTTGCCTCTCCTACAAACCTATCCAGAATCTTCTTAATTCCCCTCACATTCCCAAAATGAGCTGAGCAGTCTTTGAAGTAAAAATTAAGCTATAGTTAAGTTTCACCTCCATTTCACTTGTGCATTTTACTCCTTTTTTTATTTTTTTAAACCTCTTTCAAATGATCCTTGGGCTTCGAGTACCATGATCTACCCAGACTTGCATTCCCTGGGCTGTGTTCTAGTTCTGGTCATGTCAGCTTTTCCCTTCTGATGAATCCTTGTAATTACTTGAGTCTCATTCTGTCAGGCAATAGCCACAGTGAAGAAGCCAGTGTGCGTTATGGCAAAGCCCAGGAAGACGTAGGTGTGAATTTTTGCTTTACCATTTCTTGCCTGTGTGACTTATGCCATGGGGCTTCACTGGTCTGGGTCCCAGTTTCTCATCTCTTAGATGACATCATTTTGTTGGGAGGATTACATGGAGTGATATGTATAATATATCTGATAACTAAGTGGTTTCAGTTAGTGGTAGTTGTTTTTATTTGACATAGTCTTGATAAGTATTAATTTCTTCCTAAGCCCAGGGTATTTGTATTTTGACAACAAATAAGTTTTAAGTAAATCAATCTATAGATATTATGGAAATCTGGACCCCTATATCCTAGCTGAGGAAGGGTATCTGGCACCCATTGCCACGTAGGAGCCCCTGGGCTCCAGGACACCAGGGAAAAGAGGTTAAATAGGTCCCCCTCCTCTGACATGATACCCAGTGATTCAGTCAGGGTACAATTGGGAAAACAACCCATACCCCAGGGACTGGTTACAAAAGTCTTGAATAGCTAAACGCAGAACAGGATGGTTAAGTTGCATTATGTAGACAACAGTGATTCAGGTGGGCAGGCCCTACCTCCTTGAGGTGTTATCTGTGGACAGATTTTTGTGCGATTGTGGCACAACCCTGGGTTTCTTTCTTCATGTGCCTGTTCTTAATGGGCCCAGGAGAGGTAATTCAAGGGAGCAAGGGACCTGTAGAATGATCATGTCCTCTTTTTTCTAGCCATAAGGTTATGAATCATATATCTCGGGGGTGTGATTCTGAAGGAAAGAAGTGTGTGCCATAGCAGGAGAATGGAAGGCAGACAGCTGTTGCTATTACTAGAGTTTTAGCAGCCCCCGTAACTCAGCTAGCCCAGACTAGGATCTCAATATGGGGTGAGATGTATTTTCCAATATTGAATAGCAAATGATGTAACTTTGTCATCTTCATGTTGATCTTAAACATCTCTCTGATGAACAGTATAAGAAAACAAATGATCACTTAGAGGATCCTGTTTGGTAGTTAAAACCGTATTAAAATAGAGAGGGAAGAAATTAAGCCTCCTTGATGGTGAAGAGATTGGGAACCACCACTCCAGTGTTAGAAAATGTCAAATGACAGAAGGTGGGCTATATTAAGTGGGAATTTCCAAACCCCACCCCCTGGAAGGAAGGAATGCTTGGTGACAAGCCTTAGAGGAGAGAGATGCTTGTCTAGCCCATTGCCTGTGTGCCCAGGAAGAGATGTGCATACCTTGAGATATAGAGAAGACTCTAGTGGGGAGAAGCCCCAGGCCAGCTTGTCAGCACAGGGCATCGGAGGCCCCCAACCAGCTCCAAGTTCTGAACAGCACACAGCCTTCAAAGGCTTGTACTGCTGCTCATACCCAGCAGAGGCCTTGCACCAGGCCTCCCCATGCAAATCAGTGTCCCCGCAGCGTAGGTAAAGGAGCTCTAGCTGTGCTCCCTATGGGGGAACAGATATACCGTGGGACACTGAGAGACTGGAAGATTGCCCAACATTTATTTACTGATCTGTGTTCACCACAGAACCTAAGGTATTTATTGGTATTGTTTCAACCAGTACGAGTGATTCTTTCATTTAGTGGTCATCTCTGCACTCCACCACAGACTTTTGGGAATTACAAGATGAAAAGGGCCACATCCTCACCCTGGCATAGCTCAGAAAATTTGGTTGGGGAAGTAGGGACATAGACGTGATCACTACACCATAATTTACTAAGCTGTGAGAACTGGAGGTGCATCAGTGACCAGAGTGCATTTGAGCCAGAGGTAGAAGGTACTGTAGACAAAAGGAACAACATGCGCTCTAGGCTGTATCATTAGGTACAATTTTCTGTCCTTGGGGGAGTCTTTTTAACCCTAAGACAAAAATTATGAATATAGAAAGAGGCCACGGTTCATCTTTGCAATTCTTTCAGGAGAAAATTTGCTGCAACTCACTTTCTAAGTTTAAAAAAAAAAAGAGTAAATGATATGAATATCACCTGAAAGAATTTGAGGTCTCAAACTTGGGAGGATCTTTGAACAACAATCTTGGGGAATGCCTAACAGTTCATACTCATTTCTTGATATCTACAGATGGAAACTCTACAGCCTTACATATATTTCTTTTTTCTTTTAACTACTTTATACTCACAGAAAATCAGTGTTCAGCACTTCTAATAGCAGGTCTAGTGGAAGCTTGAGATCAGAACAGAGTTCCATAAAGGGAAACTGAGGGCACACAAGGCAGAGCAGTACCCCCTTATCCATGGGGACCTGTCTGACTGGAAGTAAGGGAGAAGATTCTACTCCACAGAGAATCAGGGAAGGTTAAAACTGTGTGTGTTTGTGACACTTTTGCTCTCTTGGGCCCAGATACAGGCCGGAAATCCTTTGGGTTCTGGTGACTCAAAGTGTGGCCAAAAGGACCAGCAGCTTTAGCTTCTCTGGGAGAACATATGAGTGCAGAATTTCAGGCCTGCACCAAGTTTTTAAACGTCTGCATTTTAACAAGCTGCTCTTAATTTGCTTACGTATTAAAATTTCCAGAAGCACTGTTCTAGGACCATCTTTAAGTGTTATCCAAAAACATGTAAGATCTTTTTTCAAAGCAAATTCTCAAGCTCTACCCTAGAGGGATTGCTTCTGGTTCTCTGGGGTTGGTGCAGGAATCTACATTTTCGGCAAGTGCCTTAGATCCTTGTGCACACTAGCATTTGAGGATTGCTGCCTTAGATGGTGGGAAATCTGAGCAGGGGAGGGCTGTGGGCTGAAAATGAAATGATGATGTTTAGGAACTGGCACAAGCATGCTTCTGCTCCTGGTGGGAAGCAGTGGGACAGATCCAGTTGATTGTAGAGAATGCAGACCTCGTGTCATGCTCAAGTGTCACCTTAATGTAATGGCTGGAGACAGCCACATATGACCCTCTCATTGTCCAGTCAGTAAGCTCAATCAATGACAGGAACCACTGACTCTGGTAATTAAAAACTTATTGTGGCCGGGCACAGTGGCTCACGCCTGAAATCCCAGCACTTTGGGAGGCAAAGGTGGGCAGATCACCTGAGGTCAGGAGTTCAAGACCAGCCTGGCCAACATGGTGAAACCCCATCTCTACTAAAAATACAAAATTAGCTGGGCGTGGTGGGGTTGCCTATAATTCCAGCTACTCAGGAGGCTAAGACAGGAGAAACACTTGAACCCAGGAGGTGGAGGTTGCAGTAAGCTGAGATCGCATCATTGCACTCCAGCCTGGGCAACAAGAGTGAAACTGTCTAAAAAACAAACAACAACAACAACAACAAAAACACTTATTGGTGGGCAGGTTCTCATAAGAGGCCATGGGAAAGCCATGTCCTATCTCAGGGACACAGGGTCATCTGGGCCTCTGGCTAATAGAGGCCAAATAATGGGACTATTTTCCCTGTGAAATCCTGAAAACCAAAAATGGTGGCGTCTTTATCTGCATTAGCAGAGGTAATTTGCTCCTTCTTGAAATCCAAGGTCACGTCTACTGTCTGGGGATTTTGATCCAGGGTCAGTGTGGTTTCTCCTTTACAGGAGAGCCGAGTCTCAGAAAGGTGAGGTGGTTTGTGTTGGTCATTGGCTACCTCAGATTTTAGAGCAGCTCTACCTTGATTGTGGGGTTGACCTAATTTTTTTTGCTGTCTTCTTTCTTCTCCAGGTGAGGAAAGAGGACTTCCTGTATATCTCTATCCTTTTGTTTCCATTACTCACTTTCTGTGGCTGCTGCTGCAGAAGCCACTGCTGACTGATGTGGATACCTCAATCTTTGGTTTACAAAAAGCCTAGGTGTCTTTTGGCCTCTCTCCAGGTTGATAGCCATGGCTCCTGAAAGAAATAAAAGATGATCATCTTTCTAAAAAGTCTTAAGTCTGAATTATTAGTAACTTAACTGGAGAATCTCACTTTTCCTACTCTCGTATTTTAACCACAGTTGCTCTAACACAGACCTTTGAGGATCTTTTCATGACTTCATTCACAAATACCTATTTATGCTGTACAGATGCTACTAGGAAGGAAATAGGGATGTCTGTTTTGACTGTGGAACTTAACTTGGTCTCGTCTCTTCGTGCATGCAACCCTGTCCTTGGGATAGCTTTCTTGAGCATATCTACTTATGTTCAAGAGGTAAATTGTCCTGAAACCCCCATTGCTATAAGTATTTATTTTATTACTCATAATACTTAATGCTCCTAAAGTTGGGGTATTTTTTTTTTTGGATACCTAAACTTCATTGAGATACTTTGAACTATTTATAGAGAAAACGGAACCTTCTAATACCTGGCTTCTATTTCTTAAAATGTTATGATCATACATGGCTTAGGGCTTTATGGCCAAATAACTTCACTGAACCCAGGAAAAAGAATAGATCCATCTGAAACAGACCTGTAGCTTCCAGAGGCCTAAATTTTCGGCTCCATTTGTATCCTTCATTTTCTGTGAGGTAAAGAAGTGGAAGGAGACAAGCCTCAGCCCTTCCCCTGGCACCTTTACTCTTCGCCCTTCCTCCTGGCATGGTGGAAAGTGCACTGGAGGAGGAGTGAAGGGCCCTAGGTTTGCATCCATATTCTGCCACTTGCCAACCTTAATGGCCCTTACAATTGATTTACCCTCATGAAATTTGGAATGATTTCTAAAGTCTTTCCTCGCCCTGAATGTTAACATTTTTTGATAGTCAGGACTTTCTGTAGCTTCACCTTCCTTATTTAGTGTTATTTTTTTCTCAAGACTGAACAGAGAGGGAAGCTGTCAAAGTGTGCTGGGCACACACCCTGCAGTGGGGCAATGGCCAATTCTAATCTCAAGTCATTAGGCTGCAGTAGCATGACCACTGCTTCCTGTCTACCCTCAGAGGGTAGAGACAGCTGAGCTCCTGTAGTTGGGGTCAGGCCCAGCCACTCTGTGGGGACAGTGATTAGTGTTGTGTCACCAATTCAGGGAAGGAGCCACCTTGTCTTATTTTCCCTCTTGAATTATCTTGATATGACCCCATTATAAATTTCCTTTTGTAAACCTCTGTCTCCCAATTTCTCCTTTTAGCTTACTTTCTATTGAAGTAGAGGAACAGAGTACAACTTCCATCCTCTTTCATCAGCCCTGAGAGCAGAACGCAAGCGCCGTTACTGGGAACTATATCCTTGGCTCCCTGGATGTGGCTATTAACTTCTGGCCTGCCACTCTATCACATACACATATGGAGATGGTGTCATCCATGTACCTTACCCCGTATTTACAACTTCTATCACCCAACAGTGCCAATGGCCCTGATGGTCCCTCTGGGAGGGAGAGAAGAGTAAGCTGGAGTCACCCCTTCCCTGTACTTCCCACCTCGCCAGGCCTGTTGGTGTTAGTGTCCCTTCTGATCTTGGCCTGACCCCTGTGCCCTGGGCACTGGGCTGCAGGTTGGAGAGGCAGCATGATGGAGTGGGGATAACACATACTCCAAAACCAAACAGAAGCCAGACCTGGGTTGGGTCCTGGCGAAACAGTCTAGAGGCTTGGTGACCTTAACCTCCTAATTAATCTTCCTAAGCATAAGTTTCCTTATCATAAGTTATGTATGATAAAATTTTCCTTGGATGCATTCATTTTAGCATGACTTGAAATTATGTGTGAAGGAACCTGGCCCACGGAAGTTGCCCTGTAAATTCAGATTCACTTTCCCTTGGACATATGGATGACATTAGCTCATTACAGTTATGACCTCCCTAAAACTCCCAAATATTCTTTAAGTTCTTCTCTTATTTTCCCTTTAGTTTGTAGTCATATTTCTTAGTTCTTATATCAGTTGGGATTCCCACATCTTCTAGTTGGACAATATTGGAGAAGACACCACATTTTAACTGAGTTCCAGTGATATGACAGGCTTTCAATTCTCTAATCTCACAGAAGTTAGAAAAAAAGTAGATAATCAAAATCCACAGAAAATATAGAAGATTCCATTAACTCTGAGAATGATTCTCAGGTATCCTTAGGACCTCAAGAAAGCTGTTCTCTCCTGGGCCTGTAGAGAGTTCAAGTGCCAGGAATCTACCACAAAGTAGCCGGGAGGTGCAGGGCAGCAGGGGGCACAGTGAAGTGCTGAAGGGCTTCTCAGTCTTCTTTAATTAGAGTGAGAAGAAAAGAGCACCTCCTCATTTTAGAGTACATGGTGTGAACTCACTCTCAGCTGCCAAGTGAGCTTCACCTTGGGCTGTTTTGCATGCTTTCTCCTAGTGCTTTAAGCCACCCTGAGATGTACAGACCAATACTGGCCATCACAAAAATATACTCGAGTACATAGACCATTGACACTATAAAGCAAGTAAACAATGAAGTCTACATAACAGCCAAATAACAACATGATGATAGGATCAAATCTGCACATATCAATATTAACCTTGAATGTAAATGAGCTAAATGCCTCAATTAATAGGCAGAGAGTGGCAAGTTGGACAGAGAAGCAAGACCCAACTGTATGTCTTCAAGAGACCCATCTCATATGCAGGGACACCAATAGCCTCAAAGTAAGGGATGGAGAAAGATCTATCAAGCAAATGGAAAACAAAAAACAGCACTCTCTGTCCAACAAAAACAGAATATACATTCTTTTCAGCTGCACATGGTACATACTCTTAAAATCGACCACAATTGCTTTATTGGCCAGAAAGCAATTCTCAACAAATTCAAGAAACCTGAAATACCGGCCAGGTGTAGTGGCTCACACCTGTAATCCCAACACTTTGGAAGGCTGAGGTGGGCAAATCACTTGAGGTCAAGAGTTTGAGACCAGCCTGGCCAACATGGCAAAAACCCATCTCTTCTAAAAAATATAAAAATTAGCCGTGCATGGTGGCATGCGCCTGTAATCCCAGCTACTTCGGAGGTTGAGTCACGAGAATTGCTTGAACCTGGGAGGAGGAGGTTGCAGTGAGCTGAGATCACGCCATTGCACTCCAGTCTGGTTGACAGAGTGAGACTCATCTCAAAAAAACAAAAAAACCCTGAAATACCAACCACACTCTTGGACCACAGTGCCATAAAAATAAATACCAAGAAGATCTCTCAAAACCATATAATTAAGTGGAAATTAATCTACTCCTGAATGACTTGGGTAAACAAAGAGAAATTAAGGCAGAAATCAAGAAATTGTTTACAACTAATGAAAACAAAGATAAAAACATACCAGAATCTGGGACACAGCTAAAGCAGTGTTAAGGGAAAACTATAGTGCTAAATGCCCACATCAAAAAGATAGATCTCAACCTAACATCACATCTAGAGGAACTAAATAAACAAGAGCAAACCAACCCCAAAGCTAGCAGAAGAGAATACCCAAAATCAGAGCTGAACTGAACAAAATGGAGATGAGAAAAACCGTACAAAAAATCAAAGAAAGCAAAAGTTGGTTCTTTGAAAGAATAAATAAGGTTGATAGGCACTAACTAGACTAATAAAAAAAGGAGGGGGGAGATAATCTAAATAAACACAATCAGGAATGACAAAGGGGACGTTGTCACTGACCACACAAAAATACAAAAACCGCTTGGAGACTATTATGAACACCTCTGCACACAAACTAGAAAACCTAGAAGAATGGATAAATTCCTGGGAACATACAACCTCCCAAGATTGAACCAGAAATTGAAACCCCAAACAGACCAATAACAAGTTCCAAAATTGAATCAGTAATAAAAAGCCTACTAACCAGAAAAAGTCCTGGACCAGATGGATTCACAGCCAAATTCTACCAGACATATAAAGAAGAACTGGTATCATTCCTACCGAAACTATTCCAAAAAATTGAGAAAGAGGGACACCTCCCTAACTCAGTCTGTGAGACCAGCATCATTCTGATACCAGAACCTGGCAGAGACACAACAGAAAAAAAGAACTTCAGGCCAATATCCCTGATGAACATATATGCAAAAATCCTCCACAAAATACTACCAAATGAAATCCAGCAACACACCAAAAAGCTAACCCATTGTGATCAAGTAGGCTTTATCCCTGGAGTGCAGAGTTGGCTCAACTTACCCAAATCAATAAATGTGATTCATCACATAAAGAGAACTAAAAACAAAAACCACATGATACCTTAATAGATGCAGAAAAGGCTTTTGGTAAAATTAAACATTCATTCATGTTAAAAACCCTCAACAAACTAGGTTTGAAGTTATAGTCCTCAAAATAATAAAAGCTATCTCTGACAAACCCAAAGCCAACATAATACTGAATTGGCAAAAGCTAGAAGTATTCTCTTTAGGAACTGGAACAAGACAAGGATGCCCACTCTCACTACTCCTATTCAACATAGTACTGGAAGTTCTATTTGGAGCAGTCAAGTGAGAGAAAGAAAGAAAAGGCATCCAAATAGGAAGAGAGGAAGTCAAATTATCTCTCTTCATAGATAATGATTCTATACCTAGAAAACTCCATGGTCTCTTCCTGAGGGCTTCTAGATCTGAAAAAGAACTTCAGCAGAGTTTCAGGATACAAAATAAGTTTACAAAAATCAGTAGCATTTCTATACACCAATAACATCTAAACCGAGAACCAAGTGAAGAATGCAGTTTCATTCACAGTAGCCTCAAGAAGAATAAAATACCTAGGAATACAGCTAGCCAAAGAGGTAAACAATCTCTGCAATGAGAATTTTACAAGACACTGCCCAAAGAAATCAGATTACACCAATGGGAAAACATTCCATGCTCCTGGATAGGAAGAATTAATATTGTTGTTAAAACTGCCATACTAGTCAAAGCAATTTACAGATTCAGTGTCAAACTACCAATGACATTTTTCACAGAGTTAGGAAAAAAAATTCAAAAATTCATATGGAACCAAGAAGGAGCCCAAATAGCCAAAGCAATCCTAAGCAAAAAGAACAAAGCTGGAGGCATCACACTACCTGTCTTCAAATTATGAGGTTACAGTAACTAAGACAGCATGGCACTGGTACAAAAACAGACACATAGACTAATGGAGCAGATTAGAGAACTCAGAAATAAAGCCACATACCTAAAACCATCTGATCTTTGACAAAATTGACAATAACAAGCAATGGGGAAAGAACTCCCTATTCAATAAATGGTGCTGGGATAACTGGATAGCCATAGGCAGAAGAATGACACTGAACCCCTATCTTTCGCCATATATAAAAATCAACTCAAAGTGGATTAAAGACTTAAATGTAAAACCTAAAACTATGAAAATACTAGAAGAAAACCTAGGAAATACCATTTTGAGCATCAGCCCTGGCAAAGACTTCATGATGAAGACTCCAAAAGCAACTGCAACAAAACCAAAAATTGCCAAATAAGCCTTAATTAAACTAAAGAACTCCTGCACAGAAAATGGAACTGTCAACAGAGTAAACAGCCTACAGAATGGGAGAAAACATCTGCAAACTGTGCATCTGACAAAGGTTTAATAACCAGAATCTATAAGGAACTTAGTAAGCAAAAAAGAACCCCATTAAAAAATGGGCAAAGGACATGAACACTTTTCAAAAGAAACATAAGAAAAAAAATGCTTAATATCCCTAATTAGGGGAATGCAAATCAAAACCACAATGAGATACCATCTTACACCAGTCAGAAAGGCTATTATTAAAAAAGTCAAAAACTAACTGATGCTGATGAGGTTGCAGAAAAAAGAGAATGCTTATACACTGCAAATGGGAATGTAAATTAGTTCAGCCATTGTGGAAAGCAGTCTGGAAATTTCTCAGAGAACTTAAAACTACCGTTTAACCCAGCAATCCCTTTACTGGGTATATCCCCAAAGGAATATAAATAGTTCTACCTAAAGACACACGCACATGTATGTTCACTGCGGCACTATTCGCAATGGCAAAGATACGGAATCAACCTAGATGCCCAGGTTCGGTGGCTCACGCCTGTAATCCTAGCACTTTGGGAGACCGATTCGGGTGGAGTTCGGCGAGGTCAGGAGTTTGAGACCAGCCTGGCCAACATGGTGAAACCTTGTCTCTACTAAAAATACAAAAATTAGCTGGACATGGTGGCAGGTGCCTGTAATCCCAGCTACTCAAGGCAGGAGAATCGTTTGAACCTGGGAAGCAGAGGTTGCAGTGAGCCGAGATCGCGCCATTGCACTCCAGCCTAGGTGACAAGGCGAGACTCTGTCTCAAAAAAAAAAAAAAAAAAAAAAAAAAAAAAAAAGAAAATGTACATATACACCGTGGAATAGAATACTACACAACCACGAAGAATGACATAATGTCCTTTGCAGCAGCATGGATGGAGCTGGAGGCCATTCCTTAAGACAATTAATGCAGGAACAGAAAACCAAATACTGTATGTTGTCACTTTTAAATGGGAGCTAAACATCGAGTACACATGGACACAAGGGAGCAACAGACACCAGGACCTACTTGAGGGTGGAGGGTGAAAGGAGGGTGAAGACTTAAAAACTACCTTTTGGGTATTATGCTGATTACCTGGGCGACAAAATTATCTGTATACACAACCCCCACAACATTGTAATTTACCCATATAACGAACCTACACATGTACCCCTTGAACCTAAAATGGAAGTTGAATAGTGAAAAAAAATAAAAAAATATATTTTTAATCAGGGAGAAGGGGACTGGGCATTGTGGCTTCTACCTATAATCCCAGCACTTCAGGAGATTTGCGGCAGGAGGATTGCTTGAGGCCAGGAATTTGAGACCATCTTAGGGAACATAGTGAGACCCCATCTTTACAAAAATTTTAAACATTAGCAGGTATGGTGGCATGCGCCCATAGTCCCAGCTACTCAGGAAGATAAGGAGGGAGGATCATTTGAGCCAGGAGTTTGAGGCTGCAGTGAGCTGTGACCACGCCACTGCAGTCCAGCCTGGATGATACAGCAAAATCGTGTCGAATGAAAAAGAGGGATGGGGGCAAAAAATTTTGCCTTGAGCCGGCCCTGCCATTAGATGAACCCATTAAGAGCAATTTCTGTTTGGTAGACTCAGAGTTCACTGATGGATGCTGTCGTTGTTAGATCACTTTAAAAACTGTACAGTGTGGTCCAGCACAGAGCACAGTCTTTCAAATGAAAGAAAGCTGGATTTAAATTCTGACTGTGTCTCCTAGGGTGTAGCCTTGAACCAAGGACATTCCTTCAACTCTTGCTTTGATCATAAGTAAAATGAAGGATAATCAGTAATGTGAGTATACTGAAAAAAATGAAAGCACTGAGCATGGTGCTGGCATCCAAGAGAGGCTCAATAATTTTCTTTATTTTTATTTCATAGAATTCCTGACCTCAAAGAACATATCTATGAGTGATTTCTGATAGGGAAACATGTTGACCTTGTCCCAAATACCTAGTGCTTTCAAAAAATAGTAACATGTCTAACAGTCTATACAAATTCTTCTCTCTTGTCAGGTAGAAGTGAGAGCAAGAGTCGTAACAGCAAACACCCTTCTGACCTCTGAAATGCTTCAAACTTTAGATTACAAAGATTTTGTTGTCACGGACCGGGACACAGCTGGGGGTGTTGGAAACCACACCCACTTCTGCCTGAGGGAAAGACAGGATAGTAGCTAGGTGACCACTAGATACCCTCTCTCAGAGTTGAAGGGTCCTTAAGCCTGAGAGGTCATTATTGTCATCATCTGTGCCCTGTAATGAGGTGTTAGTAGGGGTGATATGTATTTCTTCTGGACTGGGAATTTAACTGCTGGTTTATGTTCTTCCAGAGCTCCCTCTTTGCCCACTAGCAGGGCATTAGCTGGTGCTGAAGACAGTGGCTGCTTGGCGAGCCTGGATCTCCAAGTGACCCCCTCAGCAACTCCTGATGAACAGGTAGCATGTAAAAGAAATCTTTTTGGTTTATACCAGTGAGATACGGGAGTTGTATATCATTGCAGCATAATCTAGGCTATAGATGATGCAATACTGCTACATTAGGGTCTTTGATTTCTAGTCAGGCCCTATGCCTAGGATAGCTTACTGCTGGCACACTCTTCAGCCAGTCTCTCAGCTCTGCACAGCACCAGATATGCCAGGATTTTGGCCTTTGATTCAGAGCTCTTTTCTGGAATTTTCTTCATGACCAGAGAATACCTCTGTCTTGCTTTGCTGACAAGAGGTATTAATCTAGAAATGGCTATAGTTATAGTTCATACAGGAAATGTGTTGCAAAAAATTGAGCTAATCTAGAGAAGAGAAAATAAAAGATGGGAAGTCTTAGTTGCATTCAAATCCCTGGTTCCAGTTGTACCTGAGGTGCAGTTACATTATTGTTCCTTTAGTTTGCTAAATAAGATAATGAATCCCCATGTTGACAAGGTTAAGTTAGATTTCTATAATTTTTCTAGGAATAACATAGTGTTTTTATTTGCCCAGATGTTATAGCTCACCTAAAAAAACCCTATCTATCCAGGGCTTTTGTTGCCTTTTTTTTTTTTTTTGAGACGGAGTCTCGTTCTGTTGCCCAGGCTGGAGTGCAGTGGCGTGATCTCAGCTCACCAGAACCTCAGCCTACGGGATTCAAGTGATTCTCCTGCCTCAGCCTCGCTGGTAGCTGGGACTACAGGCATGCACCACCACACCTGGCTAATTTTTGTATTTTTAGTAGAAATGGGGTTTCACTGTGTTGGCCAGGCTAGTCTCAAACTCCTGACCTCAGGTGATCTACCCGCGTAAGCCTCCCAAAGTGCTGGGATTACAGGCATGAACCACCATGCCTGGACTATTGCCATTTTCAGTGTTGTGTCCAGTGATGTTTCCTTCACACCAAGAAGTCTTCAGGGGATTCATATATGGATTGTGAAATCCTCTAGTGACATGGAAGTTTCTGTGTCATGCAGATAGAGAAATTGTGATGCCTGGATGCCTGAGGTTTTTTGGAGTGAGGTACTATGCATTTGCAAGTAATTGTAAACTGTATAATCCAGGATTAAAAGATAAACTATTGTTGCATTTAGAACTGTGTTTAGAATACAATAATTTGTTGTTGTTTTGTAATAGGACTGAAGCCAATATTAAAGCAAGTCAACCAAAGGTTCTCTGGTGTAGACAAGACAGCAAAAGGACAGACTACCTTGTGGAACCTAGCATTGTTCTCCTTCTGCAGCACTAAGTAACATTTGTTCTCCGTTAAGATCTTTGCAAACCACACACAAGAATTGCTGGTCATCCTGCCAATAGATGCTGCTCACAGAACCAAATTTCCTGTGCTGAATTGTCACTCATGGGCTTGAGAGTAGGAGACTGGAGACCAAGGTGGCTAGAATCCAGTTGGGCCTGATGTCTCCCTGTTGAAAGGGCTCCTTGTGGAATGAATAGCACATGGCTCCTGTGGTGGATCTGATAGTGGCATAGCACCAAGTGATGCAGGCCTGCCAGGGGCCACAGACACAGAAGATGCTCCCGGGGTCCCCCATGTACTCCAGACACACTGCAGGCCACCTCTCCCAGCAGGTTGCCAGTCATGGGCCCCATCATCATGACTTCTGTCCAAGGTGTGCTCGGAAATCTCTTCCTTAACTGTGACTTTCTGACAGGTGGAGGATGTGGTCAGGAGTGGGAAAAGGATTCGAGACGGGAAGAGGGAGGGGTTCAGGATGAAGAGAGATAATCTGTGCCACAGATGCTGGCCCTGCAGTTAGCTCCCACCTAGTCCGTGCACACACATTCTAATCCCCTCCCATTCCTTTACATGCTGCGGCCAGAGAGGCCTTTCTCAAAGTGGAAGTCTCATCCTCACTTCTCTGGTTACAGTGCTGGGCCATGGTAACTTACAAGGCTTAGCAGGAACTGTCTGCGCACTCCCCCTTCCTGCCCACTACCTTGTTTCCCTCCAGTTGCGAGAGAAAACATTGATTGAGCATTAACTATGTGCCAGGCTTGTCCTAAGTCCTTTGCATGTATTCACTCAAACAATCCTCACAACATTCCTATCACATCTCCCATTTCACAGTGAGGGTTCTAAAGCACGTAGTGGGTGAGGAACTTGTCCAGGGTCACACAACTAAGTGGGGGTGGAGAAACATCAAATCTAGGTGGTCCAGGTGGTGGCCAGAACCCATCAGCACCTCACTACAGCTGCCTCCAGTTTCTCGCTCTAGGAAATACTCTTCCCTGTCAACTCCTGTTGTCCTCTGGGCTCAGTTGACATGTCATCTCCTTGAGGAGGACATCCTGAGATGCTCCCCGACTAGGGTGGGCACCCACTTCCACACTCCAAATGCCTATTTGACCTGTGTATCGCTGCATCCCCACTGCCTGGCAGATAGCAGGCCCCTAATAAATATGATTTGAGCAAATAAATATAGTTCTTCAAAAAATAGGGAGGACTTCTTGCTTCAGGTAATGGTAGGCTAGGACATTTGGACCAACCCTCCTGCAGAAAATAGCCATTTATTTTGATGCAATATATCTGGCTATGACTAGAGATTTCAAATATTTGGAGGGCTATTATGTGAAGAACTAAACTTACTCTTTGTGACATAGAGGTCAGAAATTGGTCGTTTCCATAGAGTATGAGAGAGACAGAATTGTGCTCATCATAAGTATCTTTTTTAAAAGTTAGACTTAATAAAATGGGCTGCCTTGGTAGGTGGTGAGTTCTCTGTCACGAAAGAGATTCAGCCACTTGCTCTGAGAAAGCATGGAGAATATCAACATTGTAAGGGTCGACCACCTCATCTCTGAGGCCCCCTCCTCACTTAGGTTGCCATTGCAGGTGGAACACTGGGCTGAGTGTCAAAGAACCTGGGTTCCACAAGCTGTGCGACCATGGCTGGTTGTTTTGGATCTCATTCCTAATATCTGTTAGTTAAGCTGACCCGTCAATACTGACCCACTTCACAGAGTTATGAAGGGATTAAATTAGGTATTACATGTAAATCTGTTTTGTTTGCTTTTTGTTGTTCTTTTTTGTTTTGCTTTTTTCTTTGCATTATGAAATCCCAAGTCAACTTTTTCCATTCTTTTATTTTTTTAAAAATTGACATCATCATTATAACCACAAAATAATTTTTAAAATGGAAAAAAAAAACTCACCTGCAACCCCACAATCTAATACAATAATCATACTTTTTTCCCTTTATTCTCCTTTATTGTGACCAAGGATGACTTTGGGCATTGCTGTGAGGAACTATTTCGTTTAACACCCTACTACCTGAACATGATGCGTACTCAGCCTTTCACCACCCCCCAAGTAGCTACACATGATGTGATAATAGTATTGGTGGTGGTTTTAGAGAGTTGGAGAGAAAACTGAAGTTGGATTTGGGTAAAAGAAAAAAGAGTGGGAATTATTTTTTCTCCATTCTAAAGCCCATAAAGCAATGTTAATTGTTCCCACCCCTCTGCTATTCTGTCTCCTCAGGTACTGTGTGCAGAAATGTGATTGAGATTCAAGTCAGGGCCTCTCTGCCCTTTTCCCTCCAGAAACAAAACCAAGATAATTTATCCTGAACACGGTGAAAAAAGGAAGGGAGGGAGGAGAAAAAGTCCGGGTCTCACCTGGGATTCTCTGTCTCCTGCAACATGAAGGATTTAGCCTGGGAGGAGGTGGTGAGAACTCTGGGAGAGAAAAAAGAAGGAAAGAATAGTTTTACCCATGCTGAAGTTAATTTAAACCTTCACCTAGAGAAGCAAAAAAAAAAAACCCACACTTTCCCATTTTGTGCCTCCCTTCCTAGAGTTTTAGCCAAAGGTTTAGCTAAGTAATTGGTTTTACCAGCGCACTCACTCCTCCTATCCCAAGTCTGTTTGACTCCCTCCCCATCATCCTCCTCACCTCTTTTCAGGCAGGGTGGGGATAGCAGCAGGAGGAGATTTTGGGAGCCTGGCAACTCCTGCAAGGACCGCAGGACAGCCCCTCTGTGGGGATGCGTGGTGCCCCATCTGCCGCCCTTCTGAAGAATGCACTGCCTTCACTTTTTACTGTGTTAGAGTCCATCCAGACTGTTCTATCCAAAAAAGTTTCTTTTTCCCCCACAGGCAATCAGGAAATGATTCCTTTCCCGACTGCTTCTGTCTAGTGCCTGGGAATCTTGAGTCAATCCCTCAGTAAGTCAGTGACTAGGGAAATCCCTCTCTGAGCCTCCCAGTTCATGTTGCTTAGGGAACCTGATATTTTCGTGAAACCTGCCTACACATGGGCAGCCCAACAGCAGAACAAATGGTGGTGACCAAAGTGAACAAAGAAGTATAGTTGTGCCAGCTTCGTAGTTGCCCATGTGGACAAGTCAGCAGGATCAGGACACGAGGAAGAGTAAATGTGAGACAGTCAATGTGACTTCTGCGATAAACAGATTTTTAAACCCCGAAATTTTGCAAAATTTTGGTGAAACCTGAACTTTCTTCGTTGCATATACTGGCACTATCTGTACCATCATACAACTGTCTCACATTAAAGCTATTTTTCTTGGGCACTGATGAGTAAGGTTGGTATAAGTTCCTCAGATCAACAAAAACCCATTTTCCTGTAAGTCTTACATTTAGTATTTAAGGAACTAAAACTTAAATACATTTTGTGAAATGGTTGACACTTCACTGATAATGATTTATTGCTTGGATTAATAAATTTTCCAAAAGTTGTCTTATGTAGAATATGGTTTGCAACCAGCAGAACCATTAATCTATACTGCAATGATATGCACTATGTATAATTGTTTAAAAGCCTCTACTTAATGATGTAAAATGCTCTATTTAATTACACATTTGGGTAAACTGTATACTAACATCTGATGGCATTTTTCCACTGTTTGTTGCTTTTTTCAAATACTTTATTGTACAAAGCTGTTCTTAATATTTTTCAAGTTTTTTTCTTTGAATTTTGCTAATGTTTTCCTTGAATTATGAGCACTGACAGAATGTGCTTAGCACTTTTGGCTATTCACACAGCTTTTGAGCATGATTTGCATCCAATATTTACATTGCTAGCAATAATAAGCCATCTGTGAGTTTTGTCAAAAGTTATTGGGGATTTTTTAAATTTTAGAAATGCAAATTATTGTTTCTTTGAACTAACTCTTATGCAGTTGCAAAGGCATTTCCAGTTGTTATAGTTTGTGTACAATATCAGGTGTTCCAGATTATGATTCATTATTAATATCATTGCTTCCTTGTTCCCTCTGAGGTCCAGAAGATTCATGTTTACAATATTTAGAAACAATGTTAAAAAGGTATCCAAAGTTTGTCACTTTATTATTAGTTTGTTCTTAATATTCTGTTTAAGTTTTTGAATTCATAGATATCAAAACGCTGCACAATTATGATTTCCACAGGAATAACAACACACTAACAATAAGAACCAAAAACAGCAAATAGGCTGCCTACAAGTTTTGACAATATTAGGATAATGATAATGACAGTTTTTCTAAATCTCACAGTAAAGAATGCAGCAACCCAGCAACACTGCTACCTGTGGCCTCAGGCTGCAGTGTCAGCTCTTCCCTGGGTCTCCAGCCTGCCAGTCTAACCTGAAAATTATGTACTTGCCAGCCCCCACAGTCACGTGAGTGAACTGGCCCAGGCTGGTCACCAGGGTCAGTTTCTCTGTGTGTCATTAATTCATTCAGTCTTCAGCAGTCTCTTTGGAGCTGAGATGTACCTACCATCTGCCTTTTGGGTGCTTAGGGTGGAGAACCAGAAAAGTATAACCTAGTGTGTATCCTCAAAGAGCTAACAATATGGGGTGGTACCTATAGGTCTGGAAACACTTTACTGACTCTGTGAGGCATACCAGGAGACGTCAGAGAACAGTCCCTCCTCAAATGCCAAATGAGATGCAGAAGAAATAGTTTGCTCAAGTTCATGGGCCAGATATCCCAGTGGTCAGGGAGTTTCATGAATGAGATGGAACTTTGCATGGAACCCGAGGGATGTGTATGATTTGAGTAGATGAAGAAAATGAGACTTTCCAAGCAGCTAGAAGTTAGGGAGCAGCAAGATGTGTGGTGGGATTGAGCACAGTTGGTTCAGAGGATAGACTGCAGTTTTAATAATTTGTAGTAAATATCTCCCAACTGTTTGGCACTATTGGAGCAAGTTCTTGAATGCCAAATGAAGGCATAAATCAGTAAGAGGCATAATAAAAGGCTGAGCAGTGCTTGGCTTTTTACGAACTGATCCTGATAGGAGCAGCTGTTCAACAAAGTTGCCAGGTCACCGTTACATAGTCCCTGCCTTCTAGGGGCTCACTGCCTACTGGGAGAGACAGTCTGAAAGTTGGTGGAGCATGTAACTGTTGGATGAGGAGTTTGAGCCTGTGGACTGTGGGACCCCCGAGGAGGGTGTGGCTACTCTAGGCAGAACAATCCCACAGTTTATTTATATTTAACCTTGAAATTCATTAGAGGATTTTTCAGCAGAGGTTTGGTACTTGTTAATGTTAAGGTTTGCATTCTCTAGAACCTCAAGGAAAGCTGTACCGTGCATAATGTACCCTCTTATGTTAATGTTGTGTACTGTGATCCTGTTTCAGGGACTTGCACTTAGGAATCTGTTACAGTGAGCACAGAAGCAGACCTGTGGGCTCATAGTCTTCACCCCCCACCCATATATACAAGATGAACAGAGTGGAGGTTAAACAACTTGACTAAACAACACAGTTCATGGTAAAGCCCAAGACTGTACCTGCCCATCCACTGCCTTTTCCATGTATCCTGGAACTGAGCATAGACCTCTTCCCAGGCAGAGCTGACAGCAAGTAAAGGAGATCATAATCAGGGGACCAAACAACTTTGTCTAAAGTGTGAATGTCACCTAAGGAGAAGCTGTGAGATCAGAAGGGTGGGGCAGAGGAGCAGACACCATGAGGGAGAGTCCTTGGGGGTACATCTGCCAGACTGACACTGTCTGGCCTGGGCAGTGGAGGGGCTAGCAGGAACCACAGGTACTGGTGGTGTGGCTACTACCGTTACAACTGCCTGTGCTTGGACATGGACCCTCTGCAATATGCGGCAGTTTCATTCATTGCCCCCTACATTCTACACCAAGTAGAAATGGAAGGCAATTGGATACTTCACAGACAAGATCTAAGTGGAGAAGGAATGCGTCCTGTGGCTGCAGAGATCCTTGGAGCTTGGAGGGGAGAGCTTGAGCCCCACTGATGATGACCTCCCACAGCTCGCCAACTCAGCCCTCCCTAAGTCCCCATCGGGGGCCAATTCTCACTCTGGGGTTGGGGGGACTCCACCATAGCTCATCCATCATAGGGATGTTGGTATCTACTGTGGGTTGGGTAGGGCCGATGTGCTGAGGATGGCTCCCCCACAAGCAAGAGATGTGGATTTGGGGAGCTTCCCATCTTGTGTTGAAGGAACATAACTCAGAATAATAAGAGCCAACTATAACAAACCCACAGCCAACATCATACTGAATGGGCAAAAGCTGCAGGCATTCCCCTTGAAAAGTGGCACAGGATAAGGAAGCCCTTTCTCACCACTCCTATTCAATATAGTGTTGAAAGTCCTGATCACAGCAGTCAGGCAACAGAAATAATAAAGGGCATCCAAATAGGAAGAGAGGAAGTCAAACTATCCTTGTTTGCAGACAGTATGATTCTATATCTAGAAAACCCCATAGCCTCAGCCCAAAAGGTCCTTCATCTGATAATTTCAGCAAAGTTTCAGGAGACAAAATCAGTGTACAAAAATCACTAACATTCCTATACACAGTCGCCAAGCCAAGAGCCAAATCAGGAGCACAATCCCATTCATAATTGCCACAAAAAAGAATAAAATACCCAGGAATGCAGCTAACCAAGGAAGTAAAGGATCTCTACAATGAGAATCACAAACGCTGCTCAAAGAAATCAGAGATGACACAAACAAATGGAAAAACTTTCCATGCTCATGGCTAGGAAGAATCAATATCATTAAAGTGGCCATACTACCCAAAGCAATTTATAGATTCAATGCTATTCCTATCAAACTATCAATTACATTTTTCACAGAACTAGAAAAAACTTAAAATTCATATGGAACCAAAAAGCCTGAGTAGTCAAGGCAATCCTAAACAAAAAGAACAAAGGTGGAGGCATCACATTACCTAACTTCAAACTACAGGGCTACCATGACCAAAACAGCATGGTACTGGTACAAAAGCAGACACACAGACCAGTGGGACAGAATAGAGAGCCCAAAAATAAGGCCACAAACCTACAGCCATCTGATCTTCAACAAAGTTGACAAAAACAAGCAATGGGGAAAGGTCTCCCTATTCAATAAATGGTGCTGGGATAACTGGCTGGCCATATGCAGAAGATCGTAACTGGACCCCTTTTACTATGTACAAAAATTAAGATGGTTTAAAGAGTTAAAACCCAAAATTATAAAAATCCTGAAGATAACTTAGGCAATACCATTCTGGACATAGGAACTGGCAAATATTTCATGATGAAGACACCAAAAGCAATTGTAACAAAAGCAAAAATGGACAAATTGGATTTAAGAGCTTTTTCATAGCAAAATAAACAACAGGGCAGACAATCTACCAAATGACAGAAAATTTTTGCAAACTATGCATCTGACAAGGGGCTAATATCTAGCATCTATAAGGAATTTAAACACAGTTACAGGAAAAAAAAAACCCACTCCATTAAAAAATGGGCAAAGGACATGAACAGACACTTTTCAAAAAAGACATACATACAGCCAACTAGCGTGTTAAAGAAAACCTCAATTATCACTGATCATTAGAGAAATGCAAAATCAAAACCATGATGAGATATCATCTGCCAGTCAGGATGGCTACAAAAAAGTAAAAAAATAATAGATGTTGGTGAGGTTATGGAGAAAAGGAACTTATACACTTGTTAGGAGTGTAAATTAGTTCAATCACTGTGGACAGCAGTGTGGTGATTCCTCAGAGAGCTAAAAACAACTACCATTTGACTCACCAATCCCATTACTGGATATTTACCTAAAGGAATATAAATCATTCCACCATAAAGACACATGCAAGTGTATGTTCATTGCAGCACTATTAACAGTAACAAAGCTGGGCACAGTGGCTCACCTCACGACTGTAATCCCAGCACTTTGGGAGGCTGAGGTAGGCGGATCACCTGAGGTCGGCAGTTTGAGACCAGCCTGACCAACATGGAGAGACCCCATCTCTACTAAAAATACAAAATTAGCCAGGTGTGGTGGCTCATGCCTGTAATCCCAGCTACTTGGGAGGCCAAGGCAGGAGAATTGCTTGAACCCAGGAGGCAGAGGTTGCAGTGAGCCGAGATCACACCATTGCACTCTAGCCTGGTGAAGGAGCAAGACTCCATCTCAAAAAAAAAAAAAAAAAAGAAAGAAAGAAAAATACACATTCAGAGGAGACAAAAAATAAAAAACAATGATGCATGCCCACAGGATCTAGAAAATAACTTCTTAAGGGCAAATCTAGGAGTTATTGGCCTTAAAGAAGAGATAGAGAAAGAGATAGGAATAGAAAGTTTGTTGAAAGGGATAATAACATAGAACTTCCTAAACCTACAGAAAGATATTTATATCCAAGTACAAGAAGGTTATAGAACACCAGGCCAATTTAACCCAAAGATTACCTCAAGGCATTTAATAATCAAACTCCCACAGGACAAGGGTAAAGAAAGGATCCTAAAAGCAGCAAGAGAAAAGAAACAGATAACATACAATGGAGCTCCAATACATCTGGCAGTATATTTTTCAGTGGAAACCTTACAAGCCAGGAGAGAGTGACATGACATATGTTAAAGTGCTGAAGGGAAAAAACCTTTTACCCTAGAATAGTATATCCAGCAAAAATATCCTTCAAACATGAAGAATAAACAAAGACTTCCCCAGACAAACAAAAGCTGAGGGATTTCATCAACACTAGACTGGTCCCATAAGAAACGCTTAAGGGAGTACTTTGGTCAGAAAGAAACAGACATTAATGAGCAACAAAGAATCATCTAAAGGTAAAAAACTCACTGTTAAGAGTAAGTACACAGAAAAACCCAAAGTGTGATAACATTGTAACTGTGGTGTGTAAGTAGAAAGAATAAATGATAAACCAATCAAAAATAGTAACTACAACTTTTCAAGACCAGTCAGAAAAATAAGATAAAATTAGAAACAACAAAAAGTTAAAAAGTGGGGGGATGAAGTTAAGATGTAGAGTTTTTATTAGTTTTTTGTTTGTTAATGCAAACAGTGTTACCAGGTTAAAATAATGGGTTACAAAATAGTATTTGTAATCCTTATGGTAACCTCAAACCTAAAAACATACACTGGATACATAAAAAATAAAAAGCAAAAACCTAAATCATATCACCAGAGCAAACTACCTTCCCTAAAGGAAGACAGGAAGAAAAGAAAGAAGAAGACCACAAAACAACCAGAAAACAAATAAATAACAAGGCAGGAGTAAGTCTTTACTTATCGATAATACATTGAATGGAAATATGGACTAAACTCTCCAATCAAAAGACATAGACTGGCTGAATGAATGGAGAAAACAAGACCCATTGATCTGTTGCCTACAAGAAACACACTTAAACTATAAAGACACACATAGGCTGAAAGTAAAGAGTTGGAAAGAGTTATTCCATGCCAATGGAAACCAGGAAAAAGAGAAGGAGTATTGATTTTGATACAAAAACTATGAGACAAATAAAGTCACTATACAATGATAAAGGGGTTAATATGGTTTCCATTTGTGCCCCACCCAAATTTCGTGTTCTATTGTAATCCTCAATGTTGGAGGTGGGGCCTGGTGGGACGTGATTAGATCATGGGGGTGGATCTTTCATGACTAATTCAGCACCATCTTCTTAGTGCTGTTCTCATGATAGTGAGTTCTTCTGAAATCTGGTTGCTTAAAAGTGTGTAGCACCTCTCCACACCACCCGCTTGCCTTGGTCTACTCCTGCTATGTAGATGCTTGCTCCCACTTTGCATTATTCCATGAGTAAAAGCTCCCTCAGGCCTTCCCAGAATCAGATGCCGCTATGCTTCCTGAACAGCCTGTGGAACTATGAGCCAATTCAACCTCTTTTCTTCATAAATTAACAAGTCTTGGGTATTTCTTTATAGCAGTGTGAGAACAGAATAATACAGAAAATTGGTAAAGAGGAGTGAGGCATTGCTAGAAAGATACCTGAAAATGTGGAAACAGCAGTGGAACTGGGAAATAGACAGAGGTTGGAAGAGTGTGGAGGGCTCCGAAGATAGGAAGATGAGGGGAAGTTTGGAATTTCTTAGAGATTTGTTAAATTGTTTTGACCAAAATACTGATGGTGATATGGACAATGAAGTCCAGGCTGAGGAGGTCTCAGATGGAGATGAGGGACTTATTGGGACCTGGAGTGAAGGTCACTTTTGTTAGGACATTGTGGTTGGAGACATTGTGCCCCTGCCCTAGGAATCTGTGGAACTTTGAACTTGAGAGCGAAGATTTAGGGTATCTGGCAGAAGAAATTTCTAAGCAGCAAAGCGTTCAAGACGTGGCCTGGCTGCTTCTGGTAGTCTGTGCTCATATTTGTGAGCAAAGACATGACAAGAAACTGGAACTTATATTTAAAAAGGAAGCAGAGTGTAAAAGTTTGGAGAATTTGCAGCCTGGCCATGTTGTAGAAAAGAAAAAAACCATTTTCTGGAGAGGAATTCAAGCTAGCTGCAGAAAATTGCAAGTAACAAGGAGCAAAATGTTGATAGCCAAGATAGTGGGAAAAACACCTTGAAGGCATTTCAGATACCTTGGGGGCAGCCTCTCCCATCACAGGCCCAAAGGCCTAGGAGGGAAGGATGGTTTCCTGGGCCAGGCTCAGGGTCCTGCTGCCCTGCACAACCTCAGGAAACTGCTCTCCAAATCCCAGCTGCTCCAGCTCCAGCTTCAGCTCAAAGGGCCCCAGGTATAGCTCAGGCTGCTGCTCCATAGGATGCAAGTTATAAGCCTTAGTGGCTCCCGTGTGGTGTTAAATTAAGCCTGTAGGTGCACAGAGTGCAAGAATTGAGGCTTGGGAGCCTCCAACTAGATTTCAGAGTATGTGTGGGAAAGCCTGGATGTCCAGGCAGAAGCCAGCTGCAGGGACAGAGCCCTCATGGAGAACCTCTACTAGGGTAGTGTGGAGGGGAAATTTGGGGTTGGAGTTCCCACACAGCTTCCCCTCTGGTGTACTGCCTAGTGGAGCTGTGAGAAGACAGCCACTGTCCTCCAGATTCCAGGATGATAGATCTGCCAATGACAGCTTGCACTGTACAACTGGAAAAGCCACAGGCAGTCAATGCCAGCCCGTGAAAGCAGTGACAGTGGCTTACCCTGCAAAGTCCCAGGGGCTGAGCTGCCCAAGGCCTTGGGAGCCCACCCCTTGCACCAGTGTGCCCTGGATGTGAGATATGGAGTCAAAGGAGAGTATTTTGGAGCTTTAAGATTTAATGACTACCTGCTGGGTTTCAGACTTGCATGGGTCCAGTAGCCCCTTTCTTTTGGCCAATTTCTCACTTTTGGAATGGGAGTGTTTACCCAATTCCTGTACCCCCACTGTATGTTGGAAGTAACTAACTGTTTTTTTATTTTGTAAGCTCACAGGTGGGAGAGACTTGCCTTGTCTCAGGTTGAGACTCTGGACTTTGGACTTTTGAATTAATGCTGGAATGAGTTAAGACTTTGAGGGACTGTTGGGAAGATATAACTGTATTTTGCAGTATGAGAAGGACATGAGATTTGGGAGACACCAGAGGTGGAATAATATGATTTGGATCTGCATCCCCACCAAAATCTCATGTTCAATTGTAATCCTAAATTTTGGAGGTTGAGCCTGGTGGAAGAGGATTGGATAATGGGGGTGGTTTCTCATGGTTTAACACCATCCCCCTGGGTGCTGTTCTCATGACAGTGAGTGAGTTATTGTGAGATCTGATTGTTTAAAAGTGTGTGCCACCTCCTCCCACTTTCCTCCTGCTCCAGCCATGTAAGACAGGCTTGCCTCCCCTTCACCTTTTGTCATGATTGTAAGTGTTCTGAGGCCTCCCCAGCCATGCTTCCTGTACAGCCTGCAGAACTGTGAGCCAATTAAACCTCTTTTCTCTATATATTACCCAGTCTCGGGTATTTCTTTATAGCAGTGCAAGAATAGACTAATACAGGGTTCAATTCAGCAAGAGGATATAACAAATATAAATATATATGCACTCAACACTGCAGCACCCAGATATATAAAGCAAATACGATTAGAGCTAAAGAGAGAGAGTGACCCCAATACAATAATAGCTGGAGACTTCAACACCACATTTTCAGCACTGGACAGATCTTCCAGACAGAAAATAAAAAAGAAACATCAGACTTAATCTGCACTGTAGATCAAATGGATCTAATACATACTTGCAGAACATTTTATCCAATGGCTGCAGAATACACATTCTTTTTTAGCACATGTATCATTCTCAAGGATAGACCATATGTTAGGTCACAAGTCTTAAAACATTAAAAAAGTTGAATACCATCAAGCATCTTCTCTGACCACAGTGGAATACAACTAGAAACTAATAACAAGAGGAATTTTTGAAACTACAAATACATGAAAATTAAACAATATGCTCCTGAATGACCATTGAGTCAATGAAGAAATTAAGAAGGAAATTGAACAATTTCTTGAAACAAATGATAAAGGAAACACAACATACCAAAACCTATGGGATACGGCAAAAGCAGTACTAAGAGGCAAATTGATAGCTATAAGTGCCTACATGAAAAAAGAGGAAAAACTTCAAATAAGCAATTTAACAATGAACCTTAACCAGAAAAGCAAGAGCAAAACAAACACAAAATTAGAAGAAAACAAATAATAAAAATTAGAGCATAAATAAATAAAATTGAAATAAAAATCAATGCAAAAGAACAATGAAACAAAAAGTTGCTTTTTTTCAAAAGTTAAACAAAACTGACAAGCCTTTAGCAAGACTGAGAAAAAAGAGACAAGATACAAATCAGAAATGAAAAAGACATTACAACTGACACTGCAGAAATTCAAAGGATCATTAGGGGCTACTATGAGCAACTCTATGCCAATAAATTGGAAAATCTAGAAGAAATTGACAATTCCTAGACACATACAACCTACTGAGACTGGACCAGGAAGAAATCCAAAACCTGAACAGACTAATAACAAGTAACAAGGTTGAAGCCATAATAAAAAGTCTCCCACTAAAGAAAACCAAGGACCCGATGGCTTCACTGTTGAATTCTACCAAACATTTAAAGAAGAACTAATACCAATCCCACTCAAGCTATTGAAAAATAGAGGAGGAGAGAATATTTCCAAAGTCATTCTAGGAGACCAGTATCACCCTGATACCAAAACCAGACAAAGACACATCAAAAAAAGAAAACTGCTGGCCAATTTCTCTGATGAATATTGATGCCAGAATCCTCAGCAAAATATTAGCAAACTAAATTCAACAATACATTAAAAAGATCATTCATCAGGGTCGGGTGCAGTGGCTTAAGCCTCTAATCCCAGCACTTTGGGAGGCCGAGGTGGGCAGATCACCTGAGGTCAGGAGTTCAAGACCAGCCTGACCAACATGGTGAAACCTCGTCTCTACTGAAAATACAAAATTAGCCGAGTGTGGTGGTGCATGCCTGTAATCCCAGCTACTCAGGAGACTGAGGCAGGAGAATCACTTGAACCCAGGAGGTGGAGGTTGCAGTGAGCTGAGATTGTGGCACTGCACTCCAGCCTTGGTGACAGAGTGAGACTCCATTAAAAAAAAAATCATTTATCATGACCAAGTGGGATTTATCCCTGGAATGCAAGGATGGTTCAACACATGCAAATCAATCAATGTAATACATCATATCAAAAAGAATGATTAAAACCATATGATTATTTCTATTGATGCTGAAAAAGTAGTTTATAAAATCCAACATCCCTTCATGATAAAAACCCTCAAAAAACTGTATAAAAGAAATATACCTCAACGTAATAGCCAGATATGACAGACCCACAGCTAGTATCATACTGAATGGGGAAAAAGTGAAAGACTTTCCTATAAGATCTGGAACACAACAGGGATGTTCACTGTCACCACTGTTATTCAACAAAGTACTGGATGTTCTAGCTAGAGCGATCAGACAAGAGAAGATATAAAGGCCATCCAAACTGGAAAGGGAGAAGTTAAATTACCCTAGTTTGCAGATGATATGAACTTATATTTGGAAAAAACCTAAAGGCTCCACAGGAAAACTATTAGAATCAATAAATTCAGTAAAGTTGCAGGACACAAAATCAACATATAAAAACCAGTAGCATTTCTATATGTCAACAGTGAACAATTTGAAAAATTTTAAATTTAAGAAGGTAATTTCATTTACAATAGCCACACATAAAATTAAATACCTAGGAATTAACCAAAAATGTGCAAGATATCTATGAGGAGAATTATAAAACATTGATGAAAGAAATTGAAGAGGACACAAAAAAAATGGAAAAAATTCCATCTTTATGGATTGGAAGAATCAATATTGTTAAAATGTCCATACTACCCAAAGCAATCTACAGATTTAATGCAATCCCTATCAAAATACCAATAATAGTCTTCAGAGAAATAGAAAAAAAAATCCCAAAATTTATATGAAAACACAGAATGCCCAGAATAGCCAAAATTATATTAAGCAAAAAGATCAAAACTGGAGGAATCACATTACCTGACTTCAAATTATGCTACAGAGCTATAATCACCAAAACAGCATGGTACTGACATAAAAACAGACACATAGTCCAACAGAACAGAATAGAGAACCTAGAAACAAATCCACACACTCACAGGGAACTCATTTTTGACAGAGTTGCCAAGTACTTATACTGGAGAAAAGAAAAGACAGTCTCTTCAATGAAATGGTGCTGGGAAAACTGGATATCCATATGCAGAAGAATGAAACTAGACCCCTACCTCTCACTGTAGACAAAAGTCAAATCAAGGCTAGGCATGGTGGCTTACACCTGTAATCTCAGCACTTTGGGAGGCTGAGGCAGGCGTATCACGAGGTGAAGAGATTGAGACCATCCTGACCAACATGGTGAAACTCACCCCCCCCCACCCACTAAAAATACAAAAATTAGCTGGGCGTGATGGCATGTGCCTGCAGTCCTAGCTACTCAGGAGGCTGGGGCAGGAGAATCGCTTGAACCCAGGAGGTGGAGGTTGCAGTGAGCTGAGATTGTGCCACTGCACTCCAGCCTGGCGACAGAGCAAGACTCCATCTCAAAAAATAAAAAATAAATTCAAAATGTAATAAAGACTTAAATCTAAGACCTCAAACATGAAACTACTATAAGAAAACATTGGGGAAAACCTCCAGGACAGTAGTCTGGCCAAAAATTTCTTGAGCAATACCCCACAAGCACAGGCAACCAAAATAAAACTGGACAAATAGTATCACATCAAGTTTAAAAGCTTCTACAAAGCAAAGGATACAATCAATAAAGAGACAACCCACAGAATGGGAGAAAATATTTGCAAACTACCCATCTGACAAAGAAATAATAACCAGAGTATATAAGAAGCTCAAACAACTCTATAGTAAAAAAAAAAAAAAAAAAAATTCTAAAAGTCTAAGTAAAAAAATGGGCAAAAGATTTGAATAGACATTTCTCAAAAGAAGACATACAGGCCATGCGTGGTGGCTCATGCCTGTAATCCCAGCACTTTGGGAGGCCCAGGCGGGTGGATCACTTGAGGTCAGGAGTTCGAGACCAGCCTGACCAACATTGTGAAACTCCGTCTCTACTAAAAATACAAAAATAAGCCAGGCATGGTGGCGCACACCTGTAATCCCAGCTACTCAGGAGGCTGAGGCAGGAGAATCGCTTAAACCTGGGAGACAGAGGTTGCAGTAAGCCGAGATCACACCACTGCACTCCAGCCTGGGCAACAAAGTGAGACTCCGTCTCACAAAAAAAAAAAAAAAAAAAAAAAAAAAAGAAAAGAAAAAGGAAGAAGACATACAAAGCCAGGTACAGTGGCTTATGCCTCTAATCCTAGCACTTTAGGAGGCCAAGGCAGATGGAATTGAGCCCAGAAGTTTGAGACCAGACTGAGCAATATGGTCAAACCCCAATTCTGCAAAATACAAAAATAAAAAATAGCTGGGAGTGGTGGTGCACACCTGTAGTCCCAGCTACTTAGGAAGCTGAGATGGGAGGATCACTTGAGCCTGCAGTGAATCATAATTGCACCAATGCACTCCAGCCTGGGCGACAGAGTGAGAGACATTGTCTCAAAAAAAAGAAAAAGAAAAAAAAGAAAGGACATAAAAATGACAAACAGGCATATGAAAAGGTGCTGATGATTATTGATCCTCAGAGAAATGCAAATCAAAACTGCAATGAGATATAATCTCACCCCAGTTAAAATGGCTTATATCCAAAAGACAGGCAATAACAAATGCTGGTGAGGATGTGGATAAAAGGGAACCCTCGTACACTGTTGATGGGAATGTAAATTAGTACAACCACTATGGATAACAGTTTAGAGGTTCCTCAGAAAACTAAAAATTGAGTTGCGATATGATGCAACAATCCTACTGCTGGGTATATACCCCACAAAAGACAAAACCAGCGTTTTGCATGGTGGCTCACACCTGTAATCCCAGCACTATGGGAGGCCGAGGAGGGCAGATCACTTGAGCCCAGAAGTTCAAGACCAGCCCGAGCAACATGGCAAAACCTGATTTCTACAAAATACAAAAAAAAAATTAGGCAGTTGTAGTGGTTCACACCTATAGTCCTAGCTACTGTGGAGGCTGAGGTAGGATCACTTGAACCTAGGAGGTGGAGGTTGCAGTGAGCCAAGATCATGCCACTGCACTCCAGCCTGGGTGACAAAGTGTGACCCTGTCTCAAAAAAGAAAATCAGTATATGGAAGAGGTATCTGCACTCCTATGTTTTTTACAACACTGTTTACAATAGCTAAGATTTGGAAGCAACCTAAATGTCTAACAGCAGATGAATGGATAAGGAAAATTTGGTATGTATACACAATGAAGTACTATTCAGCCATAAAAAGGAATGAGATCCAGTCATTTGCAACAGCATGGATGGAAGTGGAGATCATTATGTTAAATGAAATAAGCCAGGCACAGAAAGGCAAACATGGCATGTTCTCACTTATTTGTGGGACCTAAATTCAAAACAATTGAACTAATGGACATAAAGAGTAGAAGAATGGTTACCAGAGGCTAGGAATGGTAGTGGGGGGCTGAAGGGAAGGTGGGGATGTTTAATCGGTAAAAAAAAATTTAGAAGAATAAGACCTACTATTTGATAGCACAATAGGGGGACTATAGTCAATAATGCACATTTAAAAATAGTGTAATTGAATGGTTTGTAACTCAAAGGATAAATGCTTGAGGGAATGGATACCCCATTCTCCATGATGTGCTTATTTCACATTGCATACCTGTATCAAAACATCTCATGTACCCCATAAATATATGCAGCTATTATGTACCCACAAAAATTGAAAATCAAAAATAAAATATTTTTTAAAATGTATTATTATTTGTCCTCTGTGAATAAAACTCGCTTCTGGCCCTCCTTTTTATAGGTATTTAAAAGAATGCATTTAGGCAGATCAATGGCATTATATAATATACAAAAACAATAAATCTTTTTTTTTTAAACATATCACATTCAGCACAGCTGCTGAAGTTGGGGCTAATTATAGGTTACATTTTCATTAATCCACTGTCATCTGTTATCATCCATCCAATTTTTGCTAGAACTGGAGTGGTAAATTCAATAGTTGATGATGAAACCACAACCCCTGCATCTTTTATGTCTTTGAGTGACAGTTTATTTCATTGCCCCTCAAATACTACATTGTTTTAAAATTTCTATCTTGGTCGATATTAGAAGCTCTCTTAGGGGCATCCACTTGGCCTTTCTTACTACAAATCCTTTATTCCACAGGTGAAATGACTAAAGTGTGAGTGAAATAACTAATGTACAAAATAAATCCATCAATTACATATTTGGAAACCAGAAAAATAACCACCAAGCAGATGTGTGGACACAGAGAATCCACGGAGATACGGGTGGACCTGAGACAGGAAATTATTTTCAGTTCCCTGTGTGGCTCTCCTCTAATAGAAGTCCATGAGGGTGCTTTGGTTCCCCAGGTATCAGTGTGAAATTGGACCCTGTATCCAATAGACCTGAAAATATCTGGACATTCCCCTTTATCAGTGTCTTGATACCTGAGTAAATGGCCATTGATCCCTTTAGGGAAGGGTGTAGAAAGTGTCTACTGTACACACTTATGGTGTTGCAGATACTTCATCAGGGGACGTGACTCTCCTTCAATGAATGGATTCTGGATCTAAGCACTGGCTCAGGTCTGGAAACTGGGCAAGGGATTTTAAACTTCTATTGGAGAAATTAATCTCAGACTTCAGCTCATCTATTTTTCATCTATTGATTCTAATATTAAACAACAGTCTTATAGGCTGCCCAACTAGAAACACCATAGTCTTAATAATTTCCCTAAATCCCTTGCAGTCAGGATTTCCTGGCTTCCATTCTAACATTACTCACTATTTTGGGGATTTTGTCCATTTTGATTCTGCCTTGCTGCCAGCTGGCCTCTAGCTTTCTGGAATCCTACTGTCCTATTGTTGCTAGGGCACCAAGTTCTCCAATATCATCTCATAGAGTCAGCTCCAGCCCACAAAGGACAAAATTAGGTTAATACCCCGTTCACCTGCCCATGACTTGCTGCCTGATAAACAGAGTTTCCTTTGGGCCCTTCCAAATAAACAGTCACCCAGTGCATGATCCAGTTTTATAGAGTGTATCTATCTATGCCAGCATGCTCACTGCTCTGAGCCTTTTGGTCTCTTTCTCCACAATCTGCCATGGCAGCTCTGGCACATCGATTTTATTTCATGTGAGCCATCATTTTTCATTAGAACAGTTTCATTAAGATAAAATTCATATATTATTCAACCATTTAAACTCAATGGTTTTTAGCATATTTATAGTGCAACCATCACCACAATCAATTGTAGAACATGTTCATCACTCCAAAACTATTTTTAGAACATTTTCATCACCCATGTATATTTATTCTCAGGCAGTCATCCCCATTTTTCCCTCCAACATTTCCTCAGTCCTAGGCAACCACTAATCTACTTTCTCTCTACAAATTTATTTCTTATAGACATTTCATATAAATGAAATAATATAATGGATGGTCTTTTGTGACTGGCGTCTTTCACATAGCATAATGTTTTCAAGGTTCATCCACATTGCAGCATTTATTAGTACTGCATTTCTTTTTATGGCCAAATATTCCGTTCCATAGATTGACCATATCTTATTCATTCATTTGTTCCTGGGCATCTGTATTGTTTCCACTCTTCAGCCATTGAGAATAATGCTGCTTGACCATTATGTACAAATTTTTGCATGGACATGTTTTCATTTCTCTTGGGTATATACCTGGGAATGGAATTGCTGGGTCAAATACTCATTCTACATTCAAACTTTGAGGAACTGCCAAGCTATTCTTTAAGAGGCTGCACCATTTTACATTCTTACCAGCAGTGTGCAAGAATTCCAATTTCTCCACATCCTCACCACTGCTTATTGATATCTGTCTTATTTATTCTAGCTATTCCAGTGACCGTGCAGGGGTATATCACTGTGCTTTTAATTTGCATTTCCCTGATGATTAATAGTGCCAAGCATCTTTTCATATTCTTATTAGCCATCTTTCTATCTCCTGTGGAGAAGTATCTATTCAGCCCTTTGTTCATTTTTTACTTGTATTATTTGTCTTTTAATTTTTGACTTGTAAGAGTTTGTGTGTTCTATATACTAATTCTTTCTCACATATAAGATTTATATATACTTTCTCCTAGCCTGAGGGTGGTATTTTTACTTTTTTGATTGTATTCTTTGGAACACAGAGTTTTAAACTTTGTTGAGATAGAATTTATCTGTTTGGTTTATTGTTACTTGTGTTTTGGTGTCATATTTAAAAAACACTGCTTAATCCGAGGTCATGAAGGTTTTTGCATACATTTTTGTTTGTAAGTTTTATAGTTTTAGCACTAACATTTAGGTCTTTGGTCCATGTTAAGTCATTTATGTATATGATATGAGGTAGGGTCAAACTTCATTCTTTTGCAGGTGGATATACAGTTACATCAGCACAATTTTTTTTAACCATTGGCCATTTCATATTTAAAAAACATTTAATTGACAAAGTTGTGCATGGCATACATCATGATAATTTAATACACATATACATTGTATGATTATTATTGCAACCAAATTAACAAATCCATTACTGCCCATACTGAACATTAGATTTCTAGAACTTGTTCATTATATAACTGAGAATTTGCACCCTTTGACCAACATCTCCCCATTTCTCCCACTCAAGCCCCTGGTAACCACCGTTCTACCTCTGTTTCTAGGAGTTTCACTTGTTTTAGATTGCAAATATGAGGTTATATAATATTTGTCTTTCTGTGTCTGGCTTATTTCATTTAATATAATATCCTCCAGGTTCATCCATGTTGTTGCAAATGTCAGTACTTCCTTTTTCTGTGGCTATTATTCCATTTTGTGTGTGTGTGTATACATACACACCATATTGCTATGGTTTGAATTTTTGTCCCCTCCAAAACCCATGTTGTTTCAACCCATTTATATTTCAACATGGGTTGAAGTATATATATATTTGTAGAGATGGGGTCTCACTATGTTGCCCAGGCTGGTCTTGAACTCCTGGACTCAAGCAGTCCTCCCACCTCAGCCTCCCAAAGTGCTGGGATTACAGGAGTGAGCCACTGCACCCAGCTGCATATTGAAATTTAATTGCTATTGTAACATTATTAGGAGGTGAGACTTTTGAGAGGTGATTGGACCATGAGGGTTCCACCCTTGGGGGTGGTTTTAATGCCTTTATAAAAGGGCTTCCAGGAGTGTGTTCTCTGTACTTTACTTGCCCTTCTACCTTCAGCCATGTGATGATGCAGCAAGATGGCTCTCACCATTAGCCAGTGCCTTGATCTTGGATTCATAGCCTCCTGAACCGAGAGAAAATACATTTCTATTTGTTATAGATTACCCAGTCTGTGATATTGTGTTATAGCAGCATAAAATAGAGTAAAACATATGTTTAATCCATTCATCAGTTGACAGACATTCAGGTTATTTCCAGGAAATAATGCTGTGATAAACATATGGGTGCAAATATTTCTTTGAGATACTGATTTCATTTTCCTTGGATACAGGCCCAGAAGTAAAACTGCTGGATCATATACTGGTAGTTCTGTTTTTAATTTTTTTAAGGAAAGATCGTTTTAATTTTTTGAGGAAAAACCATACTGTTTTCCATAATGCTTATACCAATTTACATTCCCACCAACCATGTATAAGGATTCCCTTTCCTCTACACCCTCATTAACACTTATTACCTCTTATCTTTTTGATAATAACTATTCTGACAGGTGTGAGGTAACACTTCATTGCAATTTTGATTTGCATTTTTCTGATTAGTTACGTTCAGCACCATCTCATATACCTGTTGGTCATTTGTATGTCTTCTTTGGAAAGATGTCTATTCAGGTCCTTTGTCCATTTTTGAATTAGGTTATTTGTTTTATTGCTATTGAGTTGTGTATAATTTCTCGAAAAGATTTTTCTTTCCCCCACTGAATTGCCTTGGCAGTATTTTTGAAATTTAATTGACCATAATTATAAACTTTTATTTCTAGCCTCTCTATTCTATTGATCTGTATGTCTATCCTTATGTCAGTATCACTCTGTATTGATTATTGCAGCTTTGTAGTAACTTTTGCCATGAGCAAGTATAGTTCCTCAAACTCTGTTCTTTGTCAAAAGTTTTGTAACTTTTGTAGTTCACTGAATTTCCATATAAATTTTAATATCATCTTGTCAGTTTCTGCAAAGCAGTCAGCTGGGATTTTGATAGAACTGCATTGAATTTGTAGACCAATTTTGATATACTGCCATCTTAATAATATTGTCTTCTGATCCATAAAAATAGAACATCTTTTTATTTATTTAGTTCTTTGATTTCTGTAAAAATATTGTCGGTTTTTTTGTAGTATAAATTTCGTACTTCTTTTATTACATTTATTTCTAAGTATTTTATTTTTCCCTAGCTTTATTGAAGCATAATTGACAAACAAGAATTATATACATTCAAGTTGTACAACATGATTTTTAAAATGCATATATATTGTGAAATGATTACCACAATCAAGCTAATTAACATATCTATGACACATAGTTAATATTTTTGTGTGTGGTGAGAATACTTAAGATCTATTCTCTTAGTAAATTTCAAGTATACCAATAGTTGCCATCCTGTTGTAAGCCCAAATCACTTTGGCTTAGTGATTTTGGGGACCTGAGATTATTTTTCCTTTCACACTGTACATTAGGTTTCCAGAACTTATTCACCCTATAACTGCAAGTTGGTAAACTTTTACCAACATCTCCCCATTTCCCCTAACCATGACTCCTAGTAACCCCTAAAAAAAAAAAAAAAAAAAAAAAAAAAAAAAATTCCATCAACTTTAGACAAACTAAATTTAGAAGAGTTTATTTAAGCAAAAAATAATTTACAAATTTGGCAGCACTCAGAACCAGGAGAGGGTCAGAAAGCTCCACCCAGGAGTGTGCACAGCAAGCCTTTATGTGCCAGACACAGAAGAAGAAAAATCACCTGATTGGCTACAGCTAGGCATTTGCCTTATTTGGGCATGGTGTGATGAGCTGGCTGCTTGTGATTGGGTGAACCCCAGCTAACAGTTATACTCCTAACTTAGGTTTTGATTTGTTTACCTACTTACTTAGGTACACAGGCAGCCTCAGGTCAAAGTTAAGTTAATTCAACTGACTGTTTCTACCTCTGTTTCTCTGAATTCCACTTTATAGATTACACATATAAATGAGATCATACAGTATTTTTATTTCTGTGTTTGTCTTATTTCACTTAGCATAATGTCCTTCAGATTTATCCATGTTGTTACAAATGGCAGTATTTCCTTCCTTTTCATGTCTGAATAATATTCGTGTGTGTGTGTATGTGTGTGTATCACAATGTCTTTATTCATCCATTAATCAATAAACACTTACTTTGTTTCTATATCTTGGCCATTGTGAATAGTGCTGCAATTAATATGGGGGTACAGAAATTTCTTTACTGATTTCATTTTTTATATATGCCCAGAAGTAGGATTACTGTATCATATGGTAGTTATGTTTTTAATTTTTTGAAGAACATCTATATTGTATTCCATTATGCTTTTACCAATTCACATTCCTACCAACCATGTATAAGGGTTCCCTTTCTCTACAGTTTACCAACACTGATTATCTCTTGTCTTTTTGTTAATGGCTATTCTTACTGATGTAAGGTGATATGTCAATGCAGTTTTGATTTGCAGCTCTCTGATGATTAATGATGTTGAGCACCTTTTCATATACTTCTTGGTCATTTGTATGTCTTTTTTGAAAAATGTCTATTCGGGTCTTTTGCCCATATTTGAACTGGGTTATCTGTTTTTTGCTATTAAGTTCTATGGAGTCTATAGACTTTACATATTAACCCATTAGTGAATATAAGGTTTGCAAATATTTTCTCTCATTCTGTGGTTTGCCTTTTCATTTTGTTTATTGTTGTGTTGCTGTGCAAAAACTTTAATGTAGTCTCACTTGTTTAATTTTGCTTTTTTGGCATATGTTTTTGAGGTAATACCCCCAAAAAAATCATTGCCAAGGCCAATGTCTCGGAGCTTTTCACCTGCTTTCTTCTCCAAGTTTTGTGGTTTCAGGTCTTACATTTACATCTTTAATCTATTCGGAGTTGATTTTGCATATGGTGTAAGATCGGGATGCAGTTTTATTTTTTTCCATGTGGATATCCAGTTTTTCCATCACTATATATGTAGGAGAGTATCCTTTCCCTATTATATATTATTGACACCTTTTCAAAGATTAGTTAATTGTATATGCATGGATTTATTTCTGAGCTTTCTGTTCTATTCCATTATTCTATGTGCTGTTTTTATGCCAGTACCATACTGTTTTCATTAATATAGCTTTGTAGTATCATGTTAAATCAGGAAGTGTGATGCCTCCAGCTTTGTTCTTGTTGAAGATTGCTTTAGCTATTGCAGTTCTTTTGTGGTTCCATACGACTTTTGAGATTGTCTAATTCAGTTAAAAATCCCATTGGAATTTTGATAGGGGTTACATTAAATCTGTTGATTGCTTTGGGTAGTATGGACATTTTCGCAATATGATTCTTCTGATCCAAGAACAAGGATATCTTTCCAATTATTTGTGGCTTCTTCAATTTTTTTTGTCACTGTTATGGCTTTCAGTGTGCAGATCTTTCAGCTCCTTGATCAAATTTATTCCTAATTTATTCTTTTTGATACTGTTATAACTGAGATTATTTTCTTGATTTCTTTTTCAGACAGTTTTTGGTAAGTATATAAAAGTACCACTAATTTTTGTATGCTGATTTTGTATGCTGCAACTTCACTGATTTTTTTTTTCAGTGCCAGTAGTATTTTGGTGGAGTGTTTGGGGTTTCCATATATAAGATCTTGTGATCTACAAACAGAGGCAATTTGACTTCTTTTTTTCCAGTTTAGATCCCTTTTCTTTTTCTTCCCTAATTACTCTGCCTAGAATTATCAGTACAATGTTGAATAGATGTGGCCAGAGTGGGCATCATTGTCTTGTTCCTGATCTTACAGGAAAAGTATGCAACTTTCGCCATTGAGTATGATGTTAGTTGTGAGTTTGTCATAGCCTTTATCCTGGTAAGATACATTCCTTCTATATCTAAGCCTCCCAAAGTGCTAGGATTATAGGCTTGAGCCACCGCACCTGGCCCAGAAAGTTTCTATTTCTATGTCTTCAAAGTCACTGTTTAATCTACAGCATAAAGTTTACCATTAATCTCACCTCACATCCAGTGTATTTTATGTCTGACATTTTCATCTTTGGAAGTTTGATTTTGATGTTTTATGTATCTTTCATGTCTCTGTGTAACTTTTTGAACATATGGAATACATTTACAATAACCGTTTTATGTTATTGCCTGCTAATTCTGACATCTATGTCAGTTCTAGGTAACTTTAGACTGATGGTTTTCTCTGCCTTCTGAGTTGTATTTTCTTGTTTTTATTATATGCCTGGTGATTGTTTTTATTTAATGCCAGACATGACTTTACCAGGTTAGGTGCCAGATATTTTTGCATTCTATAAGTATTCATGAGCTTTATTATTATTATTATTATTTTGAGACAGAGTTTCCCTCTTGTTGCCTGGAGTGCAATGGTGAGAACTTGGCTCACTGCAACCTCTGCCTCCTGGGTTCAAGCAATTCTCCTGTCTCAGCCTCCCGAGTAGCTGGGATTATAGGCATGCGCCACCATGCCCAGCTAATTTTGTATTTTTAGTAGAGACGGGATTTCTCCATGTTGGTCAGGCTGGTCTCGAACTCCCAACCTCAGGTGATCTGCCCACCTTGGCCTCCCAAAGTGCTAGGATTACAGGCATGAGCCACCGTGCCCGGCTGAGCTTTTTATTTTTACTGGGACAAATTAAGTTATTCAGGAGCTGTTTGATCATTTTAAGTCTTTTAATATCTTTTAGCAAAAAAACAAAAAGTGTTTAGTCCAGGGCTAATTATTTACCACTGCTGACATAAGACCCTTCAGAATACTCTATCCAATGCTCAGCAAATTATGAGGTTTTCCAGTCTGGCTAGTGGGAACAGGCATTATTTCCAGCCCTGTATATCACTGGGTACTATTCTCTGAAGTCCTTTCGGATAATTCTTTCCCTGTCTTTGGGTAGTTCCCTTATATAATATGCTGATTAACTGAAAATTTGAGGGGTACCTCCTGCAGACTTACAGTGCTTTTTATCATCAGCTGTCTTTTCTATGTGCCTTCATCTTTGCATATTCTGGATGTCCTGGAATCTCCAAGTTCACAACTCTGTCCCCTCACCTCAGTGAACCTCCTGGTTAGGGCTCTGCCTCTCTGCACTCTGCCTTGGAAACTCTGTCCAGGAAGGAAGCTGGACAACTGTAGACCTTACCTTTTCCATTCCCCTTCTCCCAGAGATCACAGTCTCTGGGATACCTGCTGTCTAGTATCTGAGTACATAGCTATTTTTTCATATATTATTTTGAGTTTGTTGTGCTTAAGGCATGAGAGTAAATCTGGTCCTTGTTATTCCATCATAATCCAAAGCAAAAGTCAATAGATCATGACTTTTCAATTTTTAATTCAACTAAGTTAAAAATTTTAAAATCAAAGTTAATTTTACTTCCTAAAAACTAACTTTAGTTCTTTTGAAAAACAGGTCATTTTTAGGTTAATACATTCTGTAGGCATTTTCAAGCTTGTCATTATTATTATTATTATTATTATTATTATTATTATTATTATTATTTTGATACAGAGTTTTGATCTTGTTGCCCAGGCTGGAGTGCAGTGGCACAATCTCGGCTTACCACAATGCCCACTTCCCAGTTTCAAGTGATTCACCTGCCTCAGCCTCCCATGTAGCGGGGATTACAGGCATGTGCCACCACGCCCAGCTAATTTTCTATTTTTAGTAGAGACGGGGTTTTTCTATGTTGGTCAGGCTGGTCTCAAACTCCCAGCCTCAGGTGATCCGCCTGCCTCAGCCTCCCAAAGTGCTGGGATAACAGGCATGAGCCACCGTGCCCAGCTCATAATTATTTTAAATGTAATACTAGTTACGTTATTTTGTTTCATAATTCAAATATTGAAGCTTTATGAGCCTCTTATCTATTGTTTCCACTGGTTCTCAATCAGACTGACTTTTCTCCACTTGTACTTTATACAGTTCATGCTCTGAGCAGCTTTTTCCTTGTAGAATTATTTGGGCAAATTCTTTGACATATGGGTTAAATATGCATTCCTATAAAGATTTTTGTTTCCTTCTTCCAATTTTTGGATCATCGCTAATCCAGGACAATTATTAATCAAAATCATGCTTTGAGGTTATTTTGGCCCAAAACGGTAAAGCTAGTTTGGGCAACAAATCTGCAGGAGTGCTGGCTGGTGGTTGTAAATTCTCAAAAACAGGTTTTGCTGACTCAAAGGCAAATTTCTTTAGAATACTCTTGTGCTGGGGGATGAAACAGATTTTCTTTTCTTACTCTGAGGAAACACATCTTTTGTTTCCCATATTTCATGGGGTACACAAAAGTGTCTCCTCTTATACTCCCTATACAAACAAGTTCTGAGAATTACCTCCTTTGCACTATACCATATGAAGCTGAGAAAACCAAAGCTAAGATTTTTCCAGATTTGGCAAACGCCCTCAAGATAAAAGCAACTTCCCTTTTTCTAAATCCTGCCCACATTTATATTTTGACCAAAAAGATTATTCCCTTTTTTATATTTCTATACTTTTGGGTGATTTTCACATTTCATCTCTTTTTTAGTTGTTTTTGGTAGAAGAGGCAGCTTTAAAACCTAGTTCACCCTATTACCGGAAATGGAATCCCCATTCGCTACTGATTAATTCCTGCCATTAATCTGACACCGAGGTAGATGCTGGAATACAAGTACATCTAGACCAATGCTACTCTCAAAGTGCAGTCTGTGGGCTAGCACTGGTCTGTGGACTGTTTGTTAGCAGCCCACAATACTATACATATAGAAATTGTGAGTGAACTATGCAAGTAAACCTCTACTTTATCTCATCCCAGACTAGTAACAGTCAAGCAAAAGATGAGCATTTATACCATGTCACTGGGTCTTCTAAAAACAGTATGGTTATCAGCTGTTCATACAATAGTTTGAGTAAAATGGCATCTAAATTAGGATGGTTTTTTAGGCTTCTGTGAGCAGTCACATTAAAACTGGTGAATGTATAGATAACTCTCCCTAGGAGCATGTGCAGATAGAACAAAATATTAAAAATTTATATAAAATGTCAGTGTATACATGGATCCTCTGATGTCTTACAGATACGGGTTTTTAATCCTAGCAAGAGACAAAGATAGGGAAAAAGGCTTTCAAGTAAACATTTTACCATCACACAATGCTTCTCCACGTATCTGTGTGTGAAAACTGGGGTAGACAAAAGCTGGACCCCAAAACAAACTGTCAAGGGAATAAGTTGAACTATGTCATTTATTATACACTCAACCAAACCCAGGTGCCTGCAATGTACTAGATAAAGTTCTAGTCTCAGAACATGATTCTAGGAATTGAAATTTGTCATTCTTTTTCCATCCCTCACCCCTCTACCTCCAGCAACTGAATTCTCTTCCTATGTTGAAGAGTCTTATTAGAAGGCAGGGACTACCTCCTTCTACAAAGGAGAAAAATTCACTTTCCCCAACATTATTGCAGTTAAACACTGCAAGAGGCTTTGGCTGCACAATTTAGATAACCACATGTGGGCTTCTAATCAGGATGAGATGACACAGAGAGGCTGGGACAGTAAATACTGCATTTTGGTAAAGATGGCTGAGGAGCAGTAGTGGAGCAGTTCTCAGGAGCAGCAGTGATAGCAGTCTTTGCCACAGGGCCCAGTGTCGGCCATCAGGGTATCAGAGGTATATGCAGTAGCATCTGTGCTCAGGAGCAGGGACAGTGGTTCCTATGAGAGATCTGAATTAGGGTGGCTGTGGATTATGTTCCTGGCTGTGTAGCTTCAAACCTGGTTCTGTGTCCAATGTGGTTTGGCTGTGTCCCCACCCAAATCTCAACTTGAATTGTATCTCCCAGAATTCCCACATGTTGTGGGAGGGACCCAGGGGGAGGTAATTGAATCATGGGGGCCAGTCTTTCCCATGCTATTCTCATGATAATGAATAAGTCTCCTGAGATCCAATGTGTTTATCAGGGGTTTTGGCATTTGCTTCTTCCTCATTTTCTCTTGCCACCACCATGTAAGAAGTGCCTTTCGCCTCCCACCATGATTCTGAGGCCTCCCCAGCCAAATGGAACTGTAAGTCCAATTAAACCTCTTTTTCTTCCCAATGTTGGGTATGTCTTTATCGGCAGTGTGAAAACGGACTATGGACTAATACAGTGCCCTTCCCCAAAATAAAATGAATACTAATACCAATATGTACACTCCTTTATGTTTAAATTAGAAAAATTTGCAAGTCATTGTTTGCTCCAAGGAGTGAGTGTGAAATCATTCTGGAGAGTAGTTTCAGAAAGCAGCATTCAGATATTTTTTCATTCTGCTGAGCTGTGAGCCACTTCTCAATCTTCCATCTGGCTATACCCCATGATAGAGAAAATGACATTTATCTCTCAGCATCCTGTCTTATAATTAAAGAAACACATCCTCCTTAAAAATAAATAAATAAATAAATAAAAAACCCAGAATAAAGCAACACTTAAATGTGGGTCTGAGACCCCTCCCCATCCTGGGCATTCTCCAACTACTGATCTCAGTGATATCAAATCTGGCTGAGCACCAGGTTTGCTGTGGGCTTGTTGTAGAATACTCAGGCCTCTCCACAGATGCCCCTGTGTCAGAATGTTGCGCATGGAGTGCAGGAATTGCTTATTAACAAGCCTCACAGGCGAGGCTGATGCATAGCCTAGGAATCCTGGTCTGTGTTCTTGCTACCAAAAGTGGGATCTGAAGACCAGCAGCATCAGCGCCAACAGCAACATTATATAAGTAGGAAATCTCATTCTCGATTCCAGATCAGCTTAGACTTAAGGTGATGTCCAGGTGATTCCTGTCCACAGGAAAGTCTAGAACTCCCTGGTCTATGTACCTTCTAGATGTGGGGTCAGGACTGTGCAGTCTGATCTAGGTGTGTTGTCTGATCAGATCCTTTAGCAACAGAGGCCTAGTGTTCAGTCCTTGTTCCTGTTCTCTTCTACAGCCAATCACTCCCTTGGAGACGTCATTCAGACTCAAGGCTTTAAATAACTGTTATATGACATCACCTCCCAAGTCTATTTCTCCTAAATGTCTCCAGATTCATCTGTCCAACTGCCAACCCGACTACCTCACTGGTATTTCTCAGCGGCATCTCAGATCCCACGTCTCCCATAGTGACTGCCTGCGACGTCCCCTCCTCTCATATGCTCCTGCTAGTCTTCTCATTCTCAGCTGATGGCAACTCTTTTTAGTCACAGTCTGACATTTTTGGTATCCTTTACTCTTCTTTCTCATACCCCAGATTTAGTCCATTAGAAAATGCGGTATAAAGTGATTGGAAATAGTAGGAATCCAATCACGTCCCACTATTTCCACTGCTCACACCCCAGTTGAAGTAACCGACATCTCCAGCCTGAAATACTGCACTCATTTCCTACAGTTTTCCCACCTGCCTTGCTCATCGCCGGCCTTTGGATTCTGTTCTCAGCAGAGCAGCTACAGTGATCCTTTTAAAAGAGAAGTTGTGGCATGTCTTTATTCTGCTTAAAACTATCTCATTCAAAATCAAAATCCTTCCCACATACTTGAGCCCTATGCCCACATGATCTGACCAAACCCCTGACCTTATCTCAGTGACTCTCTGCTCTAGCCATACCCGATCCCGTGTTCTTCCCAGAACACACAGACATGATCCTGCCCTGGTACACTGACACTGAAGGTTCCTACTCCCTAGAAAAAACTTCTTCCAGATACCCTCATGACAAATTCCTTTATGTCCTTCAAATATTTCATCAAAGGTCACCTTCCCAACAAGGCCCACGCTGACAACCCCGGCACAATAGCTACCTTCTCTGTCCCACAACCCATACTCTGATCACCTGTTCCACAGCACTTATCACCTTCTAACACTTTCCTCATTTACTCTGCATATATTAGAGTGTATGTACCGTCTGCCTCTTCCCACTGGAACACATGCTCCACAAGGCTAGAGATTTTTCTGATTTTACTTCAATGACTTTCCCCAGATGCAAAAACATTCTGTCATATGTCTGGCAGACAGCAAATGTCGGCTGAATGAATCATCACTGTAGAGCACCTCCTATTCTAAAGGCAGTATCTTTATTAACATAGCCTCAGGCCAAATGCGGTTTTGCAGCAACGACAGCACAAGGTCCCCTCACACTGACATCCAGGCCGCCTGTGCTTTTCCCAGCAGTGCTGCTTGTGTGTCCTCCCTCCCTTCCTCCCTGCATCCCTCCTTCACACCAACCCTCTGCACACTGCAGCATGCAATTATATTTCCCTCTTAGGAAAGAACAATCTTTGACTATGAATCCCAATTTCCAAACAAATATAAATCTAAGTTAGACTTTGCTTTATAGATCCATGAGTTTGCATTAGAGCCAGTGCTAGGATTACTACAACTCAGGGAAGGGAGAGTGGGTAGGAGAGCTGAGCAGAAGAGGAGTTCCACTAGAAAGTTACCTAAGATGAGAACTTGTGGCATCCCTCTTCTCTGCTAATTTCAGAATCTAGTTCCTTTAAAAAGGTTGGGGAAAAGATAGAAAATACAATCCAAGAAAGAGCCCTGGAAATAGGGTAAAAGCTGCACGGGCTTGAAAATTCATCTCTTAATACCACAGACTTCTGTGTGCAGGGGCTGCCTTCCACCTTGTGGGGTTAATGACAGGAAAAATGACTCCTGCTGCTGTCAGAGATGAGGGACACCCAGGGGAGAAAGAGATCAGAACGCAGACACCAGAACAGGAACAGGCATAGTCCTCTACAGAAACAAAGAAACCAAAAATAATGATACAAAATATTAGGGCCAGACCATAGACTGACCCAGCCCATGAAGCCCTTGCTGTCCACGGTCCTAGAGACAGGACAAGGCCCAGGCAATGTTTGTGTGCCTGTGATCACAGGTCCTGGTGAAACAAGGTTCTACTGAAGGGACACAAACAATGGAGCAGTGAAGATGACCAACCCAATGAATGACCACGTCAAATTCCATGATGAACTGAGCATAGGCTGTCCACACTCAGCTCCTCACAGCCCTCTCTCTCCTGTCTCCACCTACAACAGGCCCAGCACAGCAAAAATGGATTCTGGAAGGCTCTCAGGTTTTACTTCCTCTCTCAAGTTTTAAGAGTCTTGCTCTCCTTTCATTGAACAATCAACCCAACCTCATGGCAAGAATTTGAAAAATTCATATCCAGGTTCTTATTTTGAATAGTGGAGTAAGTGGCAGCTCAGTGAAACTTAAAAGTTAAGACATGAATAGAAATGTCCCAGCCTCACCTCTGTTGAAAAAAAACTTGACCGGGGAAGAGAGGACAGGTTAGTGTGGGGTGGTGGTCCTGGTGGCAGTGGTGGACCAGTAGCCCATTTCCTCACATTATGCTAACTGGAACACAGACACATAGATATATTCACGTGTCAAGTGCAGATATAGAAGTCAGGAGCTCTTGAAATTACAATGGTGTGTGTCAGAGGAAGGACCTGAAGAAATTTTGTATCTCTCAGTCCCACTCAAGGCAGTTGTCTCAAGCTACAGGAGAAAATAATCATAAACAAATCCAGGGCAGTCACTGTACCTGGTGACACTCTGAACAGCCTACCACATGGTCAAGATGTCTAAATCCAGAGAACCCCTCAACAGAATCATGTCCCCTCTGCCTCACCCCCACCCACTTCAGGCCCCCCCATGTCTCACCTTTACAAGTATCATGAGATGCATCAGAGTACTGAGCACAATTGCTGCCTGGGGTAGAACAAAAATAGGAACTGGTCAGAGCCCACAGGAGATGTGGCTAAAGGAGGAATCTTGTCTACACTGTCCCAACGATCTCAGGGAGCAGCCCTCTAATCCCCCATACTAACAGGCAGCCCGAGCATAGCTCCTCCTTGTTCTATCTGTGAGAAAAAAACAACCTGTGAGAGGTCAGGGAGGACATGGGGCATGAAGTCCTTAAGGAAACAGCAAATCCTGGACCCCAGGAAAATTTCCAGAACTGTGACTGCAGACCCAGGGCAGGATCAGGAAACATGAGGAAAGCAGGTGTGGTGACTGGACCAACTGCCCTCCTGAGGTCTGTCCTCAGTAGGGATCTTCCCTTGTGACCTGTGACTGCTGGGAGGTCCCCATCACCACAATCATCAAGGTGATAAATTTGTCCTTCGTTTTCACATGTGCTTCACAAAAGAGCAAGTGTTGGCACACAGGGCCCCAGGCTAGGTCGGCCTGTGTGTCGACGGTGCTTCCCAGTGATGAAGCAAGTCACAATTCTACCTGTGGCTTGAAACCCACAGTGGAACAAGAAAACCCAGACCCCACCTCTCACCCCTTCCCTACCTGAGCTTTTCTTCCTCCACATCGCAGCAGCAACCACAGCTCCAGTGACCACAGCTCCAAGGAGAAACAGGCCAGCAACGATGCCCACGATGGGGATGGTGGGCTGAGAAGACGGCTCTGGGAAAGGAGAGGGAGGTGAGGGGTTCTGACCCCCAGGCCTCAGCCCTGCCCTGCTGAAGGTCTCCTGCTTTCCCTGAGAGGAGACAACTTACACCCCTCCTTACCCCATCTCAGGGTGAGGGGCTCTGGCAGCCCCTCATGCTGCACATGGCACATGTATCTCTGCTCCTCTCCGGAAGGCACCACTACAGCCACCCACTTCTGGAAGGTTCCGTCCCCTGCAGGCCTGGTCTCCACAAGCTCCGTGTCCTGGGTCTGGTCCTCCCCATCCTGCTGCCAGGTCAGTGTGATCTCCGCAGGGTAGAGGCCCAGGGCCCAGCACCTCAGGGTGGCCTCATGGTCAGAGATGGGGTGCTGGGTCACATGTGCCTTTGGGGGATCTGAGGGGAAGAGTCAGAAAATTCAGGCACTTTGCATTCCTCATAGGACACTCCAGCAGCATACATGTGACCATCCTGAGAATGGACAGGACACCTGGGATGGGGAAGGGAGCACAGAACCCAGACACCAGCCTGGACACAGGAATCTGGGATAATCTCCTATTCCTTGGAAAGTTCGAGTCTCTGATGGGGGAGCAGGGACTTCTGGTCCTGACCTGAGTGGAGGCCAAGGCACTCAGAAGAGCTGGAATCGGAGCCACGGACACACTGAGTGTGAGGGAGAGAACAAGGCCTGAGAGGAAAATTCCTGGTGCCCCAGGCTGCTGCAGGGGTCAAAGGGGACCACGGATCAGTATTCCAGGGACTGTCTTCTCCTCCATTTCCTCAGGGACTTCATCCCTTAATTGTCCCAGAGAGCAGGGTGGGCTCTCAGAGTTACTCTCTGGTACAGGATCTGGAAACCCAGGATTCTTCCCATTCAGGACCAGTGGGAGGGCGATATTCTAGCATTGGTCCCATTTTCCTACTCTCCTGGTGGGAGGCCAGCCCGGGAAATCTACAGGAAATGAGGGAGGCGCCCCCGTGGCCCCTGGTACCCGCGTGCTGCAGCGTCTCCTTCCCGTTCTCCAGGTGTCTGCGGAGCCACTCCATGCACTTGCCCTCAGGTAGGCCCTGACCTGCTCTGAGTATTTGTCCGCTTCCCACTTGTGCTGGGAGATCTGAGCCGCTGTGTTCGCGGCGGTCCAGGAGTGCAGGTCCTCGTTCAGGGCGATGTAATCCTTGCCATCGTAGGCGAACTGTTCATACCTGCGGAGGAGGCGCCTGTCGGGCCCACGTCGCAGCCATGCTTCCTCTGGATGGTGTGAGAACCATGGCCTCGCCCCCGCCGTCAGCCCCGAACACCGAGCCCCGCTCCCGCCCCGACCAACCCGCGGGGATTTTGGCCTAAACTGAAATTAAACCGGGTAAAGGCGCCCGAGTTTCTTCCCTGGTCGAGGGTCTGGGCAGGTCCCGCAGCCTCGGGGTGGATCTCAGACCGGAGACTCAGACCCGGGACCTGGGCTGTCCGTGGGGGATGGGGAGGGATCGTGACCTGCGCCCCGGGCCAGGGTCACTCACCGGCCTCGCTCTGGTTGTAATAGCGGAGCAGGGTCCGCAGGTTCACTCGGTAAATCTGCGCGTGGCCCTTGGCGTTCCGTGTCTCCTGGTCCCAATACTCCAGCCCCTCCTGCTCCACCCACGGCGCCCGCCGCTCCATCCTCGGACTCACGGAGTCGCTGTCGAACCGCACGAACTCTGTGTCGTCCACGTAGCCCACGGCGATGAACCGGGGCTCCCCGCGGCCGGGCTGGGACACTGCGGTGCTGAAATACCTCAAGGAGTGGGAGCCTGGAGGCGAGGAGAGGCTGAGACCCGCCCGACCCTCCTCCCGGCGCGGCTCCCCGGGCCGGGCGGGCCACTCGCTTCTCCCCGCAGAGGCCCTTTCCCTCCCGACCCCGCACTCACCGGCCCAGGTCTCGGTCAGGGCCAGGGCCCCCAAGAGCAGCAGGAGGAGGGTTCGGGGAGCCATGACCCCCATCCTTGGCGTTTGGGGAGAATCTGAGTGCGGGTGGTTGCGCCGGGACTGTAGTGCCGGGATCGTAGTGCCGGGATCGCGGCGAAGCTGATTGGCTTCTCTAAAAACCCGGCACCCAATGGGAGTGAGAAGTGGGATTATGTCACAAGTATCCAGGAAGAAGGTTGGGAGAACCAAAACTCAGGGGAGTGGGCAATCCCCAACCCTGTGACTCCCCAGTGCAGTCATCGCTCTTGGGGCCTGAGACCCAGAGAGCCACGCCTGGGGCCTGGGACTTTGTCCTGACCTCTCTTTTCCTACGCCAGCCTCTTTGTCACACTGACTGCCTGAGTCCTGGTCAAGGATCTGTCTGTGGAAACTAGGGAGAGAACCCCCAGGCTGGGCCCAGCCCCTTCCCATTCACGCTCATCCTGGAATCCTCGTCCCTGAACTGGACTTCCGACTCCTTACCTCTCCCCTTGGACTATCCTAGAAGAAAACTCACCCCAGGGAACTTTGATGCCAGAGAGTGAGCTCGCCTTGGGAATGGCGGTGTAGAGAAAGGGGTTTTCTCTTTAAACCTGGTGAAGTTGTGGCTGAAGGCACAAGATAGAGATTCTCATAGTGACCAGGTTTTTTTGTTTGTTTGTTTATTAATACAGTGGTTAGCACAATCTAACCCCTGAATGATCAGGATTCTAATCTGTAAAAGACCTGATTTTGCCTGCTTCATATATAAGTGTATCCAAACAGCATTGCAATTCGAGTCACAAAGCTTCTAAGTTTACTTTCCCAGACTGTGGATCCATGACTCTGGGTTGTTGCATTTAAAATTATCTTCATTCCATAGCCCGAGTTTCCCTGTGTGAGTCCAGGACATCTCAATACAAAGAAGCAGGATTTGTTACTGTATATTGTAACAAGGAGCCTCAAAATTGCACTGAAGTCAAAATGCCTATCATCAATGCTTAAGCACTGCTTGTTTTTATGAATTATGCACATCTAAGCAGTGTGCACATTTTATTTGCATACTTGGTATTTTTTTACTCTTATGTTTTTAATCATGAGGAGGCCATTAGTTTTTGGCAGTCCCACAAAATGTATTAAATACCGAATGCATGTCAAGAACCCCCTGCTAGGCTCCTCCACTGCTTTAGAGTCCTTTCCCTTGCTCCTTTTCCTCACTTCCTGTCTCTCCAGCCCTTCTCTCTGCCCCTCTCATCCCTCACACCCTCCCCTCCCCTTAGTCCCTGCCACCCTCTCACCCCTGAATTGTGGCACTAACACTGTCCCTCACTTCCTGCCCATGTCTGTTCTCCCCACAGTGCTCAGCAGTTCTGCTAATGTGACTCAGGTCGTGTCATTTCTTCACTTACAATGGTTGGGTTTTGGTCTACCATTTTGCTGTATGTTTTCAATTTGTCTCGTATCTTTTTGTTTCTATTCCTCCTTTCCTACTTTCTTATGTGTTAAGTAAACATTTTTTAGTTTATGGTTTTAATTCTAGTGGCTTTTAGGTATATTTCTTTACACTAATTTTTTATTGTTGTAAGAATTGAAACCCGATTCCTTGACTTTTCATGGTGAAGTTCAGGTAATATTAAGCTGCATCCAGCAAAATAAAGGACACTTGTAAGAGTGTAGTTTCATGTAACCTACCATTGTGCTATTCTTGTTGTATATATTACATCAATATACTTTATAAACTCAATAATACAGTAATACTTTTTGTTTTAAGCATTCATATTGTCATTAAGAAAATGAGTGTGTATGTGATCTGTGTATGTGCATAATTTCTGTTGTTAATTATCCCTTTCTATATATCTAGGTCACCATCTAGTATCATTTCCCTTCAGCCTGAAGAACTTCCTTCAAAATTATACGTAGTACAAGATCCCTAGGAAATGAATTTTCTGATTTGGATTATGTAAAAGTGTCTTCATTTTTGCCTTCTTCCCCCACCTTTTTTTTTCCTAATTGGGGCGTTTGTGTATAATAAAACTCACCAGTTTTAGCTACAATGTTTTATGAATATTGGTAATTATTTATAGTCATGTAACTACCACATTGCCCAGATAGAGGACAGTTTCTTTTCCCTAAAAACTTTCCTTATGCCCCTTTTCTATTTAATCCTTGCCTCCCACCCTCACCCCCTTCTCTTCACTCAACCACTGCTGTGCTTTCTGTTACTGTAATAATGAAATTTCTAGAATTTCATGGACATGCAATCATATGTTATGTAGTCCTTTGGTCTCTCACTTGTCATAACAATATTTGAGATTTTTCCATGTAGTTAAGAGTAATAATATTTCATTCATTTTTGTCACTGAGTAGCTGCTGAGTATTGTTGGAATTCCAGTTTATTCGTTGGTTTCTCTATTCTCCAGCTGATAAACGTGGGTTATTTCCGGTTAGGGTCTGTAATTAATGAAACCACTATAAATAACTGACTACAAGTCTTTGCATGGCCTTAAATTTTCATTTCCTTTGGATAAATAAATATTTGTGGAATTGTTGGGTGATATGGTAAATGGATGGGTAGCTGTTTAAGAAATTGCCATATTATTTTACAAACTGACTGCAACTTTTTTTTGCGTTCCTACCAACAATATAAGAGATTTTTATTTTTTCCATATTCATACCAGTATTTAGAATTATCATATGTCTTTTGAACTTTACTTATTCTAGGTGATGTGTGATGGTTTCTCATTGTGGTTTTAACTTGCACTTCTTTGATGACTAGTATTGTTGCTATCTTGTCATGTTTGTCTAAGAGACTTATTACATATCTTTTGTGAACAATTTTGCAAATTTAATTATTACTTCCAGAGACTTTTTCAGAATTCCTTATTGTTTTCTACATATGTAATTAAGCTGAGAAAGAAAGATTTTATTTCTTCCTTTCCTATCATTGTTTTTTTTCTTTTAAAAATTATTTATATTTAGTAAAGACAGGGGTCTAACTATGTTGCTCAAGCTAGTCTCAAACTCTTGAACTAAAGTGATCCTCCCACCTTGGCCTCCCAAAGTGCTGAGATTACAGGCATGAGGCACCACACTTGGCCCTTTTATTGGTCTTTTATTTCATTTTCTTGCCATATTGCACTAGTTAGGATGCTCGTAAGGTGTTTTAAACAAAAATGAGGAGAGCCACATCTTTGCTTTGTTGCTAATCTTAGGAAGTAAGCATCTGGCCTTTCATAATTGAATATGAGGGTAGCTGTAAACTTTTCGTGGGTGTCCTTAACCACATTGAAGATATTCCTTTCGATTTTGTTTGCTGAGCTATTTTGTCATGAAATGGTCTTGATTTTGCAAGTGCTTTTTCTGCATTGACTATAATAATTGTGCAACATTTGTTCTTTGTTCTATTAATTGGGTGAATTGTATTGTTTAATTTTCAGATGTTAAACCAACCTTACTTTCCCTTTAAAAAAACCAATATGGCATGGCATATTATTCATTTTATGTATATCTTAATTGGATAACGTTTTGTATTGAATTGTGAGTCTGTGTTCAAGAGGAATATTTGTTCTTGATTCTTTTTCTTGTGATGTTCTTGTCTGGGATTTTTATTTGGGTAATGCTGGTGATATGGTTTGGCTCTATGTCCCCACCCAAATATTATCTTGAATTGTACTCCCATAATTCCCATGTGTTGTGGGAGGGACCCAGGGGACCCAGTGGGAGATAATTTGAATCATGGGGTTGGTTTCCCCCATACTGTTCTCGTGGTAGTGAATAAGTCTCATGAGATCTGATGGTTTTATCAGGGGTTTCTGCTTTTGCATCTTCCTCATTTTCTCTTGTTACCGCCATGTAAGAAGTGCCTTTCACCTCCCGCCATGATTCTGAGGCCTCCCCAACCATGTGGAATTCTAAGTCCAGTTAAACCTCTTTTTCATCTCAGTCTTGGGTATTTCTTTATGAGCAGCATGAAAACGCACTAATACAGTAAATTAGTACCAGTAGAGTGGGTGCTACTGAAAAGACACCCGAAAATGTGGAATTGACTTTGGAACTGGGTATTAGGCAGAGGTTGGAACAGTTTGGAGGGCTCAGAACAAGACAGAAAAATGTGGGAAAGTTTGGAACCTCCTAAAGACTTGTTGAATGCCTTTGACAAAAATGCTGATGGTGATATGAACAATAAGGTCCAGGCTGAGGTGGTCTCAGATGGAGATGAGGAACTTGTTGGGAACTGGAGCAAAGGTGACTCTTGTTACGTTTTAGCAAAGAGACTGGTGGCATTTTGCCCCTGCCCTAGAGATCTGTGGCACTCTGAACTTGAGAGAGATGATTTAGGGTATCTGGCAGATAAAATTTCTAAGCAGCAAAGCATTTAAAATGTGACTTGGGTGCTGTTAAAAGCATTCCATTTTAAAAGGGAAACAGAGGATAAAAGTTCAGAAAATTTACAGCCTGACGATGCAATAGAAAGAAAAACCAATTTTTTTGAGGAGAAACTCAAGCTGGCTGCAGAAATTTGCGTAAGTAACAAAGAGCCAAATGTTGATCCCCCAAGACAATGGGGAAAATGTCTCCAGGGCATGCCATAGGTCTTCATGGCAGCCCCTCCCATCACAGACCCAGAAGCACAGGAGGAAAAAATGGTCTCCTGGTCCAGGCCCAGGGTTCCCATGCTGTGTGCAGCTTAGGGACTTGGTGCCCTGGGTCCCAACTGCTCCCACGGCTGCTAAAAGGGGCCAAGCTTGGTACAGCTTGGCCCATGGCTCCAGAGGGTGCAAGCTTTAAGCCTTGACAGCTTCCACATGGTTTTGAGCCTGCAGGTGCACAGAAGTCAAGAATGGAGGTTTGGGAACCTCCACCTAGATTTCAGAAGATGTATGGAAATGCTAAGATGCCCAGGCAAAAGTTTGCTGCAGGGGCAGGGCCCTCACGGAGAACCTCTGCTAGAGCAGTGTGGAGGGGAAATAGGGGGCTGGAGCCCCCACACAGAGTTCCTATTAGGGCACTGCCCAGTGGAGCTGTGAGAAGAGGGCCACGGTGCTCCAAATCTCAGAATGGTAGATTGACCAACAGCTTGCACTGTGCACCTGGAAAAGCCAGATACTCACGCCTGACTGTGAAAGCTGGCTGCATAGATTAAATTGAAAGTTGTTGCCTCCTTTAATTTCTAAAAGGTATGTGTAAAATTGATGTTATTTCCAAATTATTTGTTAGATACATTTCATCAATGAAGCCTTCTGGACCTGGAGTTTCCTATATGAGAAGGATTTTGATTACACATTCAATTTCTACAATCAATATATGACTGGCCACATTTTCTATCTCTTCTCAGGTCAGTTTTCATAAGTTTTCTCTCTCAAGGAAATTGTTCATTTCATTTGCTTGTCAAACTTATTGACATGAGATTATCAATATTTCTTTTTGAGATCTAGAGAGTGTGCACTGATGTTCGTTTTTTCTTGACATTGTTAATGTGCATCTTTTTGTCTTGATCAGTCTAGCTAGAAATTTATAAAGTGTACTGATTTTTCCCCATAGAACCAATATTTGGGTTCATTAATTTTCTCTGTCTTTCTGCTTCATTTTTTCCATTTAATTATTATTTTCTTCCTTCTCCATGCTTTGGTTTAATTTGTTTTTCTTTGTTTCTTATAGCAGAAGCTAATTTACTAATTTGAGACCTACCTTCTTTCTTAATATAGGCATTTAAGGGTATTGGTTTTTTCTCTAGTACTACTTCAGCTGCATCCCATACATTTGATATGTATGTTTCATTATCCTTCAGAATACAGAAGACTTTCTAATTTCTCTAGATTTCCTCTTTGAATAAATTGTCATTTAGAATTTTGATGTTAATTTCCAATACTTGGTAGTATTTTCATCATCATCTGTCTTAGTCAATCTGGGCAGTTATAAAAGAATACCATAGACTATGTGGCTTGCAAACAACAGAAATCTATTTCTCACAATTCTGGAGGCTGGAAAGTCAAAGATCAAGGCCTGGGAAGAGTCCATGTATGGTAAGGGCTGCTTCCTGATTCATGGATGTTGCTTTTCCTTGGTGTCCTCACATGGTGGAAGGGGCAAGGAGCTCTCTGGGGTCCCTTTTATAAGGGCATTCATTTCATTAATGAGGGTTTTGCCTTCATTGCATGATCACTTCCTAATGGCTCCACCTCCAAACACCATCACATTAGAGATTAGGTTTCAATTATGAGTTTAAGGATGACAAAAGCATTCAGTCCCACAGGATCATCTTATTGTTACAGATTTCTTTTTTTTAAGTTATTTTTTTTAATGTCTATATATTTTTATTATACTTTAAGTTCTAGGGTACATGTGCACAATGTGCAGGTTTGTTACATATGTATACATGTGCCATGTTGGTGTGCTGCAAACATTAACTCGTCATTTACATGAGGTATATCTCCTAGTGCTATCCCTCCGCCCTCCCCCCACCCCACAACAGGCCCCGGTGTGTGATATTCCCCTTCCTGTGTCCAGGTGTTCTCATTGTTCAATTCCCACCTGTGAGTGAGACCATGCGTTGTTTGGTTTTTTGTCCTTGGGATAGTTTGCTGAGAATAATGGTTTCCAGCTTCATCTGTGTCCCTACAAAGGACATGAACTCATCCTTTTTTATGGCTGCGTAGTATTCCATGGTGTATATGTGCCACATTTTCTTGATCCAGTCTATCATTGATGGACATTTGGGTCGGTTCCAAGTCTTTGCTATTGTGAATAGCGCCACAATAAACATACGTGTGCATGTGTCTTTATAGCAGCATGACTTATAATCCTTTGGGTATATACCCAGTAATGGGATGGCTGGGTCATATGGTATTCCTAGTTCTAGATCCCTGAGGAATCGCCACACTGTCTTCCACAATGTTTGAACTAGTTTACAGTCCCACCAACAGTGTAAGTGTTCCTATTTCTCCACATCCTCTCCAGCACCTGTTGTTTCCTGACTTTTTAATGATCATGATTCTAACTGGTGTGAGATGGTATCTCATTGTGGTTTTGATTTCCTTTTCTCTGATGGCCAGTGATGATGAGCATGTTTTCATGTGTCTGTTGGCTGCATAAATGTCTTCTTTTGAGAAGTGCCTGTTGATATCTTTGCCCATTTGTTGATGGGGTTGTTTGTTTTTTCTTGTAAATTTGTTTGAGTTCCTTGTAGATTCTGGATATTAGCCCTTTGTCAGATGAGTAGATTGAAAAAATTTTCTCCCATTCTGTAGGTTGCCTGTTCACTCTGATGGTAGTTTCTTTTGCTGTGCAGAAGCTCTTCAGTTTAATTAGATCCCATTTGTCAATTTTGGCTTTTGTTGCCATTGCTTTTGGTGTTTTAGTCATGAAGTCCTTGCCCATGCCAATGTCCTGAATGGTATTGCCTAGGTTTTCTTCTAGGGTTTTTATGGTTTCAGGTCTAACATTTAAGTCTTTAATCCGTCTTGAATTAATTTTTGTATAAGGTGTAAGGAAGGGATCCAGTTTCAGCTTTCTACATATGGCTAGCCAGTTTTCCCAGCACCATTTATTAAATAGGGAATCCTTTCCTCATTTCTTGTTTTTGTCAGGTTTGTCAAAGATCAGATGGTTGTAGATGTGTGGTATTATTTCTGAGGGCTCAATTCTGTTCCATTGGTCTATATCTCTGTTTTGGTACCAGTACAATGCTGTTTTGGTTACTGTAGCCTTGTAGCATAGTTTGAAGTCAGGTAGCGTGATGCCTCCAGCTTTGTTCTTTTGGCTTAGGATTGACTTGGCGATGCAGGCTCTTTTTTGGTTCCATATGAACTTTAAAGTAGTTTTTTCCAGTTCTATGAAGAAAGTCATTGGTAGCTTGATGGGGATGGCATTGAATCTATAAATTAGCTTGGGCAGTATGGCCATTTTCACGATATTGATTCTTCCTACCCATGAGCATGGAATGTTCTTCCATTTGTTTGTATCCTTTTTTATTTCGTTGAGCAGTGGTTTGTAGTTCTCCTTGAAGAAGTCCTTCACATCCCTTGTAAGTTGGATTCCTAGGTGTTTTTTTCTCTTTGAAACAATTGTGAATGAGTTCACTCATGATTTGGCTCTCTGTCTTTTATTGGTGTATGAGAATGCTTGTGATTTTTGCACATTGATTTTGTATCCTGAGACTTTGCCGAAGTTGCTTAGCAGCTTAAGGAGATTTTGGGCTGAGACAACGGGGTTTTCTAGGTATACAATCATGCCATCTGCAAACAGAGACAATCTGACTTCCTCTTTTCCTAATTGAATACCCTTTATTTCCTTCTCCTGCCTGATTGCCCTGGCCAGAACTTCCAACACTATGTTGAATAGGAGTGGTGAGAGAGGGCATCCCTGTCTTGTGCCCGTTTTCAAAGGGAATGCTTCCAGTTTTTGCCCATTCAGTATGATATTGGCTGCGGGTTTGTCATAAATAGCTCTTATTATTTTGAGATACGTCCCATCAATACCTAATTTATTGAGAGTTTTTAGCATGAAGGGCTGTTGAATTTTGTCAAAGGCCTTTTCTACATCTATTGAGATAATCATGTGGTTTTTGTCTTTGGTTCTGTTTATATGCTGGATTATGTTTATTGATTCGCGTATGTTGAGCCAGCCTTGCATCCCAGGGATGAAGCCCACCTGATCATGGTGGATAAGCTTTTTGATGTGCTGCTGGATTCGGTTTGCCAGTATTTTATTGAGGATTTTTGTGTCGATGTTCATCAGGGATATTGGTCTAAAATTCTTTTTTTTGTTGTGTCTCTGCCAGGCTTTGGTATCAGGATGATACTGGCCTCATAAAATGAGTTAGGGAGGATTCCCTCTTTTTCTATTGATTGGAATAGTTTCAGAAGGAATGGTACCAGTTCCTCCTTGTACCTCTGGTAGAATTCGGCTGTGAATCCATCTGGTCCTGGACTCTTTTGGTTGGTAAGCTATTGATTATTGCCACAATTTCAGATCCTGTTATTGGTCTATTCAGAGATTCAACTTCTTCCTGGTTTAGTCTTGGGAGAGTGTATGTGTCCAGGAATTTATCCATTTCTTCTAGATTTTCTAGTTTATTTGCGTAGAGGTGTTTGTAGTATTCTCTGATACTAGTTTGTATTTCTGTGGGATCGGTGGTGATATCCCCTTTATCATTTTTTATTGCGTCTATTTGATTCTTCTCTCTTTTTTTCTTTATTAGTCTTGCTAGCGGTCTATCAATTTTGTTGATCCTTTCAAAAAACCAGCTCCTGGATTCATTAATTTTTTGAAGGGTTTTTTTGTGTCTCTATTTCCTTCAGTTCTGCTCTGATTTTAGTTATTTCTTGCCTTCTGCTAGCTTTTGAATGTGTTTGCTCTTGCTTTTCTAGTTCCTTTAATTGTGATGTTAGGGTGTCAATTTTGGATCTTTCCTGCTTTCTCTTGTGGGCATTTAGTGCTATAAATTTCCCTCTACACACTGCTTTGAATGTGTCCCAGAGATTCTGGTATGTTGTGTCTTTGTTCTCGTTGGTTTCAAAGAACATCTTTATTTCTGCCTTCATTTCGTTATGTACCAAGTAGTCATTCAGGAGCAGGTTGTTCAGTTTCCATGTAGTTGAGTGGTTCTGAGTGAGATTCTTAATCCTGAGTTCTAGTTTGATTGCACTGTGGTCTGAGAGATAGTTTGTTATAATTTCTGTTCTTTTACATTTGCTGAGGAGAGCTTTACTTCCAAGTATGTGGTCAATTTTGGAATAGGTGTGGTGTGGTGCTGAAAAAAATGTATATTCTGTTGATTTGGGGTGGAGAGTTCTGTAGATGTCTATTAGGTACGCTTGGTGCAGAGCTGAGTTCAATTCCTGGGTATCCTTGTTGACTTTCTGTCTTGTTGATCTGTCTAATGTTGACAGTGGGGTGTTAAAGTCTCCCATTATTAATGTGTGGGAGTCTAAGTCTCTTTGTAGGTCACTCAGGACTTGCTTTATGAATCTGGGTGCTCCTGTATTGGGTGCATATATATTTAGGATAGTTAGCTCTTCTTGTTGAATTGATCCCTTTACCATTATGTAATGGCCTTCTTTGTCTCTTTTGATCTTTGTTGGTTTAAAGTCTGTTTTATCAGAGACTAGGATTGCAACCCCTGCTTTTTTTTGTTTTCCATTGGCTTGGTAGATCTTCCTCCATCCTTTTATTTTGAGCCTATGTGTGTCTCTGCCCGTGAGATGGGTTTCCTGAATACAGCATACTGATGAGTCTTGACTCTTGATCCAATTTGCCAGTCTGTGTCTTTTAATTGGAGCATTTAGTCCATTTACATTTAAAGTTAATATTGTTATGTGTGAATTTGATCCTGTCATTATGATGTTAGCTGGTTATTTTGCTCGTTAGTTGATGCAGTTTCTTCCTAGTCTCGATGGTCTTTACATTTTGGCATGATTTTGCAGCGGCTGGTACTGGTTGTTCCTTTCCATATTTAGTGCTTCCTTCAGGAGCTCTTTTAGGGCAGGCCTGGTGGTGACAAAATCTCTCAGCGTTTGCTTGTCTCTAAAGGATTTTATTTCTCCTTCACTTATGAAGCTTAGTTTGGCTGGATATGAAATTCTGGGTTGAAAATTCTTTTCTTTAAGAATGTTGAATATTGGCCCCCACCCTCTTCTGGCTTGTAGAGTTTCTGCCGAGAGATCCGCTGTTAGTCTGATCGGCTTCCCTTTGAGGGTAACCCGACCTTTCTCTCTGGCTGCCCTTAACATTTTTTCCTTCATTTCAACTTTGGTGAATCTGACAATTATGTGTCTTGGAGTTGCTCTTCTCGAGGAGTATCTTTGTGGCGTTCTCTGTATTTCCTCAATCTGAATGTTGGCCTGCCTTGCTAGACTGGGGAAGTTCTCCTGGATAATATCCTGCAGAGTGTTTTCCAGCTTGTTTCCATTCTCCCCGTCACTTTCAGGTACACCAATCAGACGTAGATTTGGTCTTTTCACATAGTCCCATATTTCTTGGAGGCTTTGCTCGTTTCTTTTTATTCTTTTTTCTCTAAACTTCCCTTCTCGCTTCATTTCATTCATTTCATCTTCCATCGCTGATACCCTTTCTTCCAGTTGATCGCATCGGCTCCTGAGGCTTCTGCATTCTTCACGTAGTTCTCGAGCCTTGGTTTTCAGCTCCATCAGCTCCTTCAAGCACTTCTCTGTATTGGTTATTCTAGTTATGCATTCTTCTAAATTTTTTTCGAAGTTTTCAACTTCTTTGCCTTTCGTTTGAATGTCCTCCCGTAGCTCGGAATAATTTGATCGTCTGAAGCCTTCTTCTCTCAGCTCGTCAAAGTCATTCTCTGTCCAGGTTTGTTCCGTTGCTGGTGAGGAACTGCATTCCTTTGGAGGAGGAGAGGCGCTCTGCTTTTTAGATTTTCCAGTTTTTCTGCTCTGTTTTTTCCCCATCTTTGTGGTTTTATCTACTTTTGGTCTTTGATGATGGTGATGTACAGATGGGTTTTTTGTGTGGATGTCCTTTCTGTTTGTTAGTTTTCCTTCTAACAGACAGGACCCTCAGCTGCAGGTCTGTTGGAGTACCCGGCCGTGTGAGGTTTCAGTCTGCCCCTGCTGGGTAGTGCCTCCCAGTTAGGCTGCTCGGGGGTCAGGGGTCAGGGACCCACTTGAGGAGGCAGTCTGCCCGTTCTCAGATCTCCAGCTGCGTGCTGGGAGAACCACTGCTCTCTTCAAAGCTCAGACGGAAATGCAGAAATCACCCATCTTCTGCATTGCTCACGCTGGGAGCTGTAGACCGGAGCTGTTCCTATTCGGCCATCTTGGCTCCTTCCTCGCTGTTACAACCTCTAAAGGAATTATTTGGGGATATATATCAGATTAAATGAAAATTAAGATAAAACCTGCCAGATACAAAATGAAAACTATTGCATTATTTTACATATATGTAGAATTTTTTAAAAAGTCAAATATACAGAAATAGAGAATAAAATAGTGATTACCAGAGGTAGGGTGGGTGGAAGAAATGGGGAGATGTACCTCAAGGGATACAAAGTAGGAAATATGTAGGATGAACAGGTCTGGAGATCTAATGCCCAACCTGCCAACTATAGCTAATATCAGGGCATTGTAGGCCAGGCATGACGGCTCACGCCTGTTATCCCAGCACTTTGGGAGGCCGAGGTGGGCAGATCACTTAAGGCCAAGGAGTTCGAGACCAGCCTGAGCAGCATGGTGAAACCCTGTCTCTACAAAAATTAGCCAAATGTGGTGCCCGTGCCTGTAGTCCCAGCTACTCGCAAGGCTCAGGTGAGAGGATCTCTTGAGCCTGGGAGGTGGAGGTTGCAGTGAGCCAAGATCGCGCCACTACACTCCGGCCTGGGTGACAGAGTGAGACCTTGTCTCAAAAAAATAAATTAAAAAAATAATAAAAATGGTGTATTGTATTCAGGATTTTTGCTAAATGAGTAAATTATAACTGCTCTTGCAATGAGGGGTTGGGAGTGGGAAGGGAAGCAGGTAACTATGTGAGGTGATGGAGGTGTTAATTTGCTTCACTGTAATAACCATTTTACTCACAGCATCATGTTGTATACCTTAAAATATATTTTAAAAATTAAATTAAAAAAAGAAAATTAAGATAAAGCTTTACATTTTTTTAAAATTTAAAATTAAGATAATGGTAGGCAAAGGTGTATTAACTAAATCCAAAATGAAAGAATTCTGATATCTTGATCTTACTATCGGACAGAATTGAATTTGGGAGAGAAAAATATTAAATAAGACAACAACATTTTTTGTTACTTAAAGATTATAGGCGAAGTGCTATGGCTTATGCCTATAATCCCAGTACTTTGGGAGTCCAAGGCAGGAGAATCACTTGAGGCCAGGAGTTCAAGATCAGACTGAGTAACAGTGAGAACCCCTCTAAAACAATTATTTTAATATTAGCCAGGTGTGATGACATGCACCTGTAGTCCCAGCTACTTGGGAGGCTGAGGCGGAGAGGTAGCTTGAGCCCAAGAGTTCAAGGTTATAGTGAACTATGATTGCACCATTGCATCTAGTCTGGGTGACTGAGCGAGTCTCGGTTTTTTAAAACTCTGTCTCTGTTTTTTAAAACAAGATTATAATTCACAATTAAGATACAACTTTCCTTAAAAGTCATGTAGAAAAAGAACATCAAAATGTAAAAAGCAAAAACTATATCAATATAAGAAAAAATAGGCTGGGCACGGTGGCTCACGCCTGTAATCCCAGCACTTTGGGAGGCTGAGGCGGGCAGATCACGTCAGGAGTTCGAGACCAGCCTGGCCAACATGGTGAAACCCTGTCTCTACTAAAAATACCGAAATTAGCTGGGTGTGGTGGTGCACACCTATAATCCCAGCTACTCGGGAGGCTGAGGCAGGAGAATCACTTGAACCCGGGAGGTGGATGTTGCAGTGAGCCAAGATCGTGCCGCTGCACTCCAGCCTGGACAACAGAGCAAGACTCCATCTCAGAAAAAAAAGAAAAAATAGGCAAAAACTCACTGTTAGTAGGAATCTGTGACTGACTTCTTTTAGTCCGTGACATATCAAGAAGTCAGAAAATAAGTATTAGTACAAAATACCTAGATAACAGAATTACTAAGGCCAACCTTACAGAGATATACAAAATCCTATTCTATTCCAAGAAAAAGTGCACCTTCTTTTCAAGTGTCTGAAACTGTCCAAAAATTTACAACATATAACCTAGAAAGCCTCAAAAAAAGTCCAAAAAGTAGACATAGCAAACTTTTCTTATCACAAGACTTGAAAACTATGAAACAAAAAGACCTATTAGAAAAAAACTCAGCATATCACTGACAAATAGCTTCTTTCTTAAACAAATCTTATGTTAAATAGAAAATCAAATTCAAAATTTCAAAATATCTAGAAAACAGTAATAAAAATACCATATGCTAGAAATTATGGTACTTTGTAAAAGCAGGGCTCAACAATCCATAAAAGTAGGAGGGAAAAAAGGGACAGGCAAATAGAAGAGATAAAATAGAACTACACAGCTGAGTGTGGCAGTATGTGCCTGTATTCCCAGGTACTTGGGAGTCTGAAGTGAGAGGATCGCTTGAGCCCAGGAGCCCAGGAGTCCGGCCTGGGCAACATAAGGAGACCCTTGTCTCTTAAAAAAAAAAAAAGAAAAGAAAAGAAAAGAAAGAGGGGGGCGGGCGTGGTGGCTCATGCCTGTAATCCCAGCACTTTGGGAGGCTGAGGCGAGCAGATCACAAGGTCAGGAGTTCGAGACCAGCCTGGCCAACATAGTGAAACCCCATTTCTACTAAAAATACAAAAAATAATTAGCTGGGCATGGCGGCGGGCACCTGTAATCCCAGCTACTTGGGAGGCTGAGGCAGGAGAATCTCTTGAACCCAGGAGGCGGAGGTTGCAGTGAGCCAAGATTGTACCATTGCACTCTAGCCAGGGCAACAGTGCGAGACTCCAGCTCAAAAGAAAAAGAAAAAGGTAGAAATACACAAAATAAGAAATGAAAACATTCAGATATAAAAAGAAAAATTAGTAAATCTAAGCACATTATCTTGATCAACTATGCAAATTATTTTGAAAATGTGAATGAAATAGTAATTTTCCATGGATAAATACTAAATATTCCATTGCATATTGTCAGAATGGATTTATTTAAAAACAGAACAAAATTTATGTTGCTTATAAGAGACATTTTTAAAAAACACAGAAAGTTTGAGAATTAAAGGACAGAAAAAGAAATGCCATGTGAACACTAATCAATATAAAGCTGGAATAATTTTGCTAAAGCGGACAAAACACTTCAAGGCAAGAAGTATTACCCATTCTGTGTCAACCTCATTTTTTATATCATTATTCATCTCTCATATGTGTCTATCTGGTATCCCCAGCCATAATCTGGTAACCTATCTCATCACACGCCTTTCTACCCAGTGTTTTGCCCACAGGAAATGCTCAGTATATGCCAGTAGTCCTGGGTGTCTCTGCAGATAAGTTGTGTATTATCAAAATGCCTGACTTTATTCTCTGTTCAAAGCTTCTCTGTATCATGTGGGTATGATTTTGAAAACTGTCAATGTTAAATGTTTAACATATTCCTCAGACCCACTGCTGAGGAATGTCCTGCGGAGGACAGTCTAGAACTCAAATGAAAGACATGAGGAAGAAATCATTATCCCTGTGAGCCATAGAAGTGTTTGCTTTCTATGGACAACCAGAATGCAGGAAACCTCACTATCAGGCAGAGGACAATCTGATAATGAAATGTGCTCTACAGAATATGGGAGAAACTGTGGCCAGGAGTGGAGGCTGGGAACCATGTAGGAAGGGGAAGAATGAAAGGAAACTAGTTTTAGAAATGAACATGGATTCTAAATTTTCTCCAATACTTTTCTATAATCTCCTCTCATTTTATTTTTCTCAGCCCATTACCATCGTAAGTTCCATGACAATATTTTTTTCTAGAACTCCCTCCTCTATTCCATAGAATACCTTTCAACATACACTAACCAGAATAACCTCTCTCCCTTCTAAACAATCCCTTTCCAGCACTTGTCAAATTTCAGTAAGATGATAGACAGAGAAAACAATAAGGAGACATAAGTGGTTAAAATTTAAAAGAAAAAAAGCAAGCAGCACTTACCTGCATATTATGTCACTTGGGTCCCGGAAAAAAACAGAACACAGACATTGTCATAAAAATAGTTCTCAGGAGCCGTCATCATTCTCTACTGTGGGATCATTGAGAAATGGGTATACACCAGGACTGAACAGAGAATTATTCTGATGGACCCGGACCTGTCCTCCCTCTGTTGCAGTTTCTTTTTTTCTTTTCTTTTCTTGTTTTTTTTTTTTATTTTTTTATTATTTTTTTATTTTTTTTTTCATTTGAGATGGAGTCTCACTCTGTCACCCAGGCTGGAGTGCAGTGGTGTGATCTTGGCTCACTGCAACCTCTGTCTCCCGGGTTCAAGCGATTCTCCTGCCTCAGCCTCCAGAGTAGCTGAGATTACAGGCACCTGCCACCATGTCCGGCTAATTTTTGTATTTTTAGTAGAGATGGGATTTCACTATGTTGGCCAGGATGGTCTCGAACTCCTGACCTCGTTATCTGCCTGCCTCAGCCTCCCACAGTGCTGGGATTATAGGCATGAGCCACTACTCCCAGCCTGCAGTTTCTTTCTTTTTTTTTTTGAGATGGAGTCTGGCTCTGTCGCCCAGGCTGGAGTGCAGTGGCACAATCTCGGCTCACTGCAAACTCCGCCTCCCGGGTTCACGCCATTCTCCTGACTCAGCCTCCGGAGTAGCTGGGACTACAGGCACCCACCACCACACCCGGCTTCATTTTTGTATTTTTTAGTAGAGACGCGGTTTCACTGTGTTAGCCAGGATGGTCTCGATCTCCTGACCTCATGATCTGCCTGCCTTGGCCTCCCAAAGTGCTGGGATTACAGGTGTGAACCACTGTGCCTGGCCTGCAGTTTCAATTTATAAGGACAAATGCTTCCCCTTCATGTCTTTCATTCGAGTTCTAGACTATCCTCTTCAGAAACCTTTCTTGATTTATAGACAGATAAAAATCTGTTAAGAATCCCATTGTCTATTCAGTTAAGGCTCAAATTTCAGCCTGCTTTGGAAGGCCTCAACTCAGTTGGCCCCATCATAATTTTCACTTCTCCCTCACTTAATCTGACTCTTCCAGAAAGGTAGCTACCTTCATTCTATGTCCCCTTCTTATCAGTCTTCCTACTCCTATCTTCCCCAGCACCTATGCCCACCTGCCAACACATATACCAAGTTTATTATTACATTCATTTATCTAATTGTAACTAGTGTGTCCCCACCCCCTACCAAGTGGAATGTTTAGCTCCTTTCTGACAATCTAAATCTTACTTAGCTGGGCGTGGTGATGGGTGCCTGTAGTCCCAGCTACTCAGGAGGCTGAGGCAGGAGAATCACTTGAACCCAGGAGGTGAAGGTTGCAGTGAGTTGAGATCGCGCCACTGCACTCCAGCCTGGGTGACAGAGGGAGATGCCATCTCAAATAAATAAATAAATATAAAATAAAATAAATCTTTACGTTTCCTTCAAGGCCAACATCAAAAGCCTCTTCTTTGAAGGCTTCTCTGACTAAACACTAGCTGTTTCCAGAATTCTTGTGGCATCCAATCTGACTGGAAGATTTAACATCAGATTATTTGTTGTAATTATAAATGTACAGATCTTAATATTCCATTATATGGTCTGTGCATATTATAGACCCCTGCCCACTGCACTTTGGGGCTTAAAACCTATTGGTTGGCTAATTCAGTTATTAAAGAATTCAGTAAATGAGAATAACACCTTGTCTCTCTTGACTCTTGGTCCAAATCTCTTGCAAATAGGCCACACCGTAGTCATAGAGCAAGAGGACTCAGATACAGTTTGGTTGGTCCTTTACCTTCAAAAGTTCAAGTGCTGGCTGCCGAGACTTCTCCAACTCAGTGATCAGGGTCCCAAGCTGGACCACCTCCTCAGAACCCTTGATGACACGGCTGTTCCTCCTTTTGGTGAGTTCTTGCTCTAGCCCTACCAGCTGCTCCAACAGGTACTGTTCCCTTTCTCTCAAAAACCGATGGCCCTATTCAAACACTGATACAATGTCTTGCCTGTGGTTCTGAAATGTTGTCTACAGTAAATGCAGAAAGAGAAAAGTGACCTTTTTGAGAGGCTAGGGAACACCAGAACATGTGTGAGATCTTCTGAGGATGAGTTCAGAACAGAAATCTCTTTGATCACTCTCCCCCTCCCCATTCCTCAATACTTCCCCCACACACATACCCCTTCCTCTCCTTAACCTATGCCCCGCTACTACCTACACACACACCCCTGCCCTACACACATACACACATTCATACAGAACATTTACTAGAGACCTCTCTTACCACCAGGGCCTGAATCTCATCTTCTCCCATAGATTGAGAATTCTGAATGCTATCCTTGTATCCCTTCAGAATCTTCCGATGGTTTAGAATTTTGCCCTATGAAAATAAACAAGGATAGTCTCGGGCTGGGCGTGGTGGCTCATGCCTGTAATCCCAGTACTTTGGGAGGTCGAGGCAGGTGGATTACCTGAGGTCAGGAGTTAAAGACCAGCCTGGCCAACATGGTGAAACCCTGTCTCTACTAAAAAATACAAAAATTAGCTGGGCATGGTGGTGAGCACCTGTAATTCCAACTACTTGGGAGGCTGAGGCAGGAGAATCAGTTGAACCTTGGAGGCGGAGGTTGCAGTGAGTCGGGATCGCGCCACTGCACTCCAGCCTGGGCAACAAGAGCAAAACTCTGTCTCAAGAAAAGAAAAAAAAAGAAAAAGAAAAAGAAAATAAACTTGAATAGTCTCAAGATCAAGATGAAAATGACCTCAATGAAAAAAGGGAGATGCAAAGTGATTCCAGAGTGAAATCCAACTGCATTTGACCATGTGTAGTTTAATAATGGTTGTGTGGAACAATTTCCATTCTAGTTAATAAGGAAGATCCATTGAGTGATACAATGGCCTAGAGCAATTTCTTAGAAGTAAGACAAAATAATATCGTATTATCATTATAACTAACAAGACTTATGGTATAGTTTCTAATTTATATTTACACTATCCTTTTCTACCAAAAATACAGACAATTAAAATTAAAATTAATTAATAAAACAAAAATAGAAGGTGGGTGCAGTGGTATGTGCCTGTAGTCCCAGCTATTTGGGAAAATAAGGGTGAAGTATCTCTTGAGCCCAAGTCTTTGAGGGCATACCTTGGCAACATAGTGAGACCCTGTCTTGTAAAAAGAAAAAAAAATAGAAACAAAAAATTAACACAAAAAGTCAAGGAAAGTATATATGCCAACTCCAAATAATAATAATAATAACTATTATTATTATTATTGTAGAGATGGGGTCTTGCTATAGCCCAGGCTGGTCTCCTGTTCTCAAGCTATCCTCCTGCCTTGGCTTCCCAAAGTGTTGGGATTACAGGCATGAGCCACCACACCTGGCAGCAACTCCAGATTATTAAGAGGATGACTAAATTGGCAGGCAAAGAGAAAAGGGAAACAATGAACTGCCTGATGTTTCTTTTTTCTTTTCTTTTTTTTTTTTTTTTTTTTTTGAGACAAAGTCTCACACTGCTGCCCAGGCTGGAGTGCAATGGCACAATCTTGGCTCACTGCAAGCTCCGCTTCCTGGGTTCAAGCGATTCTCTTGCCTCAGCCTCCCAAGTAGCTGGGATTACAGGTGCATGCCACCATGCCTGGCTAATTTTTGAATTTTGGTAGAGATGAGGTTTTGCCATGTTGGCCAGGCTGGTCTTGAGTCCCTGACATCAAGTGATTCACCTGCCTTAGCCTCCCAAAGCGCTAGGATTACAGATGTGAGCCACCAAGCCTGGCCTGATGTTTCTTTAGCAGGCAAGAAGAAACATACTAGGACCCCAGAGGAAATAATATTTTCCTTGTTAAATTCTGAAAGAAAAATTACATAGATTTTATACAGGCTGAAATATTGTGAAAAAAAATTTTTTTTTTTTTTGAAATGGAGTCTCGCTCTGTCGCCCAGGCTGGAGTGCAGTGGCGCGATCTCGGCTCACTGCAAGCTCCGCCTCCCGGGTTCACGCCATTCTCCTGCCTCAGCCTCCCGAGTAGCTGGGACTACAGGCGCCCGCCACCACGCCCGGCTAATTTTTTGTATTTTTAGTAGAGACAGGATTTCACTGTGTGTGCCAGGATGGTCTCGATCTCCTGACCCTGTGATCCGCCCGCCTCGGCCTCCAAAAGTGCTGGGATTACAGGCGTGAGCCACCGCACCAGACCTCAAAAATATTTTTATAACAACTGTGTACATACCACTTGAAGCTATATACTACGAGAGCTATCAGGAGTGCTGGTATTCTGTATAGCTGATAAGACTTGATCTGAACCTCAGAGATGAAACCATCAAGGCAATGTGATAGACTTACTTCCATAAAAGATATAAAACCAAACCAGCTTTATTATCCAAATGCAAAGGGTAGTACTTTACCAAGAATCTTTCATGCTAAAGAATTTGAACTGTCTTACACCTCTTAGAAATGCTATTATATTTTTTAAAAGATAAGAAGCGTTGGTGAGGATGTGGAGAAAGGGGAACCCTGATACGCTGTTGGTGGAAATGCAAACTGGTACAGCCATTATAAAAACAGTAAGAAGCTCCTCAAATAATTAAAAACAGAACTACCATATGATCCAGCAATTTCACTTCTGGGTATTTATAGCCCATATACTTCCCATGTTCTTTGCAGCACTATTCACAATAACCAAGATTTAAAAAACCCTAAATGTTCACTGATGGATGAATAAAGAAAATGTGGTATATACATACAATGCAATATTATTCAGCCTTAAAGAGAAGGAAATTCTGCCATTGGTAACAACATGGATGGACCTTGAGAACATTATGCTAAGTGAATATGCCAGACACATACTGTGCGACCTCACTTATATGTGGAATCTAAAACAGTCAAACTTACATAAACAGAGTAGAATGGTGGTTGCCAGGGACTGGTGGGGACGGGGAATGGAGGGTTGATGGTCAAAGTTACAAAGTTTCAGTTATGCAAGATAAAGAAGTTCTAGAGACCTACTATATAGCATAATGCCTATAGCTAAAAACACTGTATTGTATACTTCAAATTTACTAAAAGAATAGATCTTTGACTAAGTGTTCTTATCACACACACAAAATAATAACAATAAAGAGGGTGTGTGGAAAGTTTGGAAAGTGATAGACGTGTTTTTGCTGTGATGATGGTTTCAGAGGTGTATACTCATCTACAAACTCATTAATTGGTATACATTAAATATGTATAGCTTTTACATGTCAATCATACCTCAATAAAGTAATGCAAAAAACCTGCACCTTATCCTGAAGGTACCATAGAACTTTCTGGCTAAAAGAACAGAGCTGGGGTCCAACACGATTCTTACCCGACGAGGCTGTGCAGCCTTTTCTAGGAGAACAGCAGCATGGTGCTTGTGTTCTCGGGACTCCAACGCATCACATACACCATCTGCTGGTCATCCTTTGAAGCATTAATGGAGCTTCTCCAGGTGTCGCCTACACAGCTTCTCTGCTTTTTGCTCAGGTGGTCTTTCCTCTCTGGGTTGTCTCTCCTCATCTACCTTCATTCTCCAAATGTTCTCCATCAGGTTGGCCATCTGCCACACATGGCAGATATTTTTTCTTAAAAGCTGGCTTGCACAGAGAACAATGTAATGGTTGCCTAGTAGATTCACAGACCTGAATGATGCAGTGGTAGCAAAAGACATGACCACAGTCAATGGTCACTGGGTCTCTCAAGTAGTCAAGACAGATGGAGAACCTCATCCTCCAGATTTCTCAGAGGGGAGGCAGCAGTTGTGATCACTATGCTCAAGTCCTGCAAAGAGTTCACTCTCAAAGTGAGAAATCACTTTCTAAGAAGACATGAAGAAAACAAAGAAGTTGTGAGTTTAATGAACATCAAAATGGAACCCATGAGAAAATAGTTTTTATGTTCAAACTGCTCCCAACCTTTTTTCTCAAAATCCAAAGTCCCTTCCAGAGCACTACTCAGAACACGTTCTGGCTTGCAGTGTTAGATGAATGTTAATTTTAGGCAGCTAGCTCTGCTGTAAGCATTTCAAAGGGTGCTCATATATGTAATTTTTTTTTCCCCGAGACGGAGTCTCGTTCTGTCGCCCAGGCTGGAGTGCAGTGGCACTATCTCGGCTCACTGCAAGCTCCACCTCCCGGGTTCACGCCATTCTCCTTCCTCAGCCTCCCAGGTAGGTGGGACTACAGGCGCCGGCCACCTTGTCCGGCTAATTTGTTGTGTTTTGAGTAGAGACGGGGTTTCACCGTGTTAGCCAGGATGGTTTCGATCTCCTGATCTCGTGATCTGCCCGCCTTGGCCTCCCAAAGTGCTGGGATTACCGGTGTGAGCCACCGCGCCCGGCCTCATATATGTAATTAAGTGGGAGTATCCTAGAAGATTTTGGACAACTAATTTTTCAATAAAGTCTAAAGGATTTGTGCCCACCTCTCAGTAGATCAGCTCAGTAAAATATATTTCCTGTAAATAATTCAAAAGTAGAGAATAAGAACTAACAAAATTTGGGCCTGTATCTTAAAACTCATCTGAAAACATGAGAGCTACATATTAGAAACCACTAGGTTTTGGCCGGGCGCGGTGGCTCACGCCTGTAATCCCAGCACTTTGGGAGGCCAAGGCGGGCGGATCACAAAGTCAGGAGGTCGAGACCATCCTGGCTAACACGGTGAAACCCCGTCTCTACTAAAAATACAAAAATTAGCCGGGCGTGATGGCGGGCGCCTGTAGTCCCAGGTAGTCGGGAGGCTGAGGCAGGAGAATGGCGTGAACCCGGGGGGCGGAGCTTGCAGTGAGCCGAGATTGTGCCACTGCACTCCAGCCTGGGCGACAGAGCCAGACTCCGTCACAAAAGAAGAGAAAAGAAAAGAATGCACTAGGTTCATCCACAGGTCTGTTATTCATACACTGCCTGAGAAATCTCTTCATCATGGTTTAAACTAATTTTTTTCAAACATGTTTTGAAACATCACAGTAAAAAAGTCACTCATGTCCCAGTCTAATATACATGCATATGCACACACAGACACACACACACACACATTTTGTTGGGTACCATTTTTCTTTATTATTTGTAATATATTCTGATTTTTAAATTACAGTCCGTTTTAAAAATGCTGGTTATAACCTGCAAAATTGGTTTCATGACAGTAGGTATCACCTACATTTTGAAAAACAAATCAAACCACAACTTTATCACTAACAGTGACCTCTACCTACAGATGCAAACTCTGGGGAGCTACCAAGGCCTACTGAACCACCACTTGAATCTTGCACCTTAAACTCACACATCCAAATCCACTATCTCTCTCATTCTTCCTATTCCTCAGGAACACGTACCAATAGCCACCCCATTATCCAAGCCATTACAGACAACAGTAAGGAGGCTTCTCAAAAAATTAAAAGTAGAACTACTATATGATCCATCAATCTCACTAATGGATATATATCCAAAGGAAATGAAATTGGTACGTCAAAGAGATACATGCACTCCCATGTTCACTGCAGCGCTATTCACAATAGCCAAGATATGAAATTAACCAAAGTGGCCATCAAAGAATGAATAGATTTTTAAAAATGTGGCGTATGTACACAATGGAATACTTTTCAGCCATAAAAAGAATGAAATTCTGTCATTTGTAACAACATGAATGAACCAAGAGGACATTATATTAAGTAAGCCAAGCAATGAAGAACAAATGGCACATGATTTCACTCATATGTGGAACTGCAAAAGCTGATCTCATAGAAGGGAAGAGGAGAATAGCGGTTACCAGAGACCGAGAAGGAGAGGGAGAAGTGAGGATGTACACTCAAGTGAGAATGTACACTGAAAACTATAAAAAATTGCTGAAATTGAAGATCTAAATAAATGGAAAGACATCTTGTGTTGATGGGTAGAAAGACTTAAAATTGTTAAGTTGTCAATAATATCCAAAGTGATCTACAGACTCAATTAATCTCTATCAAAATTTCAACAGCCTTTTAAACAGATATGGAAAAGCAGGTCCTTGAATTCATATGGAAATGTTCACAAAAAAACAAGTGTTTGTAGGAAAAACAGAGTTTTGATAGGCAACTCAAAATCTATTCATCTTCATACTCATAACACTAACAAAGCAATAACAATTCGAATAAAAATACTAGCATAGTTTTTAAAGAGAAAAAAAAAAGACTTGTTAAACTCTAAATAGATGAAAGACTTTTTAAAGGGGGAGCTAGGCTGAGGGGTGGCTCATGCCTGTAATCCCAGCACTTTGGGAGGCCGAGGTGGGCAGATCACTATGTCCAGAGATCGAGACCATCCTGGCCAAGATGGTGAAACCCCCATCTCTACTAAAAATACAAAAATTAGCTGGGCATGGTGGTGCGCGCCGGTAGTCCCAGCTGCTCGGGAGACTGAGGCAAGAGAATCGCTTGAACCTGGGAGGCAGAGGTTGCAGTGAGCCGAGATCTCACCACTGCACTCCAGCCTGGTGACAGAGCAAGACTCCATCTCAAAAAAAATTTAAAAAAGGAGGCCAGGTGCAGTGTCTCATGCCTGTAATCCCAGCACTTTGGGAGGCCGAGGTGGGTGGATCACGATATCAGGAGATCAAGACCATCCTGCCTAAGACGGTAAAACCCCGTCTCTACTAAAAATACAAAAAATTAGCCAGGCATGGTGGCACGTGCCTGTAGTCCCAGCTACCCAGGAGGCTGAGGCAGGAGGATGGCTTGAACCCGGGAGGCGGAGGTTGGAGTGAGCCGAGATTGCACGACTGCACTCCAGCCTGGGCGACAGAGCGAGCCTCCATCTCAAAAAAAATAACAATTAAAAGAATGAAAAAATAAAATAAAATAAATAAAGGGGGAACTAAAGATACAAGGGGATAAGGAAAGATGGAAGCTGCTGCTTTATGGAGACAAGGTGGAGGGACATCACCATGAGAAGCTATAGAGGATAAGCAGTTGAAGCTTTGCACAAAATGTAGATGACAAAGATGGGTAGCTCTGGATGGTTATTTTCTGCTTGTTTGTTTTGCACCTGCTTAAAAAAAAACACCTGATTTTTTTTTTTCTGTATTGCCACCTTCCTTCTTTCATTAAGAAGCTGCTGTTATGGCTCCAAATAGGACCTTGTGCCATGAAGTGCAATCTGCACTAACACATCTACAAATGCATGTCAATCACACCTAAAGTAGAAAAAGAAAGCTCTTGTGGAATTATTCTAAAGTCTAATGGATTTTTCTTCCCCACTCTTAAGGGGCATCTCAGCAACAAGTTGTTATGGAACTGTGGCAACATCTTAATATTCCCATTCTCAAAATAGTTCAGAAAAAGTGCATGAAAATTGGGGGAACTACTTAGTAAGCACTTCAGGATAGAGAATGTAGCTAAAATGAGTAAAGTGGAGAAGGAGTCAACGGCATTGTGCACAGCATTGTATTCATAGCTTGCTCCCTTAAATCGTGTTTGGGACTTGGCTGCTATTTTGGTACAGCTGCTATTACTCAGTGCAGAACATTAACATATGGGGGAAATTGTATATTACACAATGCAGCTTCCACATTATGCTGACACCATTCCTCTACTTGTCCATTTACTTTAAGAGACACTTACTGATGCAAAGGAGACTGAACAGTGAAGGATCTCACTCAGAATCCTGTCCACAATCTGTCCAGTTTACACCTTACCCCAAAGAGGTAATCTCTTTTGTTAATTACCTGTGTATCTTCCAATTTTTTCATGATAATATAATAATGACTCTTCATTCCCTCTTTTTTTGACACAGAGGTAGCCTGTTATACAACGTTCTTCACCTCATTCTCTCACTTCACAATATATCTTGGAGATCTTACCAAAAGCACACAGAGACCTCCTGCGTTGTGATTAGATTTTCATTGCATAATATTCCATTGTTCGTGTGTGTGTGAGTGTTTAGTTAGTCTCAAATTGATAGGTGCATGAATTTTTCCAATCTTTTGTTAAGGCAAGCAGTATTGAATAAACTTGTACATAATATTTTTGCATGTGTATAATTATATCTGTAGAATGAGTTTCAAAAAATGAAATTGAAAGGTTTAAGGCTGTATTCACAAACAATTTTGAAAGGTATTGATTGCCTAATTGTCCTCCAAAAGGTTTGTCCCAAACTGGACTCCTATAACCAATAAATCAAAGTGCTTGTTTCTCCATAGCCTTGTCAACAGAGGGTGTTGCCAAACTTTTAACTTTTTGCCAATCTGACAGGAAAGACATGATATCTCCTGTAGTTTTTCTTCTTCCTCTGGTAAAAGCAAGGTTAAGTGTTTTTTCATGTGTTTAATAACTATTTTTGTTTCCTTTTCTGAGTTTCTTCACAGTTCCCGAGACAGAAAAAAGGAAAAAGGATTTCAGCAGACAGAATTTCAACAACAATTGTCTGTTAAAATTCTTTTTACTTTTTCTTTCAGAGATTGCTAGTCTCTTTCTTCTCAATTTTAAGGTGCATTTTAATTGCTAAAGAGGTCATTTCTTTGGATGTGATATGCATGAAAATATTTCTATAAGTTTTTCATTTGTCTTTTGATTTTTTATGATATTTTCTGCTACTCGGAACTGCTTTTTATTTTATGTAGTTCAGTTTATTAATTTTCTGTCCTATGGCTTTTACGATTTGGAGTTACAGTTAGATAGCCCTCCTCCAAAGTTAGAAAGGAATATTTCCTTTTTTTCATTGAAAACTTTGACCCATTTGGAGTTTATCATGCTATACAGTTGGAATTGTGCCCAACTTTAAATATTATTTCCCATGTAGTTATCCAGTTATCTCAAAAGCATTTATTGAATGGTCATCTATCTTTTCCACTGATCTGAGATCCCATTTTTATCATCCACTAAATTACTGTATGCTTGGGTCTATTTCTAGATTTCCTTTTATTTTTCATTGATCTGTCTGTTTATGTACCAACATCACATTCTTTTTGTTATTGAGGCTTTAGAATGTTTTCATATTTGGCAAAGCCAGTTTTTCTCAAGCTCCCCTTGTCTGAGGTTTAGTTGGTATTCTTTCTTTATTTTTCATATGAATCTTTGAATCAGTTTATCTAGTTAAAAAGAACACCTGGCTGGGCACGGTGGCTCACGCCTGTAATCCCAACACTTTGGGAGGCTGAGGAGGGAGGAACACCTGAGGTCATGAATTCGAGACCAGCTTGGTCAACATGGTGAAACCCCATCTCTACTAAAATACAAAAAATAGCTGGGGTGGTGGTGTGTGCCTGTAATCGCAGCTACTCAGGAGGCTGAGGCAGGAGAATCGCTTGAGCCCGGGAGACAGAGGTTGCAGTGAGCTGAGATTGTGCCGTTGCTCTCCAGCCTGGGCAACAAGAGTGAAACTCTGTCTCAAAAAAAAAAAAAGAACACCTCTGGTATTTTTATTTTTTACAAGTTAAATTAAGATTAGCCCGGAGGGATGATAACTTTATGATGATCAATGTATGTATTCGAGAAATATTTCAGGTTTTTAAAGTATTTAAGTGTTTGTTACATATAGGTATCACACATTTCAAAGTAAGTTCATTCCAGAGTATTTTATCTTTTTGTTGATATTATAAATAGTATCTTTTCTTCTGTTATATCTTCTACCTAAATGTTGATTTGGATACATGAAAACTATTTACTTCTTCCTATAGCTATTTTATTCTGCATGTTAGGGTAGAAAACAAAACTGTAATAATGGAGAAAACTGTAAATGAGATGACTCAAACAAAATAGTTTATTTCCATCTCAACAGTCCTGGGTAGGTTTATCAAGATGGTGAGTGGTTGTACTCTATGAAGTCACTTAGGGATGCATGCTATTAGAAGTTCTTCTATCTTCAACATGTGATTACAAGATCAATTTGCTTCAACCAATGATGAAGGGTTTCAAGAAGGGCTGAAGTTCAAGGTCTCTTTAATCTGTGAGGTGACTGTTTCATTTATCACAACTTATATTCCTTTGTCAAGACCCTAGTCACATGGCTACATCTAACTGCAAAGAGGGCTAGGAAATGTGGTCCGGCCAGGTCTCAGCTATACTTTATTTGTTTGAGAGAAGGAAAATGGATTTTGTGGTCAGTTAGAAGTCATTACACAGACCAGCAATGGTCACCAATAATCCACATATACTCTACTTTTCACATTTAGAAAAAACTCACCTCACCCCCTAGGGAAATATCTCATCCAGTTATGACATCCAGCTCAAAATCCAGGATCTTTAGGTGACATGCAGTTTTCTATTGGATATACACTTGAGTCCTCATGGCCCAGTGACCCATAAAGTAATAAAATCTAAATTATCACCCTCTACCACGTAAACACAGATAATATACAATGGTGAAGTGAGAACAGGATAATGGCAAAAGAAACTCTTATTTAAAAAACAGAAACACACAATCATTGGCCCACAGCAATGATTAAATCTTACTGGGTAGGAATCCTAAATTATCCTTGCCCTCTCAATGGAGTAAGTTCCAAGCTTAGTCCATCTGACTATCACTGGTCCTCTCTGTGGGAGGAACTCCTTTGTTTGTCATCCTGACCACTGGCTTTGCTTTCTGGAAGATTCTTTCTTCTCCATTATCTACCATAGCCAATATAAGAAGAAGTGAGGAGTACTCATTTCTTAGGATTGCCCCGTACAGATTTTGCAGCCTGACTTCTGTGGTTGCAATTTGAGGGCCTATGAGTTATTTTAAGCTTAACCACAGGCTTTTTTATGTTAGGCTTTATGGCTTCCTTGGGAATACAATTTCTTCAAAAACTAAAAGGGCTTCTTGTTTATTTGTTTCATGCATCAGTGACCACAACCAAAGTTCTTTTCTAGGTCTGATTCTGAAATCTTTTGTTCTAAGCTCTGTTGAATGACTCATGTCACTCTTAATTTAATGGTAACAACTTTGAGTGGGAAGAAAACTCCTTTAATCTAATTGTTTCCTTAGGCGTCTGTCCTTCTGTTTGCCTTAATACAAGGCCTTTGGGAAAAGCTTAGAGGAAGGTATTAGTTTTTTATCACTGATTTAACAAATTACCACAAACTTAGTTGCTTAAATATAAATGTATAATCTATAAATATAAATTTATGATAATATAATATATATTATATATTTATAATAGAAATTTATGATCTTACAGTTCTGTAAGTCAGAAAACCAACACTAGTTTCGCTAAGCTAAAATCAAGGTATCAGTAGGACCACATTACTTCTAGAGGCTCACAGGGAGAATCTGTGTTCTTGCCTTTTTCAGCTTCTAGAGGTTGCTGGCATTCTTTGGCTTATGGCCCTGTTTCTCCACCTTCAAAATCAGCAATATAACACATCTCTCTGACCCTTTGTCCCATCATCACATGTCTCTCTCTTACTGCAGCTGGGAAAGATCTTCTGCTTTTAATGACTCATGTGATTAAATTGGGCCCACTGGAATAATTCAGGATGATCTCCTCATCTCAAGGTCCTTAATTGCATTTGCAAAGTCCCTTTTGCCATGTACGGTAACATATTCACAGATTCTGGGGACTAGAATGTGGACATTTTGGTGGGGGGACAGTCATTATTTGGCCTAACACAAGCAACTAAAGCCATATTTCCTGTTATCTGAAATATAAAAGCATTTCTCAATCTTGTAAAGACTCACATCTCTGGACTCTATTTCCTTCAATCTCTGCTTGCAATCTGGTCATTTCTTGCCTGAGTTTGCACTTTCTTATAATATTTTGCTAAATGCAACAAGAAGCAGGCAACACTGGAAACAATCTAAATTTCCATCAACATTTGAATGAATAGACACATTGTAGTACATCCATACAATAAACTACTATATGGCAATAAAAAGGAATGGACTATTTATACACTCAACAACATAGATTAATCACAAAATAATTATGCTGGATGAAAGAATCTAGACAAAAATAGAGTACATATTATGAGTTCATTTATGTAAAATTCTAAAAAAGGAAGCCAACCTATAGTGACAGAAAGCAGACCAGTATTTGCCTGGGGATGGATTATAGGATGGGTTGAATTCAAAGGAGCAGGGAAAAGCTATGGGGGGTGACAGATATATTCATTATTTTAATTGTGGTGATGATTTCACAGGTGGATTCCTATGTCAAAACTCATCAGATTATATACTTTAAATACATGCAGTTTACTAGTTACGATAGTGAAGACGTGGAACCAACTTAACTGCCCATCAACTGTAGACTGAATAAAGAAAATGTAGTACATATACACCATGGAATACTATGCAGCCATAAAAAAGAATGAGATCGTGTCCTTTGCAGCAATATGGATGGAACTGGAGGGCCATTATCCTAAGTAAATTAATGTAGGAACAGAAAACCAAACATCACATGTTCTCACTTATAAGTGGGAGCTAAACATTGAGTATACAAGGACACCAAGAAGGGAACAATAGACATTGAGGTCTATTTGAGGATGGAGGGTGGAAGGAGGGTGAGGATCAAAAAACTACCCATCAGGTACTACGCTTATTACCTGGGTGATGAAATAATCTGTACAACAAACCCCTGTGACACACAATTTATTCATGTAACAAACCTGCATATGTACCCCTGAACCTAAAATAAAAGTTGGAGAGAAAAAAAAAGAAATCTGGAAGCAGAAACACACACAGAGCATGACGGCTCCAAAGACAACCAGGCAAAATCTGTTACTTTATCAACAAAAGTGCATTATTTTCATTCCCTGGTATTTGTTGCTAATGTAAATTTTGTTCAACAACCTGAATAGAATTAAGCAAAGCTTTGGGAATTTTTACCAGGCAGGTACAAAAATATGTGTGCTATTTTTTTGTTCCACATCTTGAGAGAGCATGAAAAACATAAATATGTGCAGTTTATTGAATATCAGTTGGACTCAATAAAGCTATTTTTAAGGTGTACTAAAAAATAAAGAGATACATTCATAGTATTGCATATGGGATTTCACTGAGACATAAACTCATGAAGGTTGGGGCCTTTGTTTGGTTCATTACTGTATCACCAGAACCTATGATAGCACCTGGCACATATTAGAGGTTCAATATATCCCATATAACTTGTAGAAGGCAGAAGAATGTCCCTATCCCCAAGATGTCCATGTCCTAATCCCTAGAACCTGACTATATTATGTTATATGGCAAAAGAGAATTAAGGTTGCTAATCAGTTGACTTTGTAAAAAGGGAGGTTATTAGGCCGTATGAGGTCCAATCTAATCACACCAATCTTTAATAAAAGTGGAAAGAAGAAGAAGCAGAATGTAGCTCAGAGAGATAGGACATGAGATGGACATAACCAACTGTTGTTGGATTTGAATACAGAGAAAAGAGGCTATGAGCCAAGGAATTCTACAGCCCTTTGAGCTGTTAACAGCTCTGTTTAAAGCCAGTAAAAAGACAGGAACCTAGTCCTCCAACTACAAGGAATTGAGTTCTGCAAGCAACCAGAATGAACAGAAACAAATTTTCCCCTAAAGCCTTCAAAAAGAGATGCAACCACACTGACAACTTGATTTTAGCCCATTGAGACTTGTTTCAGACCTCTGACCTACTGAGGCAAGATAAGTAAGGTTAGGAGGCCATACTAACTTGTCCCATGTGTGAAGCCCCACGGCTCCTTTTACAGTGAATTCTTTTCACTTGCACCCTCCTGCATCAGCACTGAAGTCTTTTGCAAGACAAGCAGTCCTGCAGGATTCTGCCAGGTGGTTACAAGTTCTTGATACCCTATACAGCCTGGGAAAGAGAACGAAAGCCCTTTGTTCATGATGTAGCTACCCATCTCCAGCCAATCAGCACCAAAAGCCCAAGAAGCTATTAGCTACAAATTCCTGCCTTGGTTGGGGTGGGTGGAGGTGTGACTGGGAAATTCTCCAGGGTCTTGCATACACAGCTAGGCTCAAGGTTTAGCTTATGGTGACCTTTTCCTCATTGTAATAGCAAAAAACACACCACCACGTGGGGATTTTATACGCTAATGATACATGGGATGCGTGTTAGACCAAGTAGCTCATGTGCTAACCACAGGTCTGCCTTTGCTTACTTGATCTCACCAGTATTTTATTAATATGTATGTACAGTTTCCACAAAGGAAATTCCCCTTAAGGCACTAACTACTGCCTCTAGCTTTGAGCTAGCTTTGAGCAGCCCACTCTGCCTCTCAGAGTGTACTTTCACTTTGCAATAAACTCCTTTGCCTAGTCTTATTTTGGACTCACTCTCAAATTCTTTTGTGTGGCCCAGAATCTGAATCTGGCCCACCAACGACATTGCAGAAGTGTAAGAGAATACATTCGTGTTGTTTAAACAGCTAAGTTTGTGGTAATTTGTTACAGCAGCAATAAAAACCTAATCCATAACTAAAAGAAGCTATGTTCTGGTCCCTAGAAGCACCAAAGAAGCTGCAATGTCCTCGGTCCCCAGTTTAGGGGAATGGAGTGGATGTTGAAAGCTTCTGAGGGGAGGAAGAGCCTGAAAGACATTCTCTAGGAAGGAAAGGGCAAACTGGGAGTGAGTCAGAGCTTTATGATTGACTACACTCTTTTATCATTCATAAAGACTGTCAGAGGCATTCCAACCAGAGCGACGCCATTTTGAGTGAGAGCTAGGAAAATGAGGCTGCAACTTGGCGGGGTGCATTTCCAGAAATATAGGTATTCCTAGCCTCTAGACATTTATGGTTAAGGGAATAGATTAATAATATTTACTAGGCCAGGAAAGGTGGCTCACACCTGTAATCCCAGCACTTCAGGAGGCCGAGGTGGGTGGATCACAAGGTCAGGAGTTCGAGACCTGCCTGGCCAATATTGTGAAACCCGTCTCTACTAAAAATACAAAAATTAGCTGGGTGTGGTGACATGTGCCTGTCCCGACTACTCGGGAAATGGAGGCAGAAGAATCGCTTGAACCCAGGAGGCGGAGGTTGCAGTGAGCCAAGATTGTGCCATTGCACTCTGGCCTGGGCAACAGAGGGAGACTCTGTCTCAAAAAAAAAAAAGTTTACTAAACTGACCCAGATTTAGCAATGTCCAGATAATCCTGACACCTGGAGAACAAAGGCACTTCTAATTTTGCTTTAAAGATAATAATATTGATTCTTGCAAAACATAGTAATTAAGGAAATTAATCCTTTATCACAAACTCTTGTAGCAGAGCACATCTTCCCATGATCTTCTTTTATCATATATATATATGATATATATATAAAGATATATATATAAGCATTGTACCTAGGGTGGACGCGTTCCTCCTCTTACTTTCTGGAATGCCCTACTCTGTCTATGGGTTAGCTCTTCTTTCACCACTGAACTTGCTTTTGCTGTGCACTCCAGCAGACTTGCCCTGAATTCTTTCTTGCACGAGATCCAAGAACCCTCTCTTGGGGTCTGGATTGGGACCTCTTTCCTGTAACAGGACCACCTTCCACAAATGGACCCAGGTTCAGTGTCCACTCTGATTCACTGTCCCATGCTGCCTTCCCTAAAGCAGGCACTTTGCCACTGGTTTCACACGTCTGGGGTGAAGAACTCTTCTTGGTTTGTCCGGAACCTTTCTGGTTTTGCGTGGAAAGTCCTGTGTCCTGGGAAACTCCACAGTCCCAGGCATCCTATACCATGCTTCATTTGCCAAAAACTGTGACCCAAAAAAATTGTGAACAATGATTTTACTGCAAAATGTTGGAAACTCTGTAGAAAGTAGTTGTATGGTATGCTGTGAAAATAGGGAATTTTTTTTGGGTATTTGATTTTGTAACACTTTTCTGATTATAAAAGCATTAAATACACATTTGGAGGTACTTGGAGAGACAAAGGAAAGCTTAAAGCAATGCTTTTCAAGCTTTGTTATGTGTAAGAATATCTTGCTTGAAATGTAGAGTCCCAGGCTGCAACGCAAGAGTGTGCATCAGGAAGAGTGGAGTGTTGCCCAGAAATCTGGAAGGTAAGAGAAAAGGCTAGCCACTAATAGTAGTTTAAATGAGTCGAGAGTCTGGTCTACATTTTGCATGTCTAATAGACATCTCAAAATTAGCATATCCAAAATCAGATCCAAATCCTCTCCCCTGGTCTGTCCCTGCCCACGCCCCTACCCTCTATCAAGTCTTTCCCATCTCAGCATCCTTCCAGTTGCTTAAGCCAAACACCTGGGCATAATCCTTGTCTCTATTGTTCCTATCACACCATACCTAATTGTGTTAATTCTATCTTCAAATGTATTCTGAACTTGACTATTTCCCACAACCCCCATCATCACTTGCCTAGTTTATTTCAATGGCCTTCTGACAGATGTTGCTACCTCCATTCTTGTTTCCTTGGTTCTATTTTCAACAGAGGAGCCAGAGAAATTAAAACATGAGTTAAAGCCTATAGTCAGAGCCTATCAGTCCTTTGTCCTTTTAGTGCCATCCATCTCACTCAAAGTAGAATCAAAGTCCTTAGAATGGGCCACATGGTCCTACCCAGCCTGGACCCGCTCACTTCTGTTGAGCTAATGTCCTGCACTTCACCTGATGACCTCATGTCCTGCACTTCACCCCTCCTTCACTCTGGTCCAGACACACTGGCATCCCTACTGCTCCTTATACTTGCTAGGCATGCTTCTGCCTCAAGGCCTTTGTGCAGACTCTTCCCGTTGCCTAGAACACATTTCTCTCAGATATTCTCAAAGCTGGCTCTCTAACCTCTTTCAGGCATTTGCTGAAATATCACTTTCTCTGTAAGGACTTCTCTAACCTCCCTATTTAAAATTGTAATATTTTCTCCCCACTCCCTGTTCCCCTTCTTGGTTTGTGTTAATTCATAGTACCTACCACCATCTAATATTACAAATTTTTTTTTTTTTTGAGACTGAATCTTGCTCTGTCGCCCAGGCTGGAGTGCAGTGGCAGGATCTTGGCTCACTGCAACCTCTGCCTCCCAGGTTCAAGCGATTCTCCTGCCTCAGCCTCCCAAGTACCTGGGACTACAAGTGTGTGCCACCACGCTCAGCCAATTTTTTGTATTTTTAGTAGAGACAGGGTTTCACCATGTTAGCCAGGATGGTCTTGATCTCCTGACCTCGTGATCCACCCGCCTCGGCCTCCCAAAGTGCTGGGATTACAAGTGTGAGCCACTGCATCCGGAGTATTACAAATTTTTTATTACTTTGTTCGTGGTTTGCCTTCCTCCAACAGAACACAAGCTCCACTGGGATTTTTGTCTGTTTTGTCACTGCTTTATTCCCAGGACCCAGAAGAGCACTTAGCATAAAGTAGATGCTCAATGAGTATTGGTGAAGGCATGGATGGATATATAACATATGACAGAGCTTGCAGTGTAAAACAGTGGGGAAAATTAGAGGCTGTGCATTAGATGACACTGAGATAATTAGTTAACCATATGGAAAAAAGGGGAAACAAATATATATTTTGCTCTAAACACAAAAATTAATTCCAGATATATAAAGATTTACATATGAAAGGCAAATGTCTCAGTTGTTCAGGCCTCTATGACAAAAATACCATAGACTGGGTGGCTTAAATAACAACCACTTATTTCTCATAGTTCTAGAGGTAGGGGAAGTCTGAGCTCAGGGTGCACAGTCAGTTTCAGATGAATGTTCTCTTCTGGGTTGCAGACTGCTAACTTCTCATTGTGTCTTCACATGGTGGAAGAGACAAGGGAGCTCTTTGGGGTCTCTGTCATAAGGGCACAAATCCCATTCAGTAGTGCTCTGATCTCATGACCTAATCACCTCCCAAAGGCCCCACCTCCAAATACCATCACACTGAGGATTAGGTTTTAACATGTGAATTTTAGGAGGGACACAAGCATTCAGTCTATAGCAGCTAAACTGAAAAATATTTAGTCAATAATATAGATTATCTTTGTAATCTCAAGACAAGGTAGGACTTATTAAACTAGACCAAGAGTCCAAAACATAAAGATTGATACGTTTAGCTACTTTAGAATGAAAAAACAAATGCTTCTCTCTTCTCAAAAGATGACATAAAGAGAGAGAAACAACAAGCCAGAAACTCCAAGAAGATGTTTGTAACACATATAACCAACAAGGAATTAGTGTCCAGAATATACAAAAAACAAATATTTCCCATAAATCTGAAACCAACCCATTTGTCCCATAGGACTGATTATGTTTTTTTTCTTTTAATAAACATAGAAATTTACCCTACAAGTCTTAAAACTTGAGAAACTTACATTTGTCTTATCTGAGTTCCTTTCTCAGGAAATTGATGATCAGGGCTCCCTGGTAGTATCAGGAAACTGAAACTTACCTTTCACTGCATCTGCTAAGACACCAGACCCCTCACCCTTCATGACTGCCTAACTGACCCCAGGCTGCCTGTTGACCAACTCCTCTTCCTTACCCCTCCCTAATTCCTGTTTTCCCATATGTAGTTACCTTTCTTCCCTGCTCTATAAACCCTTAATTTTAATCTGTTGAAAAGAGGAGACAGAGTTAAGACTGATCTCCAATCTCCTCGGTTGCAACACCTGAATAAAGCCTTCTTCCCTCACAATACTTGTTGTCTCAGTGATTGGCTTACTGTGCAGTGAGCAACCTAGACCAAACCCTTGGCATTTTGGTAACAAATCCAAAAGAAAACTAAAAATAGCCAATAGAAGAAAGTATAAAAAACATAAAAGACACTATACAGAAAGAGAAATACAACTGGCCAAAAAAAAAAAAAGGAAAAAAGAAAGAAAAGAAAAATGCTCAGCTTCATTAATAATTAGGAAAATGCACATTAAAACCAAATGCGATAACATTTCACACACATCAAAATGGCAAAAAGTCAAAAGTCTGACAATTCCAAGTGAAGTTGCAGATGTGGTTTAATGGGAATTTCATCTGCCACTAAAGGGAATGTAGATTATACAACCCCTGGGAAATAGTCTCCCCTCACAAAGTAACACTATATATACTGCAACCACATTCTAAGACTCAGAAATTTCATTACTAGTTACATATTCTAAAAAGTCTTGCAGGTATGTGCCAGGGTACATGTATGAGAATGTTCATAGCATCATTGGTCATAACAGCAAAACTATGAAGACAAACCAAGTTCTAAGAATAGTAAAATGGAGAAGAAAAAAACATGGGACTTTCAAATTTGGAATACCACACAGCAGTGAAAATGAACAAGCCAAAGCTATATGCATCAAGATGGTGAATCTCAGAAATAAAGACAAGTCACAGAAGAACACATACATTACAATTCCACGTATACAAAGTTTAAAAATAGGCAAAACTAGACAATATCCTGTTTAGGGATACATACATGTATCAAGGAAGTATAAAGAAAAGCTAGGCCTTGGCCTCTCCCTCTCCCTCTCCCCCTTTCCCTTGGATCTCCCTCTGTTGCAGAGGCTGGACTGTACTGCCATGATCTCAGCTTGCTGCAACCTCCCTGCCTTGGGCTCCCGTGATTCTCCTGCCTTGACCTGCCGAGTGCCTGGGATTGCAGGCATGCGCTGCAATGCCTGACTGGTTTTTGTATTTTTGGTGGAGACGGAGTTTCGCCGTGTTGACCGGGCTGGTCTCCAGCTCTTGACCTCGAGTGATCTGCCCGCCTTGGCCTCCCGAGGTGCTGGGATTGCAGACGGAGTCTCGCTCACTCAGTGCTCAATGTTGCCCAGGCTGGAGTGCAGTGGCATGATCTCAGCTCGCTACAACCTCCACCTCCCAGCCGCCTGCCTTGGCCTCCGAAAGTGCTAAGATTACAGCCTCTGCCTGGCTGCCACCCCATCTAGGAAGTGGGGAGCTCCTCTGCCCGGCCGCCCCGTCTGGGATGTGAGGAGCGCCTCTGCCCGGCCGCCACTCCGTCTGGGAACTGAGGAGCGCCTCTGCCCAGCCGCCCCATCTGAGAAGTGAGGAGCGCCTCTGCCTGGCAGCTGCCCCGTCTGGGAAGTGAGGAGCATCTCTGCCTGGCCGCCCATCGTCTGGGATGTGAGGAGCACCTCTGCCCACCCGCCCCGTCTGGGAAGTGAGGAGCGCCTCTGCCCGGCTGCCCCGTCTGGGAGGTGTACCCAACAGCTCCGAAGAGACAGCGACCATCGAGAATGGGCCATGATGACAATGGCAGTTTTGTGGAAAAGAAAAGGGGGAAATGTGGGGAAAAGAAAGAGAGATCAGATTGTTACTATGTCTGTGTAGAAAGAAGTAGACACAGGAGACTCCATTTTGTTCTGTACTGAGAAAAATTCTTCTGCCTTGGGATGCTGTTAATCTATAACCTTACCCCCGGCCCTGCGCTCTCTGAAACATGTGCTGTGTCCACTCAGGGTTAAATGGATTAAGGTCGGTGCAAGATGTGCTGTTAAACAGATGCTTGAAGGCAGCATGCTCGTTAAGAGTCATCACCACTCCCTAATCTCAAGTACCCAGGGACACAAACACTGTGGAAGGCTGCAGGGACCTCTGCCTAGGAAAGCCAGAGACCTTTGTTCACGTGTTTATCTGCTGACCTTCTCTCCACTATTATCCTATGACCCTGCCACATCCCCCTTTCCGAGAAACACCCAAGAATGATCAATAAACACTAAAAAATAAAAAATAAATAAATAAATAAATAAATAAAAAGAAAAGCTAGGATGGCCGGTGTGGTGGCTTGTCTTTAATCCTAGAACTATGGGAGGTTGAGGCAGTAGGATTGCTTGAGGCCAGGAGTTTGAGACAAGCCTGGGCGACATAGCTAGACACCATCTCTACAAAAATAATAATAAGAAGAAAAGTTCACTGGGACCGGGCGCGGTGGCTCACACCTGTAATACCAGCACTTTGGGAGGCTGAGGTAAGTGGATCACCTGAGGTCAGGAGTTCAAGACTAGCCTGGCCAACATGGTGAAACCCCGTCTCAACTAAAAATACAAAAATATTAGCTGGGCGTGGTGGCGGGCACCTGTAATCCCAGCTACCTTGGGAGGCTGAGGCAGGAGAATTGTTTGAACCTGGAAGACGGAGGCTACAGTGAGCAGAGATCACGCCATTGCACTCCAGCCTGGGTGACAAGAGCGGAATTCTGTCTCAAAAAAAAAAAAAAAAAAAAGAAAAAAGGAAAGAAAAAGAAGTGAAACCAAACGAAAAGAAAAGCTCACTAGGTGTGGTGGTATGAGCCTGTAGCTGAGGTGGGAAGATCCCTTGGGCTCGGGAGTTCACATGCTGCAGTGAGCTATAATTGTGCCACTGCACTCCAGCCTGGATGACTGACTGAAACCTAATCTCTTAAAAATAAAAATAAAAGCTGGGTGCGGTGGCTCACGCCTGTAATCCCAGCACTTTGGGAGGCTGATGGGGCGGATCACGAAGTCAGGAGATTGAGACCATCCTGGCTAACACGGTGAAACCCTGTCTCTACTAAAAATACAAAAAAATTTGCTGGGAGTGGTGGCACGTGCCTGTAGTCCCAGCTACTCAGGAGGCTGAGGCAGGAGAATCGCTTGAACCCAGGAGGCGGAGGTTGCAGTGAGCCGAGATTGCGCCACTGCACTCCAGCCTGGGTGACAGAGCGAGATTCTGTCTCAAAAAATAAAAATAAAAATAAAAGCTAGGGAATGATTATCACAAAAAAATGCAGCTCTAGCAAAGAGAGAGGGAGAGTGATCTATTGGTTAGGAGCACGTAATAAAAGATATTGGAAATATTCGATTGCTTAGAGTGACCGATGATTACATAACATCCTTTATTATCTCATCAATACTTTAAAATGTGTATATGGATTATATGTACACTTTTGAATATATATTTCACAGTTTTTGATTAAAGAAGGAGAGAAAAGGAAACAGAGGGCAGGTACAGACAATATTTTCTAATTTTGCTGTAAATGTGGAGCAGGAAAATAGGAGAGTACCTGAAGCAAAAACCTTTTAAAAACTTATGTTACTGGCCAGGCGCAGTGGCTCACGCCTGTAATCCCAGCACTTTGGGAGGCCGGGGTGGGGCGGGGAGGGGGGTGGTGGATCACCTGAGGACAGGAGTTCAAGACCAGCCTGGCCAACATGGTGAAACCCCGTCTCTACTAAAAATACAAAATTAGCCGGGAGTGGTGGTGGGGGGCGCCTGCAATCCCAGCTACTGGGGAGGCTGAAGCAGGAGAATCACTTGAAACCCAGAGGCGGAGGTTGCAGTGAGCTGAGATCGTGCCATTGCTTTCCAGCCTGGGTAACAAGAGCAAAACTCTACAAAACAAAAACAAAAACAAAAAAACTTATGGTATCAAGGAGTTTGTCTTGTTTTGGTTTTTAAAGCGATATATTATAACATGTTTGTATGCTCATGAGAATAATTCAGTGAAACGGTAAAAAAAATTTGCTGAAGCAGGAGAGTAGATATTTATAGATGGTTAGTCCATTTTTGAGAAAACAAGAGAGGATGGGATCTAGCCTTCTCAGGGAGAGTAGAGACATCAAGGTGGTTCTGCTATGGCAGAACTTGCTGGAAACCCACTCTCTAGGGTGCAGGCAAAAGCTGTTCATACCAGAGACACTCCAGTATAAAACCCCTTCAGGAGGGGTGCCTAAGGAAGCTGCTCACTGCTGGGTGTTGCTGACTGTGACTGAAGTAACTGGACACTAGGTAAGTTTTGGGTGCTGCAGGAGCAGGTGCTGCTAAACCATGCACTCACTGCAGGAACCTGGCAAACAGCACACCAGAACCAGGAAGCAAAATCGTTTTTCCCTGCAATGACTCTCCAGTGCCCTCTACTGACAAAGCTTCAGGGCCAGATGGCAAAGAAAACATAATTAAAAGATTCAGGATCATTTTTGGAGCTGAGAGGCAGTAAATCCATAACTCACAAACTGGGGAATGGAGGGATCAGGCTGACAATACCTGAATCTTCCATCAAATCTACCATCACTAATAGTGGGATGAGATCATATACCTCTAAATGTGATACCATAGGTACACAGCACTGCTTTTGAAGTATTCTCCTTAAAAAATTGAACCCAGCCGGGAGTGGTGGCTTACGCCTGCAATCCCAGCACTTTGGGAGGCCGAAACAGGCGAGTCACCTGAGGTCAGGAGTTTGAGACCAGCCTGGTCCAACATTGTGAAACCCCGTTTCTACTAAAAATACAAAAATTAGCCTGGCATAGCGGCGGGCACCTGTAATCTTAGCTACTCAGGAGACTGAGGCAGGAGAATCACTTGAACCCAGGAGGCAGAGGTTGCAGTGACCCGAGATTGCACCACTGCACTCCAGCCTGGATGACAGCGAGACTCCATCTCAAAAACAAACAAACAAAAACCCCAAATCTGATAAAGCCTTTTAAGTAAATAAAAATAAAAGCTAAGGAATGATTATCACAGAAATGCAGAGTGATGCTTACCTCTATAGCAGAGAGAGACGGACTAGTAGTATCTGGGTTAGGGACATATGGTGAAAGATATTGAAAATGTTTGATTGCTTAGAATGAGAGATGACTACATAGCATCCTTTATTATCTTATGAATCTTATCTAAGATACACAGGAAATAGAGGAACAAGTTAATTGATACCATGAGGAAGCAATCAACCAAATCCAGTACTGGGAACATTCTATGGGATAAATGAACTGGCTTCTCCAGCAAATTAATGGAATGAAAATAAGGGAAGGGTAGATTGTTATAATAAGATTAAGAGACATAATAATAAAATGCAATGTATTGCCAAAATATAATTTTTAAAAGTCAATGACAGTATCCTATACAAAGAAAAAGTGAGCATGTATCAAAGATGTACTAACAAGAGACTAGTAAAAAAAGAACTAGTTCAAAGAGAATTTGGAAGATTGAATATACATACACTGGACATACATCTTCTATACCTCCACTGAACAAAATTCATTGACATTGCTATTGACCAAGAATCATTTCCATTGATATCACTTTTCTACAAGTTAATGTCTACCCCTAAGGAGTACTCTAAATACCCTAAAATACTAAATCAAAGTTAAACTACCCTAGAGAATTAGATAATTTTTACGTAGGCCTATTAGAAAATGCTACAGTGTCGGCCGGGCGCGTTGTATCAAGCCTGTAATCCCAGCACTTTGGGAGGCCAAGGCAGGAGGATTGCTTGGGTCCAGAAGTTTGAGACCAGCCTGGGCAACATGGCCAGACCTTGTCTGTACAAAAAATACAAAAATTAGCCGGGCATGGTGGCACACATCTGTCCCAGCTACTCAGGAGGCTGAGGTGGGAGAATTGCATTAGCTCAGGAGGTCGAGGCTGTAGTGAGCCATGATTGCACCATTGCACTCTAGCCTGGGTGACAGAGTGAGACCCTGTTTCAAAAAAAAAAAAAAAATTTTTTTTAAGTTGAATTTGTCATTATATATTATACAATATATTTTCACTAACTTTTGAGCTAATAGACATTTAAAAGTCACCAAATTTGGAATACAAAGTATTTTAAATGACATCCCAAGTCATATAAGAGATTGGTTCAGCCTACGCTTTCTGTTCAAAACCCAGTAGTTAATGCTATTAGCATTCAAAATGCCTTTTTTTCCTTTTAAAAAGGACAGTTAAACCTGTTATTTTTTATCCTGCAGCCAGTTCTTAGCACAAAAGCAGGCAGATTTTAGTAGCACAAAATTATTTATTAGCTTATGCCTCTACCAGAAAACAGAAATGTTGGCTTAAAATTGTTTCATTGATGTAACTTTTACCTTTTCCTTTACAGATATTCATTTATTCATTCTGGCCCTAATACCAAGGTATCCTTCACACAAAAGATTCAAACAGATTCTTTGCATCTTTACCAATGGGAGTTTCATGTTTTCAAGTTTTTGTTTGTTTGTTTGTTTGTTTTTTGTTTGGAGGCCTCTTTCCAAGCACTCTAGTATTCTTAAAATCCTGAGATTCTGAATGGTATGATTTAGCTCAATATGTTTATACTAAACTTAGGGGAAAAAAACTAATATATTTTCCTTACCCATCACAAGGTTTATGCTGAGACTTCAATAACAAAAAACAGACTAACAAGAGAAAAGCATGCACATTTATTTTATCCAAGTTTTACATGACATGGGAACTTTCAGAAACGAAAACCCAAAGAAATGGGGACATTTGTGTAGTTGTATAGACAGTCAGGCAGATGTATGATTGCAAGGACAAAAGTGTATGAGCTAACGGTGATAAACTGAGAAGTTGGAAAGGCCTGTCTATTCAGTTTCTTCTTGGCATACCTGTGTGGCAGTCCCTCCCTCAGGGCATAGGAGAGGATGCCTGTTATATAAGGGGCCTCAGATGAAGGAGGGAGAAGGAGGGAGCAGGTCAGAGAGTGACCTTCCTAGATTTTGTGGCCTGCTTCAGGGAAGAAGGGGCGAGGGGAACTCTAGTTTCTATGGCCTGCTTCAGGGCAGAAAGGAGCAAGAGGTCAGAGAAACCTTCCTGTTTCTGCTATTTTCTCAATTTCCAAGGTGCCATATTTTGGGGTGGCATTTCCTGTACCCTGTCATATACAAACTCATTTTTAGACAGCGGCCTTTAGTTCCTCCTGAGGTTAAACCAGAGCTGCTCAAGGAATATACCTACTAAATCTTCTTGCTCCATTTAAGATATTTATTTCAAATGCAAATAATTATACCATACCCTTTGGCCTAGTCAGCACTGATTCACTATTTCAAAGCTTTACATTTAAGCCTCATAATAACCGTACGAAGCAGATCTAGCTACTTCCATGTTACAGAAGAAGAACCTGTGGCACACAGAGGTTGAGCAGCTGCCCCAAAGCCTCACAGAATGTGGCAGACTGGAGAATTCAACGCAGAACTCTTACCCAGCCCCATATGCTGCCTTGGCCTCCATCTGGTATGACCACAGAAATGGAGAGCTGGAGGAAGGAATTTCAACTCTGCTTCAGAACCTTAAATGAAGCAGGAAGCTGTAGAGGGGCACAAAGCTACAAAGCTGCTCCAAAGCTGTCTCCTCCAACACAAAGCAGAAATTGTGTTCCCAGCATCCATTTCTGTTACCCTTACTTGGACTTGAGAAGCTGTATCAATCAAGATGTAGTGTGGTGGGAGAGGGACTCAGTGCATGACTGATACCCAGCCAAGCAGGGCCAGGCAGCTTTAGAAATGCCCACACTGGGGAATTGAACAATGAGAACACATGGACACAAGAAGGGGAACATCACACACCAGGGGCTGTTGTGGGGTGGGGGGAGGGGGGAGGGATAGCTTTAGGAGAGATATACCTAATGCTAAATGATAACAAACCTGCACGTTGTGAACATGTACCCTAAAACTTAAAGTGTAATAATAATAAAATTTTTTTACAAAAAGAAAAAGAAATGCCCACACTGAGCTCATTTCATTTAACAAACATTTATTTACATGGAAGCCATGTGCATGGAAGACAGGTGTTGTCTCAACTCTCTTGGGGCGTACACTGAGGGGGAGGAAGATCGAAAATAAACACATTGACAAAGAAATGAACAAGGTGCTTTCAAATGGCAACAAATGCATGAAGAAAGGGAAACAGAATAATGCATGATGGGGAACTGGTTTCAACTGGGTGAGGGAGGAAGACCTTTCTGAGATGTAGACATGACTGACAAGAAGCGGGCAGCCATGCAAGGGGCTGGGGCAGGGAGTTTCAAGACCAGGTGTAAGGTGAAAGCACAGGGACCGAGGGAGAAGTGGCATGAGGGAGGTCAGAGAGTTAAGCAGAGCTGTCATGTCAGGAGCCCCAGCCCCTGCAAGAGTCTTCCATGCCCCTCTAAGTGTGCTGAGAGGATAGAGAATTTTAAGTGGGGTGGTGGATTTGTGGCTGGAGTCTGCCCAGAATGGTCTGTGAATAGGCCAAAGACCTCAGGACAGGGAGAAAACGCTTAGTGGCACAGCATTATTTTTTATTTTATTATTATTTTTTGAGACGGAGTCTCGCTCCGTCCCCAGGCTGGAGTGCAGTGGGGCGATCTCGGCTCACTGCAACCTCCGCCTCCCGGGTTCAAGCGATTCTCTTGCCTCAGCCTCCTGAGTAGCTGGGACTACAGGTGCGCGCCACCACGCCCGGCTAATTTTTGTATTTTTAGTAGAGACGGGGTTTCACCATGTTGGCCAGGATGGTCTCGATCTCTTGACCTCGTGATCCGCCCACCTCGGCCTCCCAAAGTGCTGAGATTACAGGCGTGAGCCACCGCGCTCGGCGGCAGAGCATTATTTAAGGAGCATGTTAAACACACTTTCTTCCCACACCACCAACTAAAAAAGCAGGTATCAAGAGGGTCTAGGTAGGTGCTGAGACCACCTCCAGAGCACAGGCCCGCCAGAGTTGTGCTCAGCAGGTGAGGTCTACACTCCTCTCAGCCCGGAGGGGCAGCGTGAGTTATACTGCTGGACAAAGGGGAAAAAGACAAAATGCTGGGCTGGGGTAGAAGGGAAGGACGCGGGTGTTAAATGTGGGCGTGGTTTCTTCTGAATGTCCCACCCACTCCACTATACATTGCTTAAATGCAGTGCAAATTTCCCTACCCCCAGCGGAGGAGGGGTGAAGATTCAGCAGGTTTTAGGGTCTAGGACCCTGAGCTCCTCCATTCATGAATACCCAAACAACTGTAGCCCACCCTCTCACCACTGCCTAGGCGGACGACCAGTGTCCCCAGCTAGATCTCTACCCTTAGGAGCAGGGCACTGGCTGACCCGGAGAACCTGCGCCGCCTCTTCTCAGCCTGCTGCCAGCCCAGTGCACGAGCTGAATGCCGCTGCCGCCTGGCTGGCCGGGAAAGACGGGGATCTTGACGCGGCGGCGCCTGGGACACGGCAACCGCAGCACAGGGCATGGCCCTGCGGCTGGACCGGACGCGGCGGCTGCAGGCAGAGCAGGAAGAGAGCGCAGGCTGGGCAGCGGCGTACGCTTCGGCGACGTCAGCTTCCGGGGCCGTGGACGGGGGCGCGCCCGAGCCTCCTGGAAACCTCCCCACCAAGGACCTGGGGAACCCAAGTCTCGGCCCGCTTTGTAGCCTCTGGTTTCTAAATTCAGCGTCGAGGAGCGAAAACAACCCCCCTGAACTGGGCCCAGACCCTTAAGCTCCTGGAACCTCAGTTTTTCCTTCCGTCGAATGGCGACAATGGCTGTCTGGTTGAACGTTATTTTACCTAGGAAGTAATAATTTTCGTAAATAGGTCTCTGAGAGTATTTGCTTGCTAAAATCCTGCTTTGTCCTGGAAGCAAATTTAGGCCACGTTAGGGGCGGGGACTTCGTATTTGATGTTGAGCACCTGGCGAGCGCCACCTTCGCCTCAAAGCGCCCTCGGACCCTGATCCAGCATAAGGCCAGAGTTGGGCAGTGAGGGGTCTCGAGAGGTGGAAAGGGGATTATTGCCCTCTCAAGAGTCCTACGTAGGTGACTCCTAAGCCTTAGCATTTACTCCCTTAGACCGTGTAACAGGCCACCCCAATTACGCGCCAAACTCAGGCTGCGGCTCTTGGCGCAGCCTCGGTCCCGCCTGATTTCAGTTTCCATTTCGCTGCCCCTGGTGCCCCACCGCCCGCGGCTGTCTGGGGATTTGCCCGGTGATCAGTGACGTAAAAGAGACTAAGGTTCCCATTGGATGGCGAAGTTCGGCAGGAGCCAATCCCGGGGCTGGTCCGGGAGAAATCTCGGCGAAGGGCCCCGAATAGCCGGGAGATTACGGGGCGGGGACGAGCTGTCGCGCTGGTTGCTCGTGCAGGAGCGGGACCCGGAACAGACCGCCGTGAGAGAGGAGGGGTGCCGGCCGGGATTCGCGGCCCGGAGCTCGGGACCGGTGAGTAGGGGGTGCACATGAGACATACAGCGAAGCAACAGTCTCGTACGCTCACCGGGTTTGGGGCGACCCAACGCAGCCGCCGGGCCCGGGTTCAAAACGGGGCCAGGCCCCCGGGCGGGCTCAGGAGGGGGTCAAGTTCGCTGCGTCCTCCCTGCCAGCCAGATCCCTCCTGTTTGCTTGTCCTTACATTCTCCCCCTCCTCTTGGGTCTTTCTCGCTTTCTGGTATCCTACTCAGACTCCCATCCATTCTAGTCTGCGGAACCAGAAGTAAGCGGGGCCTGGATGACCGTCCGGTTGCTTGGAGCCTGGTAGATAGGCGACTAATCCAGCTCCCTGACCAAAGTGTCATGCTTTCTTTCTCTTTCTTTTTTTTTTTTTTTTTTTTGTTCGGAGTAAACCGGTTTAGCCACAAATACTTGGAGCTGTGCTTTCACTCCTTCCAGCTCATTAGCATTTTTCTTACTGATTTTCTCCCTATTTGGCCTTAGAAAAAAAGTGTAAATTTAACTCTGTGGAGTAAATGGGAGGGACACACTTCCAAATCTCCAGTAGATTTCAAATTTTGACCCACGATTTGTGTGTACTTCAAAAGAGGGGAGAATGACATTCGTTTATGCATGCCTTAACCTCCTGTTTTTAACTCTTAGCTGAAATCATAATCCCTAACATGTTTTTCCCCAAGTTCAAAAAAATCACCTTTAAAAAAAATAGGCTTTTTATGTTTCAAAAATTGCAATTTTATTGTTTAAGTAGACTTTATTTCTTACAACACTTTTAGATTTACAGAAGAATTGAGAAGATAGTACAAACTTCCCACATGCTCCAAACCGGATCCCCTGTTATTAACATCTTACCTCAGTGTGGTACATTTGTTGCAGTTAACCAATATCAATACATTATTATTGACCAAAGTCCATAGTGTGTTCAGATTTCCTTAGTTTTTACCTCAGTACTTTTTCTGTTTCATGATCCCATGGAGGTTACCACATTACATTTAGTTGTCATGTCTCCTTATGCTCCTCTTGGCTGTGGGAGTTTCTCAGACTTGTTTTGATGACCTTGACAGCATTGAAGAATACTGGTCGTGTATGTTGTAGGATGCCCCTCTATTGGAATTTGATGTTTTTCTCCTAAGACTGGGCTTATGGGTAACTGGGAGGAAGACCACAGAGGTAGATTGCCATTATCATCCCATCGTATCAAGGGCATGTACTAACATGATTTATGACTTAATATTGATTTGGGTGAGATAGTGTTTTTCAGGTTTCTCCACTGTACAGTTAGTCTCTTTTCCACTCTTTGCGTGTATTGTCCTCTTTAGAAGGAAGTCACTAAGTGCAGCCCATACCTAGGGAGCCAAGAGTTATATTCCCCCTTCTTGAGGGCAAGTATCTACATATTATTGTTTGCAGTTATTCTGCATGGAAGATTTGTTTCTCTCTTCCCCCAATTTATTAATTTATTCAATCATTAATTTCAGTGTAGACTCAGGGACATTTATTTTATACTTTGGTTTATAATCCAATACTACTTAATTTTGTTGCTCAAATTACTGTGGCTTTGGCTGTTGGGAGCTCTTTTCACATTGGCTCCTGTGCTCTTTCATAGTATTTTTATAGAGCTTTTTGCTAATGAGACACTCGTACTTATGTGACCTTGCCTCAACCTCAAATAGCCTGGTAAACTTGGCAAAATATTTTCCCCTTGTTAAGAGGTAAGGAGACTGAAGGCCTAAGGCAGTGGGTGACTTCTTAGATATCACTTCCTGCAGGGGAGTAACAGGTTGGACTCAGATTGTGTGTGACCACCACAGAAGACACTGCAAACCCCCGAAGAGAGTCCATGGTCTGTATTGAGGCTTCTTGGAATGACTTCAGACTTGGACCCCCCCAGGATCAGAATAGAAAAGACACAGAGAATGGGAAATTGGTTTGAGAAGACAAAAACATAAATTGGCTGGCATCAGGATGAATTAGATTTTGCCAGCTTTATAGAAATGGAATTTTGTTCTTCCCCCCAAAATTGTGTGTGTGTGGAGGGAGGCCAAGAGATATCTAGGTAATGTGTGTGGGCAAGAATGTCTAATCTAAAGAGAGCCCTGGAAGCCTGCTGCTGAAGCAGAATTTTAATGTGGGAAAGGGGGGTGTGTAGTGAAAGGGGGAAGAATGGAGATGGCAGGGCTCTGGAATTAGAGGAGGTCATTCATTTCACAAACATTTGCAGACCCCCTACTTTGTGCCAGATATTGGAGATAAAAAGGTCAGTGAGGCATGACCTTTGGGTTCACATTCTGGTGGGAGAGAAGACAGATAAAAATATCAATTACAGCCACTTATCCATAGCTTAGTTTTCCGTGGTTTCCGTTACCCATGGTCAACCTCAGCCCAAAGACAGTAAACAGAAAATTCCAGAAGTAAACAATTCATAAGTTTTAGATGTGCATTGTTCTGAGTAGCATGATGAAATCTCTTGCCCTCCCACTGTTCCTTCATCACAAGAAGGGTAAGTACAGTACAAGATAGTTTGAGAGAGAGAGAGACCACATGCATATAACTTTTATTACGGTATATTGTTATTCTGTTGTGTTATTATTGTTAATCTATTTCTGTGCCTACTTTATAAACTTTATTACAAGTGTGTATGTGTAGGAGAAACAGGTTTCAGACATCCACTGGGGGTTTTGGAATGCATCTCCTGAGGATTGAGGGGACTCCTGTATGAATGTATCTTTAGCGGATGGGGGGTGCTACTGTATGAAGCACTGTGATAGTGCTATTGTAGAAATACAGTGTATGCAAAGCTGCAGGAGGAGGGATACATTCAACTCAGAGGTGGGATGGGTACAGGAAACACCTCACAGATAAGGGGACAAATTGTATTCAAGCCTTCAAGGATGCGCTGGACTGGAGAGAAGAGCATGTACAAGGGAATGGGTGGAGAGTGGGGAGTGAAGAAGGGGCTGTCTTCCTGGTTCAGTGTATCTAATGGCCAGAGAATTAGGTAGGACGAGGAGGGATTTGGGGCTGGATGGGTAAGTTGGGGCTAGCCGGATGCAGGGCAGGGGAGGATGTCTGTGCAGTTTTTTTTTTTTGTTTTGAGTCAGAGTCTCGCTCTGTCACCCAGGCTGGAGTGCAGTGGCGTGATCTCAGCTCACTGCAACCTCCGCCTCCTGGGTTCAAGCGATTCTCCTGCCTCAGCCTCCCGAGTAGCTAGGACTACAGGCGCGTGCCACCATGCCCGGCTAATTTTTGTATTTTTAGTAGAGGCTGGGTTTCACCATGTTGGCCAGGATGGTCTCGATCTCTTGACCTCATGATCTGCCCACCTCGGCCTCCCAAAGTGCTGGGATTACAGGCGTGAGGCACCGTGCCCGGCCACCTGTGCAGTTTTGACCTCAGCTAGTAGGAGTTTTTTTGGTGTGTTTGTTTTTATTTTTATTTTTATTTTTATTTATTTATTTTATTTTAGAGACAGTCTCTCCCTATGTTGGCCAGGCTAGTCTTGAACCCCTGGATTCAAGGGATCCTCCTGCCTCAGCCTCCCACAGTGCTAGGATTATAGGCATGAGGCACCAAACCCAGCCTCAGCTAGGAGATTTGAAGCAGGAGAATAACAAGGATGAGATCCTGTGTGCTAGAAGGATGATCCTGGCAGCACTTTTTAGGAAATATGCCACATCTCACCAAATCTAAGATGCTATTTGTCTTAATCCATTTTCTGTTGCTGTAACAGAATACCACAGACTGGGTAAATTGTAAACAACAGATGTTTATTCAGCTCACGGTTCTGGCCAATGGACTCTTGCAAGAAAGGCATTAATCCATTCATGAGAGTTACACCCTCATGACCCAGTCACGTCTTAAAGACCCCACCTCTTAATACCGTTACATTGGCAATTACGTTTCCAACACGTGAACTTTTGGGGGACATGTTCAAACCACAGCACCACCAAATCTTTTATGTGCCCTTATTTTATGCTCCACATCAAAAAAATATTTTGCCAGTTAAATTATGACATGCAATTGATCACATTTCAGAGATGCTAAAATGTGATGTCACAGGTGTCTCAAATTTGATGAAAAGCACTAACTCCCTTGCTGATGGCTTAGATTCCTCCCTTTCCCTGGATTAATGGTTAGGATGTCTCCATCTCACTAACTCATAGATGGTAAGTTACCAAGGGAAAGAAGAACAGAAGCTGGGTGGGCCCTTCCCCTTCTCTCCCCAAAGATAAACATTTACAACATTTACTGGTTGGGTCGAGGAGCACAATATCTGGTCTGCTGCTATAGGATTCCTTGGCCTGTTATTGGGCCTGTCTCATGCTGTTTCCTTTTGGGGAGTTAAATACACACACACACACACACACACACACACACACACACACACACACACATATTCTATATCCCATCCTCCAGAGTGGCAAAAATTAAAGCTGATATTATCAGGTGTTGGTGAGGCTGTGGGGCATCATGAGTGCTCATAGCCTGCTGAGCAGACTACATAGCACTATAGTCACTTTGGAAACAGTTTGGCCTGCTTAGTCAAATTGAGGGTACATCTTGCCTGTGTGTGCTAGAACATGTATGCAGAAATATTCACTGAAGCAGTGTTTGTAATTGTCCCAAACTGGAAACAACTCATATGGCTATCAGTAGACTGCATTAAAAATTGTATAGTTAGAGAGCAGCAATTAAGTAAAATCAGCTCATAATCACATGGATGAGCCTCACAAACATGTTGACAGCCCCCCACCCAAATACATGGAAAAAAAAAAAAAAAAAAGGAAAAAAATTCCATTCATTTGAGGCTCAAAACCTGAGAAAATAAACTCTGTTTATGGGGTGTATACCTAGGTCTAAAACTAAAGAAAAGGGAAGGAGTGATTCTCACTATTACAATTTACTCCACAACAACCATTTTCTCAGACACAGCTTTTTCTTCTCCTGGTTTCTGTAAGTTGCTGGAGCGAAACCTTGGATACGATGATTTGCTGGTGACGTGCAGCCCACTGTTCTTGCTGCTACAGGGAATATGAAGAAATTGCTTCTCTCTCTACCAATTTACTACCATCTTGCTGGAGAGAAAGGGCAGGTGGCTAAGATTGTTCGCATTCCTTCAGCAGATGTGTAGGAAGCATCTTCTTTGTGTCAGATACTCTGTGCTTGTGCTTTGTTTTCTCAGTCAGTTTTTATTGTCTACTCTGTGCCAAGTAATATGTAGATTCTGGTGATAAGACAGACACAATCTCTCTCCTTGTTTCATGGAAAAAGCTGGTGTTAAGCGAGTAATTACACTAATAAGTCAGGACTTAAAACTGCAGAGAAGTACAGGGTGCAGCATGGGGTGTTTTGGGGCTGTATAACTAGACTACATGTGGACCCAATCTGACAGGTCAGGAAAGAATTGCCAGAGGAGGTGGCTTTCAGCTGAGACTTCAAGCTAGAAAAGGCATTTGCTAAGTGGGAAAGGGATGGTGTTCTAGGCAGAAGGAATTACATTGTCGAAGGGCTTAGCCAGGAAAGAGCATAGCACTTTGAGGCATGGAGAGCGGTTTGGTTTGGCTGTGAGTTTGAGGTGGGGAGTGGCAGGAAATGAGCCTGGAGACACAGGCTGGGCCATGATTATCTGGGAATCCAGCTAGGATCTCCTGGGACAGCCTCCTCACAGAAGAAAGGAAGGACAGGAGTTTTGACTTTATTCCTGGAGCACCAGAAAGCCATTGAGGGGTTTAACCTGGTTGGTCACCCGGGCAGATTGGCAGTTTAACACGTGACCGAGTGTGTTTGAGGATCAAAAGGCCAGAGTGGCTGCAGCACTGGGGCAGCAAAGGGGAGAGGAGGTTTATGTAAATCAGGAAACCCTTGAGGGTTTGATGATCCCACAGTTGGATCTGATTTCAGCTTCTAAAGGATTCCTCAGGTCACTGGATGTAAGTTCTGGTAGGACAGGGAGTTTGCCACTTTTGTTCTCTGCTGTAACCTCGGTGCCTGACACATAGTCGGCACCTAATAAACATCTGCTAGCTGTTGAATAACTTTCAACATCCTGCTGCTTAAACCCTCAATGGCTTCCCAGGGCTGTTAGGATAAAGTCCAAAATTCTTAACCTGGGTCACAGTCTTGCATAATCTGTTCCCTCCTGTTTCTCCACCCTTCCTCTGCTCGCCTCACTGCACTCCACCTGTGGCCAATTGTCAGCTCCTCAAATTCACCGCTACCCTTTCTCCGGCGGATGATTTCCTCTGCCTGTGAGGCTAACCCTCCACAGCACTCCATATGGGCAGGGAAGAGTTCATTTTCCAGGCACCAAAGTGCAGTGTATGGTGGAATGGAAGGAGCCCAGAGCTGGGAGGTGCACCTCACCCCACCTCGTGCTAGTGCTGGCCTTGCTGCCAGCCAGCTCTGCTGCTGGGCAAATGAGTCCGAGGCTCTGGCACTCACTGTCCTCCTCTGTAAATAAGGGGTTCTAGTGATTCACAGTCCTGGATAGACTTTAGAATCTCCTGGGAAGTTTGTTTTTTAATACCAGAGCCTGGGCCACCTCTGGAGATCCTAAGTCAGTTGGTCTAGGTATGTTTTGAAGACTCACCAGTTTGAAGACTACAAATCTGATGTGTAGTCAAGGTTTGAACCATTCCACAAGATGATAAAGGATTCCTTCCTATATTTGGTGCAAAGCACCAAGTGACACTTAGGAATATTTTAGACAAGAGAGCTTGGTTCATGATTCAACATTAGACAGATATTCTGGCACAAATATGAAGAACCCTCAATTTTCCCCTGTGGGTCAGCCACAAGACCAGGGCAATTTAACGCCTTGTCTCATCCACCTCCCAGCTGGCTGCTACCTCCTGCCCCTCTTTGAGCCCTGTGGGGATTTCTAGCGTTCAGAGCCCTGGTAGTTTTTGTGGCCTGCACTGTGCTTCAGAGCACCACTGATGCTCGGCTCCGTGGGGAAAGTAAGCCAAGTGTGACCACAAGAACGCATCATCCACAGTCACTGGGATCTCCTGGGACAGCCTGGGATCCAGGCCTTTGGCCTGGCCAGTAGGGGTGCAGTCACTCCTAGTATGCACATCCAGATCACTTGCTTTTTGCCCCGAATTCTGGCCTCTCCAGGTTTGTTAGAGGTGTCTCACGGAAGTTTACCCCATGGAGAGTTTGCTTATCTCAGATTAAAATATGGGGATTAATCTGGGACCCAGGAGCCCTTAAATGGAGTACCCACAGGGAATGGAGCTCTAGGCTAAGTGCTTTGGGATTACAGGTGCTTTGCTCTTGTTTGGAGGTCCAGACATATGCTTGAGAAGCAGCTTGGGATACTCAAGAGAGGCCTGAACTGGTACCCTGGAGGCCAGGATGAAAACCCAGGCCTCTCCATTTACTTTCTTGGGCCCCAGAGTCCACATTTGGGATTCACTGTCTACCAGGGCACCTCTCTGGGTGGCATCTAGGAGCCGGAGGCAGGCCAGAGTTTCACCCAGGCTGGAGTGCAGTGGCGCAGTCATGGCTGTCTGCAGCCTCAACTTCCCGGGCTCGGGAGATCCTCCTGCCTCAACTTCCTAAGTAGCTGGAACTATAGGCATGTGCCATCGCACCCAGCTAATTCAGCTAATTTCTTTTTTTGGAGACAATGTCTCACTATATTACCCAGGCTGGTCTCAAACTCCTGGGCTCAGGCAGTCCTCCTGCCTTAGCCTCCCACAGTGCTGGAATTACAGGCACAAGCCCCCGTGCCCGGCTTTCAGCTAGTTTTTGTAGCTCATAGTGATTATTCTTGGAGCCAATAATCGTGCATGCATCCACATCTTGAAATTACATGGTGTCACCTTGACCAGTCTGTTGACATATGCAGATTAGGTATTTATGAGATCCAGAGACTTATAGGGGAGGGGTGGATTTCAGGGAAAAGGGAACCTCTTAGAGAAAGGTAGGGAGTGTCTGCAGTTCTGCCTGTGAGGAGGGTACCAGGACATTGCAGGGCTTGTTTGTTGCATCTTCCTGGTTCTATAGAATTGCAGCTAGCTTCTGGTTTATTTTTTCATTTTTATTTTTTGAGATGGAGTTTTGCTCTTGTTGCCCAGGCTGGAGTGCAATTGGCGTGATCTCAGCTCACTGCAACCTCCGCCTCCTGGGTTCAAGCGATTCTCCTGCCTCAGCCTGCCCAGTAGCTGGGATTATAGGCATGCGCCACCACACCTGGCTAATTTTGTATTGTTAGTAGAGATGGGGTTTCTCCTTGTTGGTCAGGCTGGTCTCAAACTCCCGATCTCAGGTGATCCACCCGCCTCTGCCTCCCAGAGTGCTAGGATTACAGGCAGAAGCCACCGCGCCCGGCCGCTTCTGGTTTATTGAAGAGACAGAAAAATACCCCCTCACCCCCAGCAGGGATGTGTGACCTCTGGTGCAAGGGAGTTCATGAAGTGACTTCTTCAGGTTCAGAATTCTCATCTGAGTAAAGGGAGTGGGGGTGGAGTGGGTCATCTCTGAGGTTTTTTTTTTTTGGCTCTGATTTTGGTTTCTGTCTGCCCAGGAGTCAGGAATGGAGAGAAGGGTAATGGTTTTACCTCTTATTGTGGAAACCTGTTGAGATCACAGAGAATATACTGACGGCATAAAAGGGCAGAACCATAGCAGGGTGCGGTAAGTTGGGGAAGAGTTTTTGGAGAGGGTGAATTTTGCATTGGACCTGACAGAATTGTGTATGGGGAAGGGGAGCGGTTATTCTGGTCTGCTCACATCTCTCATACTCAACCTCATTTCTCCTAATTCTGAAATCTTGAGATCCTCTATCACTAAGAAGGAAAACTACTGTCCAACAGGGACACTTTATTGCTCACCCCATATGTGAAAGTTTGTCATAGCTAAGGCTAGGGTGCTTTTGGTCAGTATCAGCAGAATATATGCCCCCTTTCTTTTGTCAGCATTACTCCGCTTACAAAGCCCTTCCATGTAGATGACCTCATCTGAGCTTCCTAACAAAGGAGCTGGTATTAGACCCCATTTTACAGTGTGCCTGGGTAGGGAAGAGAGTGTAGTGGATTGAGCAGAGGCCTTGGCACCAGACACTGCTTCCTAGCCATGTGCTCTTGGGCAAGTTGCTTAACCCTGCTGAGCCTCAGTTTCCTCAGAAGGAGTCTGTATAAGCAAGGGAAGGGATTGGTCATAGAAGTGGTACTGTGTTTCATTTATCTGGTTATGGCAGACTCTCAAAAACAAATGGTTCTATACAACTAACATTGTCTGCAATTCCCCTGAATCCATTCACTTGTTCAGTAAATGTGTATTGAGCTTCTACAAGGTGTCAAGCACCATGATCTCTGTATCAGTGATTTAACCATTTTTGATGGTTACTACAGACCTCTTTAAGAATGTGATAGAAAACTGTAGCTCCCTCCCCAGAAAACTTTTCTAGCTTTTTATTTTGCTTTGCAGTGAGCCAAGATAGTTCCACTGCACTCGGGGGACAGAGTAAGACCCTGTCTCAAAAAAAAAAAAAAGAAAGGAACCATTTCAAATTAGGTGGGAGACATGGAGCTCTAAATACTACAGCATCCATTGCCTAGAAATACAGGTATTCTCAGCCGGGCGCGGTGGCTCACACCTGTAATCCCAGCACTTTGGGAAGCCAAGGCAGGTGGATCACCTGAGGTCAGGAGTTTGAGACCAGCCTGGCCAACCTGGTGAAACCCCGTCTCTACTAAAACTACAAAAAATTAGCCGGATGTGGTGGTGGGCACCTGTAATCCCAGCTACTAGGGAGGCTGAGGCAGGAGAATCGCTTGAACCTGGCAAGCGAAGGTTGTAGTGAGCCAGATTGCGCCATTGCACTCCAGCCTGGGCAACAAGAGAAAAACTCCATCTCAAAAATAAATAAATATATTAATAAATAAATAAGAAGTATAGGCATTCTCATACATAACCTCAGTAAATACCATTAAGAAAATAATTTTAGACATGGTGCAGTTGCTCATGCCTATAATCCCAGCACTTTGGGAGGCTGAGGTGGGAGGATGGCTTGAGCCTAGGAGTTTGAGACCAGCCTGGGCAATATAGTGGCAACTCTTCTCTACAAAAACCTTTAAAAATTAGCCAAGTGTGGTAGTATGCACCTGTTGTTGCAGCAACTCGGGAGCCTGAGATGAGAAGATTGCTTGAGCCAGGGAGGCCGAGGTTGCAGTGAGCCCAGATAGTTCCACTGCACTCTGGGGGACAGAGTAAGACCCTGTCTCAAAAAAAAAAAAAAAAAAAAGAAAGAGAGGAAATAATTTTTTAATATGATCTAACACCCAGCCTACTTACAAATTTCCCACAATAGTTCCAAGACTATTTTTATAACCTTTTTTTTCTTTTTACAGGATCCAATCAAGGTTCACGTATTGCATTTGGTTATTATTTCTCTTTAGTCTGTAAAAATCAAAAGCAGTTCTTTCGAAGGTTTTTTTTTATGACATTGACTTTTTAAAAGACTAGGCCAGTTGCCATGTGCAATGTCCAGCATTCTGGATTTATCTGGTTCTTTCCTTATGGTGTGGTTTAATTCCTCCATCGGTACTTTTTCAGTTATAACATACTTCAGAGTATTCCTTTCCTTTATATTTTTTATAAACTGGAAGTTAGATCTAAAGTCTTGACTAGATTCATTCAAGTCAAACATTTTTGGCACAAACACTTCATAGGTAATGTTGTGTGATTCATATAGTGCCATGCCAGAAAGCACATGCCACTTTGCCCCGTCTGCTGATGACGCTGGATTTGGTCACTTAGTTAAGATAACCACTGGATCTCTTCCTTATGAAGGTATGTCAGGAAGTAATCCATTCATTGGTGCTTTGGCACCATGGGTACTATCTCATCCCCCAAAACTTTTCACCTAATAGTTTTAGCATCTATTGATGATCCTTGTGCTATTATAATGGCAGTCGCAAAATGATTTTCTAATTCTGTTATCCCTCTTCTACTTATTTGCTGATTAATCTTACAGAAGGTTATTCTTCTGTAATCCCCAGACAATTTTAGGTATCTAGTACATATGCAATAATTTTTAGACAGTTTCAGGAGGTTTAGAGACCATCAAACCCCAGCATGGAGCCTGGGTGATGAGGTGTCCTGTTTTGCATGGAAGAAGAGCTGTAGCTGAGCTCTTCATAGTCCTTTTATTGTTCTTATTTTGCAAGTAAATTGCAAAATAAGTTCCCAACCCAAAGATAACACAGGCTATCCTTCAACAAAGAAAAACCTCAGCTTTTAAACTTCTAGGCCATTTGGCAAAGAGGCATGATAAAGGGCTTGAAAGCCCACAGACACGCCCAGTACCACTCCTTTTTCCTCTTTCCAAACACTTGCAGTATGTTACAACTGAAAAACTGCTGAGCCAGGCTTATTTCCTCAACAGTAAAGCCAAGGAGTTGGACCAGGCAATTCCTAGCATTTCTTTCTTTTTTTTTTTTTGAGATGGAGTCTCACTCTGTCACCCAGGCTGGAGTGCAATGGCACGATCTCGGCTCACTGCAACCTCTGCCTCCCGGGTTGAGGTGATTGATTCTCCTGCCTCAGCCTCCTGAGTAGCTGGGACTACAGGTGCATGCTACCACACCTGGATAATTTTTGTATTTTTAGTAGAGATGGGGTTTCACCGTGTTAGCCAGGATGGTCTCAATCTCCTGACATTGTGATTCACCTGCCTCGGCCTCCCAAAGTGTTGGGATTACAGGTGTGAGCCACCGTGCCCGGCCAATTCCTAGCATTTCTACCAGCATTACTAACATGTAGGAACTTGATATTACTTTCACTTGACAGTTAAATTCCTTGAATCCTTCATTTGAGCTTTGAAGGTGCTTGATTTTCCCCTCATTATGTCTCTTAAAGTCACACATACCTAGATCCATTAGTGCTTCCAGTTGGAATTTATTATCAGCACTATAAGAATCTCTTATATTTATGTAGTCCTTTTACGTTATAAAACACTTTTTATGTATTATTGTACTAGACCCTCAATGAGTGGACGTTATATCCCTGTTTTGTTTACTCTTGGGTCTTATAGACTGGGGGTTTTATTTCTGTCCCATTAATGTCACTACTGACAGAGGCCACTGAACTCTGTTGTGATGGACTTTCACCATACATAATCATTAATAGTATTGATTTGCCTGTAATTCAGGTTGCTTCATTCCAGCCTCGCAGTCACCTCTGTGCCCTGCTGGTTGTCTTCCCAGCGCTGCTGTAGTTGCCTTCCATGGATCTATAGGAGAGCAAGTCCTCCAGGTACTGCCCTGTGACGATGTTGTTGAACTCTGTAGCACGTGTGTCACTGTGGCTGGTTCTGCTCACTTCCTCTTTTGCTGCCACTTTTGAATTTAACTCTTTGTTTGTGGTTTGGACACTCACTGGATTTGGAAACCAGGGGTTGTGGGTTCTCTCCTAGATTTCCGTCTGTGTACCAGGCTTGTGCTTAGCACTTTTCCCATAATTCTTTCACATGACCTGCTTAGAAACCCTTAAAGGTAAGTATCACTCTTCCCATTTTACAGATGGATACACTGAGGCTCAGTACTTAAGTGACTTCTGTATTGTCACACAGAGTCAGGGGCAGGAGGCTGCTCTTGGGTTAGATGTGCTGAGGCTCATAACCTCAGCCTGGAACTGGGTCAGGACTACAAAGGTAAACAGAAGCAGAGTCCTTTCTGTGTGTCCCCGCTCCCTGTACAAGCCAAGGCCTCACAGCACATAGCAGCCACAGCCACCTGAGGATTCCTGCCATCTAGACGAGGCAGTTACAGCCAAGAACAAGTCCACTGAGGCTAAGCTGTGCTCCTCTGGAGGGCTGTGTTTAGAGTCCAGCCTTCTAGGGGAAGCAAATTAAACCCAAACTATAGAACAGCCCAGGGAAATACTCACAAAGGGAAATGCTGACAGTCAGACTCCTGAAGCTTCCTGATGCTTCTCGAGTTTTGGTAAAGAACCTCAGTGCTGTTTGTTTGTTTGTTTTTTAATGTTTTCTGGTTTTTTGTTTGTTTTGAGACAGTCTCTTATTCTGTTGCCCAGTCTGGAGTGTAGTAGTACAATCATGGCTCACTGTAGCCTCCACCTCCCAGATTCAAGTAATCCTTCTGCCACAGCCTCCTCAGTAGCTGAGACTACAGATGCATGCTACTACACTGGGGTATTTTAAAAAATTTTTAAATTTTTTTAGTTGAGACAGGGTCTCACTATGTTGCTGAGGCTGGTTTCAAACTCCTCGGTTCAAGTGATCCTCCTGCCTCAGCCACCCAAAGTGTTGGATTTACAGGGTGAGCCATGTCACATTGCCCTCTCTTAGTTCTTGAAACCTGAAACCTTGAGGAGCAAACAAAAGGGGTCTCTTGGCCAGGTGCAGTGGCTCACGCCTGTAATCCCAGCACTTTGGGAGGCCGAGGCAGGTGGATCACGAGGTCGGGAGATCAAGACCATCCTGGCTAACACGGTGAAACCCCGTCTCTACTAAAAATACAAAAAATTAGCCAGGTGTGGTGGTGGGTGCCTGTAGTCCCAGCTACTCGGGAGGCTGAGGCAGGAGAATGGTGTGAACCTGGGAGGCGGAGGTTGCAGTGAGCTGAGATCACGCCACTGCACTCCAGCCTGGGCGACAGAGTAAGACTCCATCTCAAAAAAAAAAAAACCAAAAAAAAAAAACGGGCGGTCTCTTGACTCTGTCAGGACCCCCATGACTGCTCGTGTGTCTTGTGCTTTGCACAGTTGAGTGAAGGAGCACTGTGTCCACAGTAGACATTGTAGATTTATATGTGTATCATTATGAGTTTCCCAGCAGGTAGTGAGAGATTTTTTATTACAGTTGGTGCATTACAGCGATTTTCCAACAGATAGAAGGAAAGGGTGTTGAGGCTCTCCCAACAGCAAGGTATAGGCTAGTGGCTGTCCTGCTCTTCACTCTACCAAGCTAATCTTTCTGGGTTTCCATATCCTTATCTGTACAATGAGGAAGTTGGACTAGATCTATAAGGTCCTCTTCTCGTTGACATTGTGTGAACCTTGTAGGAGCTGGTGGTGTCTGTCGATTGACTGAGTGCTGGAGCTGGCAGCCCTGTGCAGGCTGCCACCTTTGCCCCTTTACTGTGCTTGCTCCTGACTCTATGTCGCGTCTCCAAGGAGAAGAAGTCCTCACCAGTGAACGGAGACCTCTCTGAACTAAGGATACCATGGCCACGTCAGCCCCACTACGGAGCCTGGAAGAGGAGGTGACCTGCTCCATCTGTCTTGATTACCTGCGGGACCCTGTGACCATTGACTGTGGCCACGTCTTCTGCCGCAGCTGCACCACAGACGTCCGCCCCATCTCAGGGAGCCGCCCCGTCTGCCCACTCTGCAAGAAGCCTTTTAAGAAGGAGAACATCCGACCCGTGTGGCAACTGGCCAGCCTGGTGGAGAACATTGAGCGGCTGAAGGTGGACAAGGGCAGGCAGCCGGGAGAGGTGACCCGGGAGCAGCAGGATGCAAAGTTGTGCGAGCGACACCGAGAGAAGCTGCACTACTACTGTGAGGACGACGGGAAGCTGCTGTGCGTGATGTGCCGGGAGTCCCGGGAGCACAGGCCCCACACGGCCGTCCTCATGGAGAAGGCCGCCCAGCCCCACAGGGTAAGCCCTCTTCACCCCCGAGGGTGCCTTGCCACCTTCTCTGGATGCTCCACCTTGCAGTCCTCAGAGGACTCAGCCTGAGTCTCCCTTCCTGCCCCAGCCCAGAGCATCCACCTGTTGCCACTGCTTGTTTTTCCACAGGAAAAAATCCTGAACCACCTGAGTACCCTAAGGAGGGACAGAGACAAAATTCAGGGCTTCCAGGCAAAGGGAGAAGCTGATATCCTGGCCGCGCTGGTAAGTGAGGCTGTTTCAGGAAGCCCTGAGGCGGTGCGCCCGTGTAGGGCAGGGTGAGCCTGGGCAAGTAGGCGGCAGCTGGGAGGTGTTTCTAGGCGCTGCTCACAGGGAGGATGGGTGTCAGCCTGGCAGTAGCAGACCTGGGTTTTAGCCCAAGTGCTGTCTTTCTGAGCCGTGTAGTCTTGGGCCTGTTTCTTGTCTGAGAGACAAGTGGGCTGCCTGGATGTCAGCTAGAGTCCCTTCCGTTTTCTGTGACTGTCACCTTGAAGGCAGGGCCCATGTCCAGCTGCTGGTTCTCTTCTGCCAGGGGACTGAAGAAGGTGTGGCTTCATTCTTCCTTTCAAAGAGAGAGAGAGAGACAAGGTTGCCTGAGAGTGGAGAGGGTTTAGAAGGAGGGAGCTGGCTCCAGGGTAAGAACTGAGAGGGAAGGGCTAGAAAACAGCTAAGGCAGGTCTGCCAATTCTGATGGCACTGTATGTAGTGAGGTCCAGGCCCAGGATCATGGTTGCCAGTACAGTGGGACCTCCTCCATATCTGTGGGTTCCGTAGCGGCGAATTTACCCAACCATGGATCAGAAATATTCAGAAAAAAGAAAAAGCGTCTCTACTGAACATGTACAGATTTTTTTTCTTGTCATTATTCTCTAAACAATTCAGTGTAACAGCTATTTATATAGCATTTACATTATATTAGGCATTATAAGTAATCTAGTGATAATTTAAAGTATATAGTAGATTTTATGTAACTATTATTCCATTTTACATAAGAACTTGAGCATCCTTGGATTTTGGTATCCTTGGGGAGGGAGATCCTGGAACCCATCACCCACTGATACCAAGGGACAACTGTAGTTAGAAAACAGGCAGCACATTATGTACTTGATTAGAGATGGGGTTGGGGGGAACTGATCAAATGGTTCTGATTTTCTGGGGAACTGTGTATGTTGAGGAAGTGGGCAGTGGAGGAGTAGTGGGGTCAGGGCCAGTGGTGAGTCATTAGGCCTAGGGAGAGGGAAACAGTAAGCTAGAGACAGCCAAGTCCAAGGACCCCTCCAGGCCCTCAGTGTGCATGGCTGCCCCCAGCTCAGCACCAGTCAACAGGGCCACTGAGGACTCCCCCAACCCCAGCTGGGGAGGAGATTTGGAGGCAGGAAAGGACATAGTCCCTAAGCACAGACGTCACACAATTTTGCTGAGGAAACAGGATGCAGTCTTACATGGCAGGGGTGGGGTACATATAGATATTTTAGACTGAACAGTGGGGTGCTGAAGAGAGGGCTGGTCAGGCTTAGATGACATTAATCAAGCAAAACTTCCTGGAAGAGGTGACAGATTTTGTCCAGGAGGGAAAAGTGCGTCGGCTCATGAGTGAGACCCACAGAGTTTCTCTAGGGGCCCCAGAGCGTACTGGTTTAGCTAGAACAGATTGTGGCTGACCAGTCAGGTGGAGACAGGGTTTTGACCATATAGTGGTGGGGTGAACTGAACTAATTCATTACTGGAGTCTTCTTTGAGAAGCGGAGTGTGGACCAGGAACCCTCTGTAGCTCCTCCCACTCCAGATCCTGTAGAATTCCTGAACGGGGGTAGCGAGGTGAACGAGCCAGCCTTGCACACCTCCAGCACTGGGCCCTCCACCCTGAGCAGAGGTGTCAGCCCTTCTCCCCTTCCTGCCCCCTGCAGAAGAAGCTCCAGGACCAGAGGCAGTACATTGTGGCTGAGTTTGAGCAGGGTCATCAGTTCCTGAGGGAGCGGGAGGAACACCTGCTGGAACAGCTGGCGAAGCTGGAGCAGGAGCTCACGGAGGGCAGGGAGAAGTTCAAGAGCCGGGGCGTCGGGGAGCTTGCCCGGCTGGCCCTGGTCATCTCCGAACTGGAGGGCAAGGCGCAGCAGCCAGCTGCAGAGCTCATGCAGGTGAGAGGCCGTCCCTGGGCAGGGCGCCAGGGACCAGGACGGTGGGTCCCAGCCCTGCCATTCACTTGCAGGACCTTAGAAGACTTGGGGGCTCAGTTTTGTCATCTGAAACATGGAGATGATAATCCTTACTGCTGCCAATTAGTCTGTAGATTGCATGAGCATAAAATGAAATAACTGGCATGCTGTCACTTCAAAAAATAAACTTTTTACACAAAACTGTTCAAAAAACTAAATGGTATAGTAGAAAATGGAAGGGAAGATTATTAATATCATTTACCATCCTCCATCCTCATCACTGCCATCACAAGCCCTCTTAACAAGTCATTGGCAGACACTTAGCAGCTGGTGGAAGCTTTTTATGGTGTTGTGGTTGGGGGTGGCTGAGGGAGGGCTGACCAGCAGCTCCTCTCAAAGACCCAGAGGATCTGGAAGAGATAGGGTAACTGGGGAAGGGAGACAGAGATGGCCAGGTTTTCTTTGGCCCATGGGATTACCACACAGAGAACAAGATGGAAAGCAGACAAGGGGGCCTCGGGGCACCTCCTAGAGGAGGGGGCTTTGATAGTGAGAAAGGGAGGGTTTGGGGCTGAAGAACTGGCTGTGAAGCTGAAATGGCACCACATCTCCTCCCCCCCGGGAGCCTCTGGGGATCACACTTACCCTGAAGAGGGCCCAGTCCCCTTTGGAGGGGTAGAGGGCTCAACCTTCCTGCTCTCATAGGCTGGGAGGGGAGGGGCTCTCTGATGGTATTCCCCCACTTGCACTGTTTAGGGTGGCTGGGTCTGTCTGTCAGCAGCAGAGCCACCCAGGATCTCTAGGAAGGTGGAGTCCCAGGCTAATGGCAGGGCAATAGCTAGGAGGGAGAGATAGCAAGGCAGACTCTGCAGTATGTGCACTGGGACAGACTGCAGAAGGAGGCGGCCACCTGCTCCTCATTGTTGTGAATTCAGATGTACAGAATGAGGACTGGCAGGGATTTTAGACCTTCCAGTTCAGCCCCTACTGATGAAGTCACTGAGGTCCAGAGAGTGGGAGGAGTTTGTCCCAGGCCATGGGGTGGGTGTCAGGTCACAGCTTGAGCCCAGATGTCCTGACTCCTGGGCTCTGAGCTCTTGTTCTTATTTTGTCCAGAATGTCTCTCTGGCCCCCTCTTTTCCTCCAGATGTCATTCTGTTCTCTCAGATTTCTCTCGTCATACTCTTTGACTGGGTCATTTTCTGCATCTCCTTTTGCCCGTTTCTCTTCTCCTTCCTCTCCTCACGCCCCTGCCATGTGTGAATGCCTACTGTGTGGAACAGAGGCACACAGCTGAGGATGTGGTGGGGCTGAAATCCATTGTGTTTGCCCGGAGGGGTGCCTTTTCCTAATGCACCCAGAGAAGTGGCCCTCAGAGCAGAAGCCTGGCCCTCAATGACTCAGAGCACTCAGATTGCAGCTCTCCCTGGGGTGGGATAAGGTCAAGGGAAGGGAGAGAAAATGGTGTCAGCTTGAAACTAGTATAGGAAATGTTATTGGTACTGGTAGGTTTCTTTTTTTGTTTTGTGTTTTCTCTTTTAATTTTAGTGCTATATAATGTATATATTTATGGGATGTAGAGGTTTTTGTTTGTTTATTTTTGAGACAGAGTCTCGCTCTGTCTCCCAGGCTGGAGTGCAGTGGCGTGATCTCAGCTCACTGTAATCTCCGCCTCCTGGGTTGAAGCAATTCTCCTGCCTCTGCAACCTCTGTCTCCTGGGTTCAAGCGATTCTCCTGCCTCAGCCTCCCAAATAGCTGGGATTACAGGCGCACATCACCACACCTGGCTATTTTCTGTATTTTTGGTAGAGTCAGGGTTTCACCATGTTGGCCAGGCTGGTCTTGAACTCCTGACCTCAGGTGATCGCCTGCCTCAGCCTCCCACAGTGCTGGGATTACAGGCGTGAGCCACTGTGCCTGGCCTAGAGTGATACTTTGATACAAGTATATAATATATAATAATCAACTCAGAGTAATTAGTATATCTGTCACCTCAAACACTTATCATTTCTTTGTGTTGGAACATTCAAAATCCTCTCTTCTAGCTTTTTGAAAATGTATAGTAAATTATAGTTAATTATATTCTCCCTGCAATGCTGCACAACACTAGAATTTATTCTTCCCATGTAGCTATAACTTTGTATCTGTTAACCAACTTCTCCCCACCCTCCTCTCCCCAGCCCCCTTCCCAACCTCTAATCATTACTATTCTACTGTCTTACTTCCATGAACTCAAATTTATTATGGATGAATAGTACTCCATTGTGTATATATGCTACATTTTCTTTATCTATCTGTTGATGGATGCTTAGATTGAGTCCACATCTCAACTATTGTGAATAGTGCCACAATAAACATGAGTGTGCAGGTATCCCTTTGATATACTGATTTTCTTTTCTTTGGATAAATACCTAGTAATGAGATTGCTGGATCATATGGTAGTTCTATTTTTAGTTTTTTGAGAAACTCTCATACTGTTTTCCGTAACGGCTATACTTATATGTAGAAAAACCTAAAGGCCCCACCAAAAAACCCTTAGAACTAATAAACAAATTCAGTAAAGTTGCAGGATACAAAATCAACATAAAAAGTCTACTGCATTTTTAATACACCAATAACAAACTAGCTAAAAAAGACATCAAGAAAGCAACCCCATTTACAATAGCTACAAAAGTAAAATAAAATACCTGGGAATGAAGTTAACCAAGGAGGTGAAAGACCTCTTTAATGAAAACTACAAAACACTGATGAAAGAAATTGAAGAGGACACAAACAAATGGAAAAATATTCCATGCTTGTGGATTAGAATTAATATTGTTAAAATGACTGTCCTACCCAAAGCAGTCTACAGATTTAATACAATCCCTGTTATCAAAATACGAATGACATTCTTCAGAAAAATAGAAAAAAAACTAAAATTCATATGGAGTCACAAAAAACCCCAAATGGCCAAAGCAATCCTAAGCAAAAAGAACAAAACTGGAGGCCTCACACTATCTTACTTCAAAATATACTACAGCCAGTTGTGGTGGCTCACACCTGTAATCCCAGCACTTTGTGAGGCCGAGACAGGCGGATCACGAGGTCAGGAGTTTGAGACCAGCCTGACCAACATGGTGAAACCCCATCTCTACTAAAAATACAAAAATTAGCTGGGCGTGATGGTGCGCACCTATAATCCCAGCTACTCGGGAGGCTGAGGCAGGAGAATCACTTGAATCCAGGAGGCAGAGGTTGCAGTGAGCCGAGATTGTGCCACTGCATTCCAGCCTGGGCAATAGAGTGAGACTCCATTAAAAAAAAAAAAAAAAAAATATATATATATATATATATACACACACACACACACACACACACACATATATGTATATATATATACACATATATATGTATATAGATACATATATATGTATATATACATATATATATATATACTACAAAGCTGTAGTAACCAAAACAGCATGTATTGATATAAAAGCAGACACATAGACCAATGGAACAGAGTAGAGAACTCAGAAATAAATTCACATATTTACAGCCAACTGATTTTCAACAAAGGAACCAAGAACATACAATGGGGAAGGGACAGTCTCTTTAATAAATGGTGCTAGGAAAACTGGGTAACCAACCATACGCAGAAAAATGGTATTGGTAGATTTTGTCTGTGTGCTTATTTGAGTTTGATTGTACTGCGTGGGAACTGGACAGCTACCTCCCTAATTAGCATTAATATTTTCCCAGAGATTATTTGGCTGTCAAAGTATAGTAAGAAAAAGACCTAAAATAGGGTCCAGAAGTCTGATAGAGAAATACAGGTGAGGCTGGTGTGGTGATTCACACCTATAATTCCAGCACTTTGGGAGGCTGAGGCAGGCAGATTGCTTGAACCCAGGAGTTTGAGACCAGCCTGGGCAACATAGTGAGATCCTGTCTCAAAAAAATTAAAATAAAATAGAAATACAGGTGAGAGGGAGAAGCAGCAGGACAAAATGTGTAAAATAGAAGAGACCTTTTGATAGAGGTGATAGGAAAGGAAAGACAAACCTATGGGCTGGGAGCATCAAGAAGACATTAAAGGGATTGGGGTGACAGGAGAGGCCCAGAGAGACACTGCATCCTGCCCTGGTAACCCGGGCAGGCCCTGCAGGATCAGGTGGCATGCTTGTACCCTGCTTCTCCTGCTGTACACCCCCGTGAAGAACTTTCTTGATGCTCTCTCTTAGTAACCGGGCACATCCCCTCCGGGAGCTTGCCATGACTCATTGCCGCAGCCCCACTGCTCGGCTCTGCCTGTTTCATGACAGCTTCAGATGTCTTGGGTGAGAAGAGTCCTCCAGGAGACTTGGGCGGATCACTTCCCTCCAGAGGCCCTGTATGTGGCTGTGGATGGGGGCTCCTGAGTCTTTCAGCCTCTTCTCCTCAGGGCCAGCCCTGCCCTGGCTCTCGGGACCCACCCTCTCTGGGCTGCTCACAACCTTTAACCTTTAGAGGACTCTTCTTTCTCCTGTATGATTCTCTCCCTTTCTACTGTTCTAGGAACTTCCATGTCAGGAAATATGCCCAAATGGGCCTCTGGCCCACACTCCAGCTACTGCTCCATTCATTTGCTCTTTTATGCCACCTTTGTCAGCAGAGCTGTCAGGACACACTGTCTGTTTTGTTGCCTGTCCTCTGAAGCCGCCTTGGACTTACATGTTTTGAGGGGCATGTTAGAGGACTTGGCCAGAAATGTGCTACCAGTCTCTGGGCACTTGCTTCATAGCGGGGGGTTGGGATGTGCCTCTGACTTCTTGTCTTATTCCTCTGGAGTAAAGCTCACAACTCTTCCCAAACTTTTGGAAGCAGTCATCAGCAGCCACAATTTGTTAATTCCATTTGTTTCCCAAATCTCACCCTCTCCAGGAAGCCAGCCTGCACCCCACCGGCCCCTGCTCCCATCCCCCTTCACTCTGCTCTCTTTTCCCGTGGTGCGTATCACTCACGTAGTATGATGTATTTGCTACATTGATTATTGTCTGCTTCCCCCTGCTAGAATGTCAGCTCTACAGAAGTAGGGATTTGTCTCTCTCTCTCTTTTTTTTTTTTTTTTTTTAACTGTTCTGAGGCTTCTAGATGAGTGCCTGGTACCTAGGAAGCACTTAATAAATATTTGTGGAATGAGTGAAAGGAAGGCAAAAATCAATTAATACAGGGTATTAAGGAGGCTTTTGACTCACAAAAGGGAATCTGAGCATGTCAGAATAGCCCTCTTCCCACTCACCCTGCCCTACCACCTGTCTGTCACAGAGATAGCACCACCATTCTCCCCCCTGTACAAACCATGCTCTGTTCTTGTTTATCCTTGACCAGTATGTCCAGTTGAATCTGTCTCTAAAATACCTGGAATGTATTGCTTCTCTCTTTTTCTCCCTACTGCCACCACCTTAGTTCAGGCCATCTTTAGCTCTCCCCTGGTCCACGGCAAAAGCCTCCGGACCAACCTCCCCATGTTCCTCTTGCCTCCTTAGTCCCTTCTCTGTGGGGCAGCCAAGTGAGTGGTCACTTAGGGTTTTGGCTCACTGCTGTACAGTGACGCAAACAGAATAGAAGTTTATTTCTGCCTCAGTTAACAGTTCAGAGGTGCAGGGTCTAGAGCTATCACAGTAGCTGTACATAAGCTTATCCAAGGGACTGGGTTACTTCCATGTGGTTCTTCCACCAGCTTCTAGGGATGTTGTCCTCTGCTGCGTGGTCAAAGTTGGGCTCACCACCACCATGTCCAAAATTCAGTTGGGGTAAAAAGGAAGTAGAAAGCAATTTTCTTTTTTTAAAGGACAATGCCCAGAATTATGGTCATTGCTTTCTATCACATTCCATTGGCTGGAACTTAGTCTCATGACCAGACCTTGTCGTAGGGGATCTGGAAAATGTAGTCTTCCCAGGTGGCCGCCTGACCAGCAATAACTCCGGGGGTTCTATTATTAAAAGGAGGAAGGGGAGAGTGGACTCTGGAGGTTACACAGCAGTCTCAGCCACATGTAGAGCGGATCACACATATCATGCCCCTACTTGAAACCCTTGGTGGGTTTCCACTGTACGTGGAGCAAAAGTGAAACTCCTTACCATGCATATCCAGCCCTGCGCAGTCTGGCCTCTGCCGTTCTCACCAAGCCCTTTCCTGTTTTACCTTACCTCTCTTCATCCGGCCAGTACTTCTTATCCGTCAATTCTCTGCGCAGGTATCTCCCAGAGAGGTTGCCCATGTCATCTCCCAGCCATTGTGGCTTCTGTCATTGTGCCGATTTTGTTTGTTTTCTTGTTGTTTTATGCAGTGACCCCACTGGAATGTCAGCTCCATAAAAAAGGGACCACATTTGTTTTGTTCACTGATATGTCCCATCTCTGCTACAGTGTTGGGTGCAGATGCATTGAAGTCTTATTTGATTCATATTGATACTTGTGCTTTTTTCTTTCCCTTCTAGGACACGAGAGACTTCCTAAACAGGTAAAAGAGTCTCCTCTCCATGGCGTACCTCATCCCCCTTGTTTATGTTCCCCCGCTTCTGACCAGGTGCATTTGAATTCATGGGGAGTGGTATGGTGCCAGAGGTACTCACATCCCATGGTTCATCCTGATGCCCTTCTGAGGAGCAGGACACATCATTGAGAACTGGAGACTTGCTCTCCTCCTTATGGTTCTCTGTGTAGCCCCAGCTCCTTGGCCCACTGGCCTTATTTGAGGTGGGACAGAGCAGAGAGGTTAGAAACATGGCTTAGTAGACAGAGCGCCCTGGATGTGGAGTCTACTGATGTTCTGAAGCCCTGGTTCAGCTGGTGTCTTTGGGCCACTGTTTTTCTGTCACTTGTTTGGGGATAATCATACCTTTCCTCTCCCCTTCATAATTGCCATGAGGATTGAGAGATAAGTATGAAGGAAAGTAAGAAGAGCTGAGTAACAGCTTGTTATGTATGTCATCTTCTTAGGTATCCACGGAAGAAGTTCTGGGTTGGGAAACCCATTGCTCGAGTGGTTAAAAAAAAGACCGGAGAATTCTCAGATAAACTCCTCTCTCTGCAACGAGGCCTGAGGGAATTCCAGGGTAAGGGTTGGGGAGCGCACAAAGGGTGGGAGTCAGAGCAGGGCTACCTCGTAGAAAGAGCGCACCCAGCTCCTTTCCATCACCTTGTCGATCCTCACTCTTCTGAGGGCCTCTTGTCTTAGACATGGATCCCTATCAGGAAATTGATACTGCCCGAGCAAGAAATGGGCTCATAAATTTTCGGGACTTGAGTCATTGCTGTCCTTTTTTCTCCCCAGGGAAGCTGCTGAGAGACTTGGAATATAAGACAGGTGAGTGTCTAGAGGGTGTTTCCCAGATGTACATCAAATATAGAAAACTCCGCCTGCAGAGATTCTGACTGCTCACTTTTCCCCCAGGTAGCCCCTTTTGCAACAGGAAGAATTTCCCAGCTGCACAATAGAAGCCCCCCTCCCTCTTTGCACTTTCTAATCAGCCTACTCTTTAGTCTGCAGTAGAGGCCTCTGCTTGCTAGTCTGATCCTTCTCTGCCCTGTGTTTGCTTTTCTTTTTCCTATCCTCACAGGTCCTACCACCAGTCCTTTTCCTGTGGCCGAGCTTTCTCTCATCTTCCTGGCTGCATGGCTCCTATATTCAGAGCAAACAGCAGGGGCAACCTAAGACCAGAGGCCATATCCACCACAGGCCCCACTATTGTGCCCCCTCTCAGCCCTGCAGTTAGGTTGTACACTGCATACCAACCACCAAGGAGCGCCATCCACATAGACCAAGATGTGAATGGTGCCCCTTGGATTGTGAAGACTGGTGGTCTCCTCCTGGCTCACTTTCACACTTGCTTTCGTGAGAACCATTGAGGAGGTCGGCCTGTCTGGGAGCAAACGAGGCCCTGAGAGCTTCATCTAGTTCACAGGATAAAATCCCATAGCAGAACTGAGTTAGCAGTGGTTAAACCTTAGGTGGTTGTAGCTTCTTTATTAATGTCTGAGCTGTCTGTGAATACCGTCAAATTTTACCTATCAGGTTATTCTAATTATAGAGAATCCTATGAGGATGATGGTGAGGATTATCCCACTCTGTCAGTACCTGTTCAGGGTTTCTTGAACCATCTTACAGAGCAGGCTGGTAGTTTTGAAACTGAAATTGAACAGTTTACAGAGACCCTGAATGCTTGTGTTACAACAGATGATGCTTTGCAAGAACTTGTGGAACTCAGAGGCCACATCTGTCCCAAATTTCTTTTTTTTTTTTTTTTTTTTTTTTTGAGACGGAGTCTCGCTGTCGCCCAGGCTGGAGTGCAGTGGCGCAATCTCGGCTCACTGCAGGCTCCGCCTCCTGGGGTTCACGCCATTCTCCTGCCTCAGCCTCCCGAGTAGCTAGGACTACAGGCGCCCGCCACCTCGCCCGGCTAATTTTTTGTATTTTTAGTAGAGACGGGGTTTCACCGTGTTAGCCAGGATGGTCTCGATCTCCTGACCTCGTGATCCACCCGCCTCGGCCTCCCAAAGTGCTGGGATTACAGGCGTGAGCCACCGCGCCCGGCCTTTTTTTTTTTTTTTTTTTTGAGATGGAGTCTTGCTTTGTCTTCCAGGCTGGAGTGTAGTGGTGTGATCTCAGCTCACTGCGAGCCCCGCCTCCCAGGTTCACGCCATTCTCCTGCCTCAGCCTCCTAAGTAGCTGGGACTACAGGTGCCCACCACCATGCCCGGCTAATTTTTGTATTTTTAGTAGAGATGGGGTTTCACCATGTTAGCCAGGATGGTCTCGATCTCCTGACCTTGTGATCCACCCGCCTCGGCCTTCCAAAGTGCTGGGATTATAGGCGTGAGCCACCGTGCCCAGCCCCAAATTTCTCTTACATGGGAGCTCACCTGTGTAATTACCTGACATCATCTGACAGTTAGCACAGAGAGTAGCACCTTCCGCCAATTTCTACTTCAAAGATGTCGGACTGAATATGACATTAAAGATCAAGCTGCAAAAGGGGATGAAGTTACTCCAAAACAATTTCATGCATTTGTACCCTTTCTGGGAGAGCTTTATCATAACCTGGAGATCAGAGGAACAAATGGACAGGTTACAAGGGCAGATATTCTTCAGGTTGGTCTTCAGGAGTTGCCGAATGCCTGAATGCCCTCTTTTCTAATCCCGTGGATGACAGCTTAATTTGTGCAATAAAATTGCTGAAGTTGACAGGGTCAGTTTTGGAAGATTCTTGGAAGGAAAAGGAAGGACTGATATGGAAGAAATTATTCAGGAAATTGAAAATGTTGTTATAGATGCAAGCTGTGGCAGAGACATGAAACAGATGCTCTTGAAGCTTGTAGAACCCCAGTGCAGTAATTGGGGTAGAGTCCATGCAACTTCATCATACAGAAATACAACAGCCAAAAAAGATCCCAATTACTATGTGAATGAACCAACATTTTATAGTGGTCATTCACATAGTTATTGTGTTTCATAGTGTTCCTTTCACTGCAGCTGATCCGGATTACCAAGAAGCATATCAAGAGTTACTTGAAAAAGAGGACTTTTTTTCTGGATTATGAAGAAAATGGAACAGATTTTTCAGGGACTGGTGATCCACACTTGGATGATATTAATGATGAGTTGGACCCAGAGATCCAGAGATAGAGGAAGCTTATGAAAAGTTTTGTTTGGAATCAGAGCGTAAGCGAAAACAGTCAAGTTAAATTTCAGTATATCATGTTTATAAAGCAGTTTAGTTATGGTGATTTAGCAGAATACAAAGCCAGAAAATGTGTCACACTTATACCAAATTAAGGATGTTGAGTTATATTACTAATGTATGCAACTTTAATTTTGTTTAACGCTATCTGCCAAAATAAATTTTATTCCCTCTGACTTAAAAAACAAAACAAAACAGTGATGCTGTTTTTTTTTTTTTCCCTTGTCCCCACAGTGAGCGTCACCCTGGACCCACAGTCGGCCAGTGGGTACCTGCAGCTGTCAGAGGACTGGAAGTGCGTGACCTACACCAGCCTGTACAAGAGTGCCTACCTGCACCCCCAGCAGTTTGACTGTGAGCCTGGGGTGCTAGGCAGCAAGGGCTTCACCTGGGGCAAGGTCTACTGGGAAGTGGAAGTGGAGAGGGAGGGCTGGTCTGAGGATGAAGAAGAGGGGGATGAGGAGGAAGAGGGAGAAGAGGAGGAGGAGGAAGAGGAGGCCGGCTATGGGGATGGATATGACGACTGGGAAACGGACGAAGATGAGGAATCGTTGGGCGATGAAGAGGAAGAAGAGGAGGAGGAAGAGGAGGAAGTTCTGGAAAGCTGCATGGTGGGGGTGGCTAGAGACTCTGTGAAGAGGAAGGGAGACCTCTCCCTGCGGCCAGAGGATGGCGTGTGGGCGCTGCGCCTCTCCTCCTCCGGCATCTGGGCCAACACCAGCCCCGAGGCTGAGCTTTTCCCAGCACTGCGGCCCCGGAGAGTGGGCATCGCCCTGGATTATGAAGGGGGCACCGTGACTTTCACCAACGCAGAGTCACAGGAACTCATCTACACCTTCACTGCCACCTTCACCCGGCGCCTGGTCCCCTTCCTGTGGCTCAAGTGGCCAGGAACACGCCTCCTGCTAAGACCCTGAGCCCTGACATCTGCCCCCAGCCCCAACCCTCAGATGCTTCACTTCTTTGGAATTCCAGGACTCTCAATGGGGGGACGGGATGCCTGGCCTAAGCACCTGGAGCAGGGGACCCCATATCCACTGGTAGCCACCTCCCCATTGCTGTGGCCCCCTGAAATCTCACTCAGTGCTGTTGCTCCATCTACTGCCCTAATGGGGCTCTTTTCCCACCTCCTGCTGGTTTCCCGAGGGAACTTCTGACCCTGGAGTCCATGAGGGCTCCTTTCCTTTTTGACCACGACCTTGGCCCCAGCTCTGCACTCTCTGGAATAAGGGCCCGATGCAGCATTTTCTTGCCCAGTGTGGCAAGACCTCAGAAAAACCAGTCAATTACGCCTAAGATCATTTTGCTGTCCTTAAACCCCCCAGGTTCCTTCTTGCACAAATCCACTCTGCTGCCCACCTTCCCTGGCATTTTAAACAGACCTACCCCACCCCAACTCAGAGTTAAGCATACATGGCAATGCTGAAAATAAACAAAATCCACTGAGGCTTCCCAGGCCATTTAAAGCCTGGAGTACCAGCGCATATCATCTCATGGGGTCCAGAGTGGAGTCCAGGCTTCTCTGAAACCAGGGCTGAGCATATTTCCATAGCCAAGGAGGTGGGACTCCCTGGAGCTATCTGTGGTCTTAGGGAAGGATCCAGACATACACGGCTTTGGGGTACAAGCTGTGATCACTGATCAATAAATTATCTCTAGATTGGTCCTTGTGAGGGGAGTTTTAAGAATCCAGAACATCTTGCTCTTGATCAGCACATCCAAAAACACCAAGACAAACATCCAGTGGAGCAGAACCTCTCCTGCCTCGGGAGTTCTGACCGGGTTCCCCAGCAGGGTGTTAAGCCTCTGTCTCTGGCCCTACCAGCATCCAGGTTCCACTTTCCTAGGAGAGAGTGGAGATGGGAAGACAGGGAAAGGAAGGCAGCAGGAGGCCACAAGCCCACCAGGTCTTCATGTCAAGAGAGGGAGTAACATGTCTTCTCATTGCCCACGGACCCAACCTCTGTCCAGGTGCCCCTCATCATCACAGTTTAACACAAGCTCCCCTGCTCCAGCCAAATTGATCTCCCAGTCTTGTCCTTACCCATTCCAAGTGCTCTGCCAGCCCCTGTTCATCCAAGTTTTAAGTCCTCCACCCTGTTCTAAGAGACTGTTCCAACGGCTCTGGGCCTCAGTGGTCACTTGACCACCATTGTCTCAGAGCTGCCCACTTTGTGTGTGTCACATGCTGCCTGAGTCACATGTACATCTTATTTCTGCCTCTAGTTTTGTAAGCTCCTGGAGGGCGGATAACATCTTATACTACTCTTGTATTCTCATGGCACCTAGTGCAGTGCTGGGCACAGAGTAGGTGCTCAATAAAGACTTGTTGAATGAACAGCCTGGAGATCTGTATTTGTAGGTCTATATCTATATTATATCTCAAATGCCACCAGACCTCAGTCTGGCTACAGAGAAATTCCACTGATAGCAGTAGCCGAAGGTTTTCCTTCTGTGCCTTCTGTAACAGTGTAACTTTGCTTTCTGTTCTCTGCACACATGCTGTCATTTCTGGAAGTCCCTCAAAAAGAGCCTACTGCGGAACACAGACGAGTTGTTGCGTGGCTCCACCTTTTTATTCCTCCTGCAGTGGTGCCCTTGAGCTGAGGTCCAGCGTTTTGGAGCAAGTGATGACTCTCCCTGAGAAGGGAGACCTCCAGTATAGCACACCCAAAAATTCTTCCTTGGAAAATAAGCACTGCCTCAGAGGAAATAGAATGTGCAGAGATTCAGCCTTGCATCCTAACACAGTCAACTGTTTTTCTTGTCCTTTCTGATTTTTTTTTTTTTTTTTTTTTTTTTTTTTTTTTTTTTTTTTTTTTTTGAGATGGAGTCTCACTCTGTCTCCCAGTTTGGAGTGCAGTGGCGCCATCTCGGCTCACTGCAAGCTCTGCCTCCCGGGTTCACGCCATTCTCCTGCCTCAGCCTCCCGAGTAGCTGGAACTACAGGCGCCCGCCATCACGCCCGGCTAATTTTTTTGTATTTTTAGTAGAGACGGGGTTTCACCATGTTAGCCAGGTTGGTCTTGATCTCCTGACCTCATGATCCACCCACCTCGGCCTCCCAAAGTGCTGGGATTACAGGCGTGAGCCATCGCGCCCAGCAGTCCTTTCTGATTTTTTAAATTGCCATCTTAAAGATGGAAAAGGGAGGATTATACGAAACTACCTGTAAAATTACGCTAGTGGCAAAGAGCATATTTCCTCTCTGTTCTCTAAGTTGTGGGCTCATGTAAATTTTCCCTTTTTATTTTTTATATTCATAGTTTTTCATTTTGTATAACTCTACTTGCACATATGGTAAACTTTCTACAGTGCTTCTTACAAATAGGAACATTTCCCTGCCCCATACCTCCCTCCAAAGACCCAGTTCATACCTTTCAGCAAACTATTTTGTGTTTGCCTTGCTGGGATTACAGGTGTGAGCCACCACAACTGGCTGAATTTTTATTATTTTAGAGACATGGTCTTACTCTGTCACCTAGGCTCTAGTGATGGTGCACTCGTAGCTTACTGTGGCCTTGAGCTCTGGGGCTCAAGTGATCCTCCCACCTCAGCCTCCCAAAGTACTGGAATTACAGGCGTGAGCCACTGTGCCCTGCCTGAATTATTTCTTGTTGACTTTTCCTCCTATTTTCTGTATTCTCTCAAATCTGTTATCTCCAGGCTTCATATGTCTCCTGAATTCATTTATTAAGTACCCGTGATGTGCCAGGATGTTTCTAGGTTACAACAGTGATAAGGTTAACAAAGTTCTGCACTCTTGGAGGTTATATTCCAGCAAATGGTGACAGGCAGTATGTTAAAATTGAAAAAAAAAAAGTAATTAGCACTATGCAAGGAAGTGAAATAAGTCTGTGATAGATAGTGACCTAGTATCTATTTTATAATGTGTGATCAGAAGGGAGTTCCCTGAAAAGATGGCATGAGAGCTGAAATCAGAATGGTGAGAGGGAAGGTCTAAGATCACATCAGCTAGAGGGAACAGCAAAGTCCTAAAGCAGGGACAAACTGGGTACAGAAAGAGTGCATTTAGAGTATGGTTATGGGAGAACAGAAAGAGCCATAGATTTTCTCTTTTTTTTTTAATAGAGACGGAGTCTCGCTCTGTTGCCCAGGCTGGAGTGCGGTGGCATGATCTTGGCTTACTGGCAACCTCCGCTGCCCAGGTTCAAGCGATTCTCTTGCCTCAGCCTCCCAAGTACCTGGGACTACAGGCGCACACCACCATGTCTGGCTAATTTTTTTGTGTTTTTAGAAGAGACGGGGTTTTGCCATATTGACCAGGCTGTTCATGAACTCCTGACCTCAGGTGATCCACCTATTTTGGCCTCTCAAAGTGCTGGGATTACAGGCATGAGCTTTAAAAAGAAACTTTTTAAAAACTGATGCATCCCAAGTACCCAGAATAATGCCTATCACATAAGTCTTGACCTGAGGCCGGACTGATGTGGCGCTGCTGTTGCTGCTGCTACTGCTGCCACCTGGCAAAAAAGAGATGGGAGACTGAGCACTCCCATGCACCCCCCTGGACAAATCCCATCGCCACTGCTACAGGCTGCTGTGAGACCAGGGCTTGAGAAGACTGCACTCCCTGTGGCTACTTGTCCTTGCTCTTCCACCTGAGAGGGGTCCTGCCCTCCCGGTGGCAAACCTGTAGTCATTATTCTGAGAGCTCAACCACCCGGGTCTGCATTCTGCCCCTGGGCCTGGCTGGGGCTGCTGCCGCCAAGCCAAGGCTAAGTTGAGGAGGGAGAGTAGAGACGGGGCACTTCCGCACGTTCCTAGGACAAATCCCACCACTGCTGCTATGGGCTGGTGTGGACAAAGGTGTGAGCAGATGACACTTCCCACAGCTACTTGCTCATGATGCGCCAGCTGAGAGTGGCCCTGCCTTCCCTGGTTGCAGGACTACAGTGCAGCCACCACAGCCAGCCCACACCTGAGCATTCTGCCAGTGGTCTGGGGACCTCTCCATCTCTTGTCTATCACAGCTAGCACCTGAATGCATTGCAGGGGGCCCTGAGGACAGGTCTGCTGGCCTGATCCCATCCCCCCAGTACACAAGCACATCATCCAGGGGCCCGGAAATTGCCCAGCCCAATCTACCACCACTGGCATCTGAATCATTCCTGTCAGGATCTGAGGTCAGTCCAACTCAATCTACCAATACCACCACAACTGACACCCACCCACACATGCTACCAGTGGGTCAGGGTACTAGCCTGCCCAACTTGTCACAGCCACCACCAACACCAGCACAGACTGCTTGGGTCCTAGCAGGTTGTTCCACCACTGCTACTGCCATTACCCATTTCACACCAGCTGCCCAGGAGCCTGAGAAGTTGCCCACATGTCTGGCCCACTGCTGCCACTGCTAGCATCTGAGCAAGTCACCTGAAGGCCCAATAATTGGCCCTCCAAGACCCACTAACGCTGTTGTCAGTTTAAGCCACTCTGTGGGCCCTAGCACAGGCTCATTCAACCCACCGCTGCCATCACTAGGGCCTGAAGACTGGCCCACCTAGCATCTTAGTTCCCAGCCAAACTTCACCACAGCCTTCACTAATAAGTGCACCTTAAGTCAATGAGGAAGTCACAGATACCACTGATGTTGTATACTGCCAAATAAATCATACAGGGATCACACTACTATAGGCACTCAAAATCAAAGCCAAAGCACCCTACTCAACAAACAACACGTAAAATCTTCAGGAAAAAAATCCTCCCCTATGAAAGCAATTTCAAAAATGGAAGAAGTGACTGTTGCAACTAAATGTGCAGATATCAATGTAAGGACACAGAAAACTAAAGAACAAAGAAATATGACACCAACAAAGGAACACAATACCTCTCCAGCTACAGTTATCAATCAGAAAGAAATTCATGAAATTCTAGATAAAGAATTCAAAGTACTGATTTTAAAGAAACTCAGTAGGCTGGGCACGGTGGCTCATGCCTGTAATCCCAGCACTTTGGAAGGCCGAGGTGGGTGGATCACGACGTCAGGAGATTGAGACCATCCTGGCTAACACGGTGAAACCCCGTCTCTACTAAAAATAGAAAAAATTAGCTGGGTGTGGTGGTGGGTGCCTGTAGTCCCAGCTACTCGGGAGGCTGAGGCAGGAGAATGGCGTGAACCCGGGAGGCGGAGCTTGCAGTGAGCTGAGATCGTGCCACTGCACTGCAGCCTGGGTGACAGAGTGAGACTCCATCTCAAAAAAAAAAAAAAAAAAAAAAAAAAAAAAAAAAAAAAAAAGAAACTCAGTGATATATAAGAGAATTCTGAAAAACAATAGAAAGAAAAAAGATAATAATGTAGGATATGAATGAGAAATTTAATAAAGCAATAGATTGTTTTTTAAAAGAAAAATAGAAAATCTGGATATGAAGAATTTATTAAAGGAAATACAAAATACCTTTGAAAGCTTCAACAATAGAACTAGATTGGGGAGAAGAAAGAGTCTCAGAGCTTGAAGGCAGCTCTTTTGAAATAACCTAGTCAGACAAAAATAAAGAAAAAATAATTTTAAAAAATTCAATTTACTTTGCCTAGATAAAAAAATTAGCAAAGCCTTCATGATATTTGGGACAGCATAAAGCAACTGAATATATGAATTGTTAGTATCCCCGAGGATGATGAAGAAATGAAAGGATTAGAAAATCTATATAATGAAATAATAGATGAAAACTTTCCAAGCCTAGCAAGGGATTTGGACATGCAGGTATAGGAGGCTCAATGTTTCCCAGGCAGATGCAATGCAAAGGGTCTTCTCCATAGCACATTATAATTAGACTGTCTAAAGTCAAAATAAAGAGCAAATTCTAAAAATAGCAACAGAATAGTGCCTAGTCACCTAAAAGGAAAACTCATCAGACTAACAAACAGTGGATTTCTCTGCAGAAACCCTACAGGCCAAAAGATAATGGGATGGTATATACAAAATGATGAAAGAAAATAACTGTCAGCCAAGAATATTAGATCCAGCCAAATTAAAGTATAAAGGAAAAAGAAATAAAGTCTTTCCCAGACAGGCAAATACTGAGGGAATTTGTTACCACTAGATCAGTCCTACGAGAAATGCTCAAGGGAGTCCTAAACCTGGAAGTGATAGGATGATATTTACCATCATAAAAACACACAAAAGTATAAAACTCGCTAGTAAAGCAATCACACAAAGGAAGAAGAGAAAGGACTCAAATGGTGCCTCTACAGAAATCCACCAAACCACAATGACAAACAAGAAGAAAGGAACAAAGAATATATAAAACAATCAGAAAACAACAATATGACAGGAACAAAGTCTCATATATCAATAATAATCTTGAATGTAAATGGAATAAATTCTTTACTTGAAAGATGTAGAATGGCTGGATTTATTTAAAAAGATAATACACCTGTAAGCTGTTTCAAGAAACTCAGTAAAGTTTCTTACCAGTAAAGACAAATATAGACAAAGTAAAGGGATGGAAAAAGATATTCCATACAAATGGAGACAAAAAGTGAGAAGGAGTAGCTATACTTATATCAGATACAACAGACTTTAAGTCAAGAATTGTGAAAAAAAAAAGCCAAAAATGTCATTATATAATGATAAAGGGATCAATCCAGCAAGAAGATTCAACAGTTCTAAATATATATACACCAAACACCAGAGCACCCACATTCATAAAGCAAATATTACTAGCTCTAAAGAGAGAGACAGATTGGAATACAATAATAGTGGGGGACTTTAGCACCTCATGCTCAGCATTAGACAGATTATCTAGACAGAAAATCAACAGAGAAACATTGGATTTAAACTGGACTTTAGACCAAATGAACCTAACATTTACGGAACATTCTATTCAACAACTGCAGAATATATATTCTTTTCATCAGAACATGGAACCTTCTCCAACATAGACCATATATTAGGTGACAAAACAAGTCTCAATAAATTTTTAAAAATTAAAATCATATCAAATATTTTCTCAGACTGCAATAGAATAAAATGAGAAATCAATACCAAGAGGAACTTTGGAAACTATACAAATACATAGATATTAAACCACATGGTCCTGAATGACCACTGGGTCAATGAACAAATTAAGATAGAAGGCCAGGCATGGTGGCTCACACCTGTAATCCCAGCACTTTGGGTGGCTGAGGCGGATGGATCACCTGAGGTCAGAAGTTCGAGACCAGCCTGGCCAGCATGGTGAAACCCTGTCTCTGTGAAAAATACAAAAAAATTAGCTGGGCGTGGTGGCAGGCGCCTGTAATCTCAGCTACTTGGGAGGCTGAGGCAGGAGAACCGCTTGAACCCGGGAGGTGGAGGTTGCAGTTAGCCGAGTTTACACCATTGAACTCCAGCCTGGGAGACAAGAGCAAAACTCCATCTGGAAAAAAAAAAAAAAAAAGAAATTAAGATGAAAATTAAAAAAAAAATCTAAAAACAAATGAAAATGGAAACATAAAACCTGTGGGATTCAGCAAAGGCAGTGCTAAGAGGAAAGTTTACAGCAATAAATGCTTACATTAAAAAAGTAGAAAGATTACAAATTAACCATCCAACAATGTACCTGAAGGAGCTAGAAAAGCAAGAACAAACCAAACCCCAAATTAGCAGAAGAAAAGAAATAATAAAGATCAGAGCAGAAAGTAGAGACTTAAAGAAATACAAAGGATCAATGAGATGAAAAATTGGTTCTTTGAAAAGATATACAGAATTGATAAGCTACTAGCTAGACTAACCAAGAAGACAGAAGACCCATATGAACAAAATCAGAATTGAAAAAGGAGACATTACAACTGACATCACAGAAATATTAAAGATCATCAGAGACGGTTATAAACAACTAGATAAAATTGGAAAATCTAGAGGAAGTGGATAAATTCCTGGAAACACACAACCTACCAAGACTGAATCAGAAAAAAATAGAAAACCTGAGCAGACCAATAATTAATAGCAAGATTGAATCAGTAATTAAAAGTCTCTCAAAGAAGAAAAGCCTAGGACTGGAGGGATTAACAGCTGAATTCTACTAAACATACAAAGAACTAATACCGATCCTCCTGAAACTGTTCAAACAAGTCAAAGAGGAAGGAATTTTCCCTAACTAATTATATGAGGTCAGCATCACCCTAATACTAAAACCAGACAGATACACCACAACACCAACAAAAAGAAAATTATAGGTCAATATCCCTAATGAACATAGATACAAAATCATAGATAGATACAAAAATCCTCAACAAAATACTAGCAAACCAAACCCAACAGCACATCGAAAAATACTACATCAAAATCAAGTGGGATTTATAGTAGAGATGCAAAGATGTTTCAATATGAATAAATAAGCATGATACATATTATCAATAGAATGTAGAACAAAAACCATATGATCATCTTAATAGATGCAGAAAAAGCATTTGATAAAATTTAACATTCTTTTAAGATAAAAACATACAACACACTAGGCATAGACGGAACAAACCTCAAACTCAAATGAGCTGTATGTAACAAACCCATAGCTAACATGCTGAATGAGGAAAAGTGGAAAGCTTTTCCTCTAAGCACTGGAACAAGGCAAGGATGTCTACTCTCAATACTCTTATTCAACATAGTACTAAAATCCTAGCTATAAGGATCAGGCAAAAGAAAGAAACACAATGTGTGATTTCACCAAAAAACTCTTAGATATGATAAATGAGTTCAGTACAGTTTCAGGCTACAAAATTAATATGCAAAAGTCAGTAGCATTTCTTTACATCAGTAATGATTTAGCCAACAAAGAAATCAAGAAGGCAATCTCATTTAGAAATTTTTGCTACCAAAAACAATTTAGGATTGAATTTAACCAAGGAGGCAAAAGATCTTTACAAGGAAAACTACAAAATACTGTTGAGAGAAATTCAAAACAACACAAATGGAAAAACACCTTATGCTCATGGATTAGAAGGAATATCAACATCATTAAAATGACCATATTGTTCAAAGTAATCTGCAGATTAAATGCAATCCCTAACAAAATATCAACATCATTCTTCACAGAATTTGAAAAAAAAATCCTAAAATTCATATGGACCAACCCCCCCCTCCCAAAAAAAGCCCAAATAGCCAAAGAAATCCTGAGCACAAAGAACAAATACTCTTGGATTAAAGGGAGTTTAGTAATTAATAGATTAGTAATACTTGCTACTAGAGACATTTTTGTCAGGTTTGTCAAATATCAGATGGTTATAGGTGAAAATCAAATCAAAACTACAATGAGATACTATCTCGCACCAGTCAAAATGGCTATTACTAAAAAGTCAAAAAGCAACAGATGCTGGCAAGGTTGTGAAGAAAAACGAATGCTTTTAACACTGTTGGTGTGAGTGTAAATTAGTTCAACCATTGTGGAAGACTGTGTGGCAATTCCTCAAAAACCTAGAGGCAGAAATACCATTCAACCCAGCAATCTCATTTACTGGGTATATACCCAAAGGAATAGAAATCGTTCTCTATAAAGATACATGCATGTGTATGTTCATTGCAGTAGTATTCACAATAGCAAAGATATGAAATCAAACTAAATGCCCATCAATGATAGACTGGATAAAGAAAATGTGGTACACATATACCATGGAATATTTTACAGCCATAAAAAGGAATGAGATCATGTCCTTTGCAGGGACATGAATGGAACTGGAGGTTGTTATCCTTAGCAAACTAAAGTAGGAACAGAAAACCAAATACAGCATGTTTTCACTTATAAGTAGGATCTAAATAATGAGAACATATGGACACATGGCAGGAGGCGGGGGGAACAACACACACTGGGCCCTGTTGGAGGGCGGGGGTGGGAGGAGGGAGAGGATCAGGAAGAATAGCTAATGGGTGCTGGGCTTAATTCCTGGGTGATAGGATGATCTGTGTAGCTGACTACTATGGCACACATTTACCTATGTAACAAACCTGCACATCTTGCACATGTACCCCTGAACTTAAAAGTTGAAAAATTTTTTAAAAAAGAAAAACATTAGGGAGTAGCTGCCTTTGGGAGTGAGGAGAATGGGAATAAAAATTGGGGAGAGAGGAGAAAATACAAATGAAACCAGAAGACCTTGCATGGACTGATGATGATAGTGTTCCAAGAACTGAGAGGTATGACTGAGTCAACACTCTACACTGGAAGTCTGAAAGAAGGAAAGAACTGAAAATGAAAAAGAAAATAAAGGCCATGAGTAGAGCTAGGAAGCTTCCTTATAGACAGGAGAATGGGCCCCACATCCAGAGCAAAGTAAGCCGACCAGAGAGACAATGCATCTGCCTAGGCTCTAGTTCCCATTACAACCAGCTCACTGTCATCACGGTTCCTGGGCTCCAGAGAGATTCCCTTATAGGTCCCACCTTGGTCCTTACAATAACCCCTCTGGTTCTCCGAGGCACATCAGTGTGACTGCTCCTCACATAGTCCAGCAGCCCAGCAATTATTTTGTGGGATCTCTTTGCCTCCTGCCCAGTAGTGGACAGAACTCAGCACTTGGAATTCAGGAACACCTACAAAAAGCATTAGGGGCAAGGCAGGTTGTGCAGAGGATCTTGTAGGGGAGATAGAGGACAGTTTTACATCACAAACACAGGAACACAGCCATCCTGTGGCTCCAGCTGGACCACCAAATGAATAATTTTCCTCTGCTTTTCCTTCAGGCAGCTCTCAGTCCTCACCCTGAGGTCTTAGCCACTCCCAAATTTCTTTTGGCTTCTAAATTTCTCTTTCCTTTCTTATGCAGAACAATTTATTAATATAGGCACAAAGCCTCCAAATGTGCATATCCACACTTTTAAATTATCTGGACCACTCTAAAATTAGAAGTACCAGAGACTTGGAAATACAGTGTGCTTATGGTTCATCGGTTCTTTTTTTCTTTTTTCTGTTTCATATGAAACCAAAAATGCCCTGTCTAAAACATGAATTCAATGGGTAGCAAATGAAACATAGCCCCATTGGGATGTGTCTGTTTTAGAAGTCTGAGTGTGGTGGAAATGTGACTGCACTGAGCTCCAGGACAGGTAGATTCTACTTCAGCAGGTCACAAGGACCAGCTGTGAAAATTGTTAGACAAGTTCATTTAACTGTGTGCCAGTTTTCTCAACCACCACATGAGAAAAACAAAATAGGTCTTATGTATTTCACAGGCTTGTTGTAAGGTTCAAATGAAGATATAATTAAAACAAATTTGACCAATGGTACAATTAGCATGTGTTGCACATAGTTTTTCTTTTGGAGGGGTTGCAAAGAATACTTATGGCATAATCTAATTTATGTAAAAAAAAGAGAAAGCAATATATATTTGTATTCAAAACTTGCAGGATATACAAAAAATTGATATCAATGTTTAACTATGGGGAGTGGCAAGGGGAAGTGTTGAGTGGGTGGGGAAAGAGGTTTTTATTTATACACTTTGAAAATGTTTGAATTTTCTTAACCATGAGCATATACAACTTTTATAATAAGCATTGGGCAATACTACTACTACTACCACTACTACTACTACTAGGTTGGACTACCAAGCCACTTGGGTCAGATAAGGATGGCTCTGCTCACCACACTGGGGGGCAGAAGAAACCCCACATTGTCTGGCTTCTTTTATATCAAGAACCTCTATTTCCCCAACAGTCAAGTTAGGGTTAATTATTCACATCACATTGATTCATGTTACAATTTTTAAATAAAATTCACATATGGTCCAAACTCTTTGAGTGCTTTTAAAACATCTGACCCATGCTTTAGGAGCAGGGCTTACGCAATAATGAAGATGTTCTTTGTTTTATTTGTTTGTTTGTTTCTTGGAGACAGAGTCTCACTCTGTCACCCAGGCTGGAGTGCAGTGGTACAATCTCAGCTCACTGCAACCTCTGCCTCCTGGGTTCAAGTGATTCCCCTGCTTCAGCCTCCCAAGTAGCTGGTCTGCCACCACACCCAGCTAATTTTTGTATATTTAGTGGAGATGGGGTTTCACCATGTTGGCCAGGCTCAAACTCCTGACCTCAGGTGACCCACCTGCCTCGGCCTACCACCGTGAGCCACCGCGCCTAGCCTGTTTTTTGTTTTTTGTTTTTTTGAGATGGAGTCTCACTCCGTCACTCGGGCTGGAATGCAGTGGCTTGATCTTAGCTCACTGCAACCTCCGCCTCCCTGGTTTAAGTGATTCTCCTGCCTCAGCCTCCTGAGCAGCTGGGATTACAGGCGCCTGCCATCTCGCCCAGCTAATTTTTATATTTTTAATAGAGACAGGGTTTCACCATGCTGTCCAGGCTGGTCTTAAACTCCTGACCTTAAGTGATCTACCTGCCTCAGCCTCCCAAAGTGTTGGGATTACTGGCGCAAGCCACCGTGCCGACCCTAAAGTGTTCTTGTACACAGGGTATTGTCTTACACTACAGGGAACCTGGATTGGAGTTGAAGGCAGATTTTTTTCAGAGGTTGGGGTGGAAGGGTGAGAATGTGAGTGTTCAACTTGAGAGGAGAAAGGGTAGGGGTGGAAGGAAACATCACTTGTATAGGGATTAATACTTTGCTTTTTAAAGTTATTTTAACCTGTGGTCTGTTTCTGTGTCCAAATAATAACTGCAGTAATAACAAATATTTGAGAGGTTAGTTAGACCTGAGCAAAAGCCTCGTTTTCTTAAACAATGGGGCCTGGTGATTGTCCCACTGTCTGTCATCAGGGATATCCTGACTAAAAGAAGGGACAGGATTGTGTCTTGGTCACAGAGGGATCATCACCCTTCCTCTCTGCATCTACTCCCTCGAGCCATCTCGGCCCTAAATTGCCAACACAGGCAGATCCCATTGGATTTAAGCCTTTCTCCAGTCCCATCAGCGCTAATTGGACACATGGAATCCAGAGGTCTGTGAGTCACACTTTCTTAGGACATTCTCTACAAGTCCAGAGAAATGACCAGAAGGGAAGGGAAAGGAAGGGGCCCTGGGGTCCACCCAGGGCTGATAAAAAGGCCCTAAGCCCTACAAAGGTGGAGGCATCTTCAGGTGTGTGTCAAAGTACGAAGTTAACTGTACAAATTAGTGCAAGTCCAGCAAAACCCTGATTTTTCCCAAGATAATTATTTTGAAACAGTTTAAACATTTTATTTTAGATGTCTTTTTCTTTTTTTTCCCCGAAAGCCCGCTGGCTCCTAGGTTGGCTGTTGCCCTAGGCACAGCCGAAGCCGTCTGTGGTTCTGCACTCTGAGGTACAGAGAAGGCCAGAGCGTCACAGGGAGGCTCAGGACGTCAGGGAGCTGAGGGCCTAAGATAAATAAAGTAAAAACAACCGCTGTTCGAGACTCAAGTCCCCTGTTCTCTCGCCTCACGCGGGCACAGGGAGCCCCCGGGCCGCACACTGGCCAGGGGCGGAGCTGGATCCCGGAGAGCCGCCGTCTCCGCTTCGCCGCCCTTCGCGCGCCCCACTTCAGCCTTTCAGCGTAAGGCAGGAACCTTTTTTCCAGACGGCAAAGAAAGGGAAGACTTTGCCGGAGAAAGAGGCAGTGAAGGTGAAGATGGGCTCCTGGGTCTGGGCGTTGTGGAGGGTCACCTGCCCCGCCTCGTAGTCCAGGGCGACTCTCACGCCGCGCGGGATCTCGCTCAGCGGCAGGTCGGTGCCCGGGGAGGTGCTGGCCCAGCACTGCTGGTGCGAGATGATCACGGCCCAGACGCCGTCCTCGGCGCTGAGTCCCATCTCTCCCTTCCTCCTCACCCCCTCCCCGGCCACCCCCACCGTGCAGCCGCCGCCGTCGCCCAGCTGCAGGTCAACCTGCCAGCGGTGGCGCCCGGAGGAGAAGCCCGGGAAGCCCAGAACCGCCGGGAGGCCGTCGAAGCGCAGGGGGCTGTCTGGCAGGCTCTTCTTCTGCCGGGTGTACCTCACTGACTTCCTGTCTTCCGAGAGAACCAGGCTCCGGCTGGCGGTCTGAGGGTCCAGAGTGATGACCCCTAGAGGGAGGAGCGCGCAGACATCAACAGCGGGCGGCAACCACAGATGTTCCTAGAGCAGGCAACGCACGTGGGAGGCAGAAGGAGTACTGGACTTGGGCAGCCTGCCATTGGGCCACTTCTCTGAACCGCCCTTCTACCTAATCAGCAAGTGGTGCTGTTAAGGATTTGCTTCTCAAAGTGCAGCGGGAGGGACCAGCAGCATCCCCACCACCTGGGTGTTTGTTAGAAATGCAGAATATTGGGCCCCATCCCACCCTACTAAATCAGAATCTGCATTTTAACAGGATCCCTAGGAGACGTTTCTGCATATTAAGTTTGAAAAGCACTTACCTATACCAGAGTGAGTGAGGTGATGCTTATGGAAACAACTTCTAAATTAAGCACCAATTTAAAAATAAATGTGATTTTTAAAAAATTGCACATTTTTTGTTCAAATCAGTAGAGAGCCCAGCACAATGCTCTCAAAAAACTAGGGCTTGATAAGTATTTTTCAACGAGTAATATCTACACAAGTAGATGACATTAATTGAGCACTTACTATGAGTCAGGTAATATACTAAGCTCTTTGCATGTATTAATTTATTTTGTCCTCACAGCTACTTATGGGACAGGTACAGTACTTTTATTTTCATTTTACTGATGAAGAAAATATTGTGGGACAGAGGCTTAATAACTTGCCCAGTGTCTCAGAGCTAGCAAGAACTGGAATCGAGAACTCAAGCAATCAAGCTCCAGAATTCATGCATTTTATTGCTCTGTTTGCTGCCATGGATTGAATGGATGAATGGAAGAATGACTCCCCAAATCCCAAGCTGTTTACCTGAATCTATTTCCAGATGATGCGCCAAGTTTTCTGAGGGAAGCAGAAATAGAAAGAGAGATCTGTGACTTATTACTTCTTATAGGCACCCCCAGGGGCAAGGTGACTTGAGTACAATGTGAAGATGAGGACAGAAGACTCGGCTTCTGCTGTGGTCTAGTGGAGGAGAAGGGTCCTCACCCTCCTGGACTCTCAGTCCTGCACCTGTCCTTAGGGAGTGGAGGAGATGCTCTGGGAATAGTGCCCCTGAATAAATTGAGATCACTAAGGGAAGGCTCTGGGGAGGGAAGATGTCTCGAGCCAGGTTTCAAGGGCAGAGAAGGATGGAGATGGGTGGAAGACAGGAGGGCAGCTAATGGGACTGGGGAAAACTGTGGCGCCTTCCCCTTTACCTGAGAACATCCTCATCATCTCTGGGAGGGTGAGTATTTTCCTGTGGAAATCACGGATCTTCTTGACAAGGTCAGGAGAAATGGCCTCAGGACTCACAAAAGTCTTCATCTCACACCTGCAGACAGGTTTGGTAACCAGTTAGGTCCAAATTCCAAAAACAAATGTTCGGGTGAGACCACGTGAGGCTAAAATCAGACTAAAGAATGATCTTGGCGTCTGTGGTGAATAATGAAATTGAGTATCATTTCTTTACTTTTGCTGGAAATGTGTAGTTACTAAAATAGTAGGCATTTCAGTTAAACCTAAGAGGAACTAAGGATAATCACTTCTCAAGAATTGGAGGTAAGCCCCTTTAGGAGAATGTTTGGTTCTGTAGGGGCTGAGGGACAGAGATCATTACCCCTTTTGGTCTCTAGAGGGCAACAGGGTACCATTTGAAAACAGCCTTAAACTACCCTTGTGTATGCTGCTATTTGTAAAGGAAAAGAGGCTAGAAGGGAAGAAAAAAAAAGGATCAACGAAAATATATATTGCAATGAAAAAAACTCCTGATTCTGGTCCCAGCTCAGTCCTCATTAGACACTTGCTGCATTACCTTGAAGACTCTTCACCCCCTGGGTCTCAGTTTCTTCCTCAGACTGGAAGACCTCCAAGCCCTTCTAGATCTAAACCTCTAATGCTCTTTGAAAAGCATGTTTGGAGACACTTCCTGATTCATGGACCCTGGGTTTATCCTCCCTGCACGGGAATAGGCACAAAGCACGTGACAATTGTTCCCTAGTCACTACACCTCTCTTCATCTCAGTGCAGACTGCTAATGCTTATAGCAGACAGGGAAGGAAAGGGCCATGCATTTACAATGCCACTGGCTCCTGGTGGCTGTCCTTTTACAGTAGCATTAGAAAATTCTGAAGGAAACCAGAGATGTGTGTAAAAAATGAATGAATGAAAGAACAGGCTGGTATTCCTGGTTTCCATGCTTATCATAGTCTACAGAAAGTATTCCCCCTTTAAATTACATTTTAAATGGTGTTAGATACTGACTCAAGTACTAATAATTTCATAGATTAAATAAATGTTCCTGGATCAACCTAAAAACATGATTATTATTTATAACTTCACTTCTAGGGGAAAAAATGTGTCCCCAATACCAACCAATCAATTTAAAAATGAACCTTTAGAACGCAAATCTTTAGTGAGTTTGGACTGTTTGTGCACAGTTGAATGAGACAGTGTGTCTGCCAGAGTGCCTTTGCTTTCCTGGCAAAGTGGGTGGCAGTAAGTGCCCCTGCCCCTTCCCATTCAGTCTTGATGTTGAGTAAAAGGAGGCAGGACCGGGGAGTGGGCCCTACCTGCTCTGGTTGACTCTGACATCCTGCAAAAGAAAGACAAGAACATACATTTAGTTTCCATAAGTCCTTCCTGTCAGGGATTCTGTACATCACTTTTCCCTTAAAATATGAACTCAAAACTCTCCTTCTGCAGAGAGTTGTCCTGTTTAATTACCTACTCATTAGATTGTTCTTTTACATCATGTTTTCTTACTAATTTGGGTTTCTGTAGTCAGTTCATTTGTGCTGGTTTCCCTGTTTCAGCCTTATCGTGGGGGTGGGTTGTGTCTGCAATGATTAGGAGGTGGTAGAGAGCAGGGGCCTGCCTTCAGTTATCAGCTGGACCTGATGTGAGCCAGGATCACATATTCATAACCATAGCAGACACCAGTTATTGAGTTCTTTCTGTATATCAGGAATCATGCCAAGCATTTTTTATGGATTGTTTCTTATAATTTTGCAATAACTTTATGAGGGAGGTGCTATTGCTGTCCCCATGTTTAGAGAGGCTAAGAGACTCACTCAAGTCACACAATTGGAAGAGCCAACATTCAAATCCAAGACTGTCTGACCCTAAACCCCTTAACATGACCACAGTGTATGACTTGGGCAAGTCTCCAGCCCCTCTGGATCTGCACCCCGTTAACCTCTCTCCACTTCCCTTTCCTGCCTCTCTCCAGCCCAAAGCATGGTGCCCACCCCCTTCCCCGTGGAGTCCCTCTCTTATCCTACAAAGTGGTGAAGTGTCTCTCACTTGTAGAAGCTCACTTGCTGGCTGCTGACACTTCTCCTCCAGCTCCTTGACCTGGGCTCCAAGCCGGGTGACTTCCTCAGAGACCTTTGTGATATATTCATCCCTCTCCTTCCAAATCTGCTGCTCCAGCTCCCTCAGCCTGGCCAGCAGGAGACATCGCTGCTGCTCCAGCTCCTGCTGCAGCCTCTCAAAAGCTGTTTCCACCTGATGCTTCTTGCTTTCGATCTGAGTCTTCAAGGGATAAAAGGCAGACATGGTTAGGAAGGGGCTCAGAGATAGCTTCCAGGATGATCATCTATATACTTATTATTGATTAACAGGGATAGGGAGCAACTGGTCCAAGACTCATTCCATTTACTAATATGCCTAGAAGTAGTTAGGTCTCAGGATGAACTTACCAATGATGAGGGCTGTGCTACTGTCTTAGCTAGATACTCTAATAATAATGCTACATTATGCTCTCAGAATGATGTTGAACTTTTCAAAAATATTTCCACAACTACAATACCATCATAACCCTACTATGCCTTCTTAGAGTTAGGTGGGGAAGACTGTAATAATTTCTTAGAGGCAAAAGGAAGTTGTGATTGGAGTCAACACAACTTAGTGGGAGAGTGTGTAATTTTGGTTTTAGCCGTGGAAATCACCAACTACAGGGCATACGTTGATGAGAGCTGAGGGATGGTGGATAGGTTGCTTTGTCCCCACACTCTCTCCTTGGTCAAGGTACCAGAAATCCTCACACTGTGATTCCTCCATAACTTTATAGCATGAAAAGAGAGGCGTGAGGGATCCAGATGTAGCCACACCATCAGCCTACTCTCCTCAAGGTCAGCCTGTAGTCAGGACTAGAATCCCGACACTAACATATGTTTTTGACCCCAAGCTTCCCATCTGAAGGTGGTGTGTTCAGGCAAACAGACTAGGATGGAAAGAACAATGAATTAAGGGTCAAGAAATCCAGGTTCCTCATGAACTTCAGCTTTGCTATGTGGCCTTGGGAGCATTGCTTTTCTGGTCCTAAGTTTTCTGCTCTGTAAAATGTGATATACAAGATGGATCTTGGATTGCAAGACATCAGAACCACTTCTAGTGCTCATGGTCTGAGATCCCAAATGCCTTTGTGCAGCCACAGGAAGGTGAACGAGAACAGTTTGTCAGTTCTTTTCAGCCAGGAAACAGATACCAGCCAACGGGTTTCCCCAGAGTCTCTTAAGAAAACCTTCAAAGGAAAAGGTAGCCAGTGACGTGGCCTGTACCAGCAGCACTTGAAGCTTCTGGTCTTCTTGACACTTTACATCCTCAATCTCATCTCTCTCCGTGCTCAGAGCTTCCAGTCGACTCCTGAGACGATCCTGTGGGGAGAAGAATGGGTGGATAGAGGTGACTGAATTAATAATTCAACTCACAATTATTAACTATCACATCCTGGGCACACTGTTGAGTGCTGAGGGGTTCAAAGGTGGAAAAGGCCCAGTCCTTGCCCTAAAGAGACCACCATCTCAGGAAGAAGTCAATGTCAAGTGATTAAAATACAGATAGATAAATGCAATAGTCCAGGGGTACACACAGTGAGATGGGAACACAGAGGTCAGCTCTGCCTGTAGGCCTAAGGGAAGGTTTGGAAAGCAGAAAACATTTACAATGTGCCTTGAAAGATAAATTTCCAGTTGAATAGAGAGGGAGAGAAAAGGACTTAGTGCCCACAGATGTGAAGGACCTCTTCAAGGAGAACTACAAACCACTGCTCAAGGAAATCAGAGAGAACACAGACAAATGGAAAAACATTCCATGCTCATGGATAGGAAGAATCAATATTGTGAAAATGGCCATACTGCCCAAAGTAATTTATAGATTCAGTGTTATCCCTATCAAGCTACCATTGACTTTCTTCACAGAATTAGAAAAAACTACTTTATATTTCATATGGAACCAATAAAGAGCCCACATAGCCAATACAATCTTAAGCAAAAAGAATGAAGCTGGAGGCATCATGCTACCTGACTTCAAACTATACTACAAGGCTGTAGTATATGATATCAAATATGTCTGGTATCAAAACAGACATATAGACAAATGGAACAGAAGAAGGGCCTCAGAAATAACACCACACATCTACAACCATCTGATCTTTGACAAACCTGACAAAAACAAGCAATGGGGAAAGGATTCCCTATTTAATAAATGGTGTTGGGAAAACTGGCTAGCCATATGCAGAAAACTGAAACTGGACCCCTTCCTTACACCTGAAATAAAAATTAACTCAAGATGGATTAAAGACTTAAACGTAAGACCTAAAACCATAAAAACCCTAGAAGAAAACCTAGGCAATACCATTCAGGACATAGGCATGGGCAAAGACTTCATGACTAGAACACCAAAAGCAATGGCAACAAAAGCCTAAATTGACAAATGGTATCTAATTAAATGAAAGAGCTTCTGCACAGCAAAAGAAACTATCATCAGAGTGAACAGGCAACCTACAGAATGGGAGAAACATTTTGCAATCTATCCATCTGACAAAGGGCTAATATCCAAAATCTACAAAGAACTTAAACAAATTTACAAGAAAAAAACAAACAGCCCCATCAAAAAGTAGGTGAAGGATATGAACAGACACTTCTCAAAAGAAGACATTTATGTGGCCAACAAACCTATGAAAAGAAGCTCATCATCACTGGTCATTAGAGAAATGCAAATCAAAACCACAATGAGATACCATCTCACACCAGTTAGAATGGTGATCATTAAAAAGTCAGGAAATAACAGATGCTGGAGATGATGTGGAGAAATAAGAATGCTTTTACAATGTTGGTGGGAGTGTAAATTAGTTCAACCGTTGTGGAAGACAGTGTGGCAACTCCTCAAGAATCTAGAATGAGAAATACCATTTGACCTGGCAATCCCATTACTGGGTATATACCCAGAGGATTATAAATTATCCTACTGTAAAGACACATGCACACATATGTTTATTGCAGCACTGTTCACAATAGCAAAGACTTGGAACCAACCCAAATGTCCATCAATGATAGACTGGATAAAGAAAATATGGCACATATATGCCATGGAATACTATGCAGGCATAAAAAAGATGTGTTCATGTCCTTTGCAGGGATATGGATGAAGCTGGAAACCATCATTCTCAGCAAACTAACACAGGAACAGAAAACCAAACACCACATGTTCTTACTCATAAGTGGGAGGTGAACAATGAGAACACATGGACACAGGGAGGGGAACATCACACATCGGGGCCTGTCAGGGCTTGGGGGACTAGGGGAGGGATAGCATTAGGAGAAATACCTAATGTAGATGATGGATTGATGGGTGCAGCAAACCACCATGGCACGTATATACCTATGTAACAAACCTGCACGTTCTGCATATGTATCCCAGAACATGTATAATAAAAAAAAAAAGAAAAGGACTTAGTGCCCCTGAATTGTATACTTAAAAACAGAGAGAGAGGTGGGAGGAAGGGAGAAGAGTATTCTAGGAGGAAGAGACTATGTGCAAAAAGTATTGGAAGCAGGAATGAATAAGACAACTCAGGAAAAAACAGCAAGTGCAGCTCAGTCTGGCCAGACACGTGGTGCCTTGAGGAGGGAGGCTGAGCGATGAGGCCGGACAGGGAGGAAGGATCCCGACTGCAAAGGGCCTTGAATGTCTTGCTAAAGACCTTGGACTTTCTTTGGGCACTAGGTATACATGGGAGGATTTTGTGCAGATGAGTGACTTTGTGTTTTAGGAGGATCTGTCTCCCAGCAGATTGGAAGGTGACTGGAAAGGGTGAGAATGGAGACAGGAAATGCCATGGAGACTGCAAAGTCTGCGCAAGAGATAGGGAGAACCTGGCTGTGAGGATAAGGCAGAATTAAAGATTTGGGAGATGTTTCTAAGGTAACCACTTCCAGACCTGGTGACTGGATGACAAGAGAGAGATCTGAGAGGCTGACAGGAAAGTGCCCCAAGGCCAGATGGGGAATTCTCACAATTCTGGACTACTGCCACCCTCCCTTTCTCAAGAAGAAGAGCAGTGCTAGCAGGTTCCCCTTCCCAGCTCCTCCCTCCCCTCTGCGCCCTGGCAGTCAGGGCCCTATAAACCCCATTTCCAGTCTGGATCCTGGGAGAACAAGTTTACCCTGCCCATAATCTGCAGAAGATCCCACTCGGCATTGGAGCTTTCTTTCCATAGTGAGTGAAGCCAAGGCTACAGTTCTTTGCACTCCACCTCTGTGGGGTCCTCTGAGAGCTGGAGCTGAAGTTCCCCCCAGACCAGGAACTACCACACATCCAAGTGGAGCCCTATCTGCCTTCAGTCTGGGAATGCCTCGAAAGTCCCTGTAACCTTAGGGTTCCCTGATGTGGAAGCCTTTCATCCAGATCCCCGCCCGATTTCCTCCCCTCATAACAGGACATCATCCTGCCCCAAACAGGCCCTAGGTAAAGCTACACTTCTTACCCGGTAGGGCTGAATGGCCTCGTCCAGGAACCCCACGGTGTGCGCCTGGTGCGTGGGACCCTCCCTGCAGAACACACAGAGGAACTCGGCATCGTTCTCGCAGAAGAAGTAGATCTTCTCGCCGTGCTCCTCGCAGTAAGTTTCTCCCAGCGGGCCCAGGGGCACAGGGGCCATGGGAGTCTCTGCCTGCTCCTCCTCTTGGCAGAGCGGGCAGAGCAGGATCTTGCCCGAGGATTGGGCCCCCATCTGGGAGAGCGCGGGGAGGCAGAGCCGGCAGAAGGTGTGTCCACAGGGAATGGTCACCGCATCCTCCAGCGGCCCCGCACAGAGGGTACAGGCAGGCAGCTCATGGACCACCTTCAGGGACGGGGTTGCGGGCATCACGGTGCCTTCCCCAGCCCGTCCACTCCGGTCTCCTCAGCCCACGCGAGTTCCCTTTCCCTGAAATCGAGTCACACTTACATGAATCGCAGAGGGAAACGGCTGCAAGGCTAAGAGACAGAGAGAGAGAAAGAGAGAGAGAGGCAAGAATGCCAGCACAGGGAAGCCACCTGGCTCCGCCTCTTGTGTTCCCTAGAACCCTGGCCACCACCTATCAGCGGAGTGGGTCCAAATTCCAGGGCGTCTCGAATTACCCAGAATTTCCCAGTGGCGGCCAAGTAAGCCAGTTCTTTACTCCTGGCTCCTTCTGGTCCCTAGGGTGGAGAACAGAGCACACCATGAGGTCACAGGGGGATGGGTTTCCTGGAATCTGTAGACCACAGTGGCTGGGGAGAACTGGGGAGCAGAAGCTTCCTGTCAGATTGAGCAGGTGGGAGCCATAAACTTCTGGCTCTGAGGCGTGCCCACAGCATCAAAGTCCAGGCTGGAGTGAGAGGTGTGGACTTCGGGAGATTCTGCCGGAAGTGTGTGGGCGGGACGCTGTTTCGACACTGCAGGTAGGGTGTAAGGATTGCTCATCGGGTCCCCTCTTCTGCTCTCCTTTCCTCCCTCACCACATCTGCCCATGGTGGCCCCTCCTACGGTCCCAAATCCCCCACCACCTGGCACAACAGTCCCCTTTGGGGTTCGGGTAACACTGGACTATTTTATTTATTTATTTATTTATTTATTTATTTATTTATTTATTTATTTTTACTGTAGCGGGGAGAAGGCAAGAAACCATAATGCAAATGATTTATGTTGATACACATTAGAAAACGATTAGTCAGATAATCAGTTTCAACCACATTTATCTAGGGTTTAGTATTTTTATATTACTACATTCAATTTTAATAACCCTCTAGGCAAACATTATTACCTTCATTTTACAGAGAAAGAAATGTAAACTGACTTTCCAAATGTAAAGTGACTTTCCAAAGGTCACAAAGCTAGAAAGTATCACGTTAAGGACGATCCCAGTCTCCTGGCTTAAAGCCCTACGCTCCTCCCACACCTCATGCCAAGACCAAGATCTGCAGCCACGGTCCTTCACCCATGCACACATCTGTGGATAAAACCAGGCCTTCCCCCATTCTCCCACTGGGTGATCAGCCTAGCCCCTTGTGGTTGCTCCCTTTTTACTCTAATCACTTTATTACCTCCCCTTCCCATCCAATCTCTGCTCTTCCTGCCACGAGTGCAGCCCAGGAACTAGTTTGTCCAATACAGGAGCCACCAGCCACATGTGTCTACTGAGCACTGAAATGTGGCCGGTCTGAATGGCGGCATGCTGTATATGTAAAATACATACCGGATTTCTTTTTTTTCTTTTTCTTTTTCTCTTTTTTCTTTTCTTTTTTTTTTTTTTTGAAATGGAGTCTCGCTCTGTCTCCCGGGATGGAGTGCAGTAGCGCGATCTTGGCTCACTGCAAGCTCCTCCTCCCGGGTTCACACCATTCTCCTGCCTCAGCCTCCCGAGTAGCTGGGACTACAGGCGCCGGCCAGCACGCCAGGCTAATTTTTTTGTATTTTTAGTAGAGACGGGGTTTCACCGTGTTAACCAGGATGGTCTAGATTTCCTGACCTCGTGATCCGCCCGCCTAGGCCTCCCAAAGTGCTGGGATTACAGGCGTGAGCCACCGCGCCCGGCCAACACACCGGATTTCAAAGGCTTTTCACAAATTTAAAAATGTAAAATATCTTATTAATGACTTTTTATATGGATCACATATTGAAATGATAATATTTTGGAAATATAGGACTAAATAAAATAACATCATTAAAATTACTTTCACCTGTTTAGACTATTTTTATATGGCCACTAGGAAATTTTAAATTGCATATGTGGCTCACTTTGCGTTTATGTTGAATAGCATTGCTCGGAAGACAGATCTGACAGCAAATTATTTATGGTCACTCACCTTCTTACTTGTGTGCCTAGGGCAAGCTGAATAACCTGGCTGGGCCTCAGCTTTCTCATTTATGAAATGGAGATCCTAATAGCACTGATGTTGCAGAGCAGACACAGAAATAAGATCATACTTTTAAATTGCTTGTATCAATGTAAGTTGTACCGTCATTGTAAATAAATTCTGGCCAAATTGCTTGTATCAATGTAAGTTGTACCGTCATTGTAAATAAATTCTGGCCGTTAGTAGTTTTCTTTCTCCTCCCCATCATAGGGAATATTCCAGCCTCTTTTGAGGCCTGCAGCAGGCCAGTTGAGGCATCACCATTGAAGTTGCTGGTGCAGTGTACACCCTGGCACAAGGACCTTATCTGAGCCCCCACACTCTCCTGCTTGCTGATGGGCAAGCCCTGGGCTGGCTGATACCTCCAATCTCTTTGGAGACAGCTGGCCATATGGCAGAAAGGCTGGAATGGCATCTCCACTCTGTGACCCAGTCTCCCACTTGCCCCCAAAAGAATATTTCTTCTGACAGTGGACAGCTGACATATCACCACTTTCCTTCTACTGTGAGTGTCTCTGGATGGGCAGAAAGGAATGGCCAGCCCCTGGTTATGGTCATCTAAGGTCACCTCTGAAATGCTGTGAGCCCCTCTTCCTTCCTCTCCTCTGCTATTTCCCATCTCTGCTGTTGGCAGGAGAATAGAACCCTGGCTGCCAGAGATGCAAGTGTGTGACGATATGGGTGCTGGTGCATATTTAGTATGTGCCTGTGTCCAGCCATGTGCATGTGTGGGTGTGTGAGTGTGTGACCCAGCCCTTCCCCCGTGGCCAAGCAGAGAGAGTGGCCTTGAGGAAGCCATAGCAGCAGGACCAGCATGGCCTCTGCTGCCTCTGTGACCAGCCTGGCAGATGAAGTCAACTGCCCCATCTGTCAGGGTACCCTGAGGGAGCCGGTCACTATCGACTGCGGCCACAACTTCTGCCGGGCCTGCCTTACCCGCTACTGTGAGATACCAGGCCCAGACCTGGAGGAGTCCCCTACTTGCCCACTCTGCAAAGAACCCTTCCGTCCTGGGAGCTTCCGGCCCAACTGGCAGCTGGCTAACGTGGTGGAGAACATTGAGCGCCTCCAGCTGGTGTCCACACTGGGTTTGGGAGAGGAGGATGTCTGCCAAGAGCACGGAGAGAAGATCTACTTCTTCTGTGAGGATGATGAGATGCAGTTGTGCGTGGTGTGCCGGGAGGCTGGGGAGCACGCTACCCACACCATGCGCTTCCTGGAGGATGCAGCGGCTCCCTATAGGGTAGGAAAGGGGAACTGGGGGATCCCAGGGTGGACTGGACTGGACTAAGAGAAACAGCAGAGTTGTGGATTATTTAGGCCACCCGGAGGCCAAATTCTTTCTCCTTACTTACATGATCACCCAGGCAATAGACCCAGGCATGGAAAATTGTGTTTATGTTTTATGTTTTTTTGAGTGTGTTCTGTGTTCACTTGTGGCCAACAGATAACGGGAGTTCAACAAGTACTTGTTGAATGAATGAGTGACCAAACATGAGTGTGTGTGTCTGTGCCATGGATCAGGTGTGTCTGAAGTTTGCATTTGAGGGAATGATTGTACAAACAGTGTGTATATGTGTTAATGTTTGCATGTTTAGAAGTGTGTCTGGTGTGTTTGGATGGGAGTCTGAGTATGTATATATTTGAGTGTGTAAGTGTAACTGAGAGCTCCTGTTTGTGAATAAATTCGTGTTTACATATATTCAGGCTGGGTAAATGTATGTGGCATGCCATTTTATCTGTCATTAAATGAATGTGTGCTGGTTTTAGTTGTTTATGCATTGTGCTTATGAATTATGTTTTAGTACAAGTCTGTGTGTGGATGTCTTAATTAGTTAATTAGCAGTTGATAGTGAGAATTCTAATATATCTTTGAACACACATATTTATCGTGTGTGTACCTGTTCCTAACTCTATTCTGGAGCAAATAATTTTGAAAACAATTTATCAATTATTTTTACATTACCCAAGTTTCTTCTCCCCTCTGGAGTCATACACAGATAATTGATTTCAGTAACAAGGGAGGGTTGTTATTTACACATGTTCCTTTGGGATGAGTCGGAAACTCAGAATGATTTCAGTGCGGGGCATATCAAACTCAGTACAGACCCCAGATACCACTTACCCGAAGCAAAACACAATAGAATGTTAAACCTGAAGAAAGACTCAAGTGGGAAAACCAAGTCACAGCCTCTAATGGCACAGGATAAAGGGGGAAAGTCCTGATCCAAAGTCTTAGAGACAAATCAAGAGGAAGAAGACCCAAAGGGAGTAAGCTGTCAGGGTGGTGAAGGCTCGGGGATTGTCAGCTAAGGAAGGGACTCCTCTCCTGGGGCCATTTCATTCCTGGAGGCAGAGGGTCAGATGACCAGACAAACCTGAACAAATCATTTTCCATCTTGAGTATTTTATGTTCCTTCTCCCCAGGAACAAATCCATAAGTGTCTTAAATGTCTAAGAAAAGAGAGAGAGGAGATTCAAGAAATCCAGTCAAGAGAAAATAAAAGGATGCAAGTCCTCCTGGTAAGTCATCACCCCTTCCCCAGGTTCCTCCCCTTCCTCAGGGTCCAGTGTCTTCCTGAAACTGAGGCAACATAGATTATAGGGCTTTGAAGTTATTATGAGTTTAAATCCTGACTCTGACACTAACTCTATGACCTCAAGCAACTCTCCAACTTCAGTTTACTTATCTGTAAAATGGAGAGTAAAAATCATCATGACCTCATTGAATTACTGTAAGCATTAAATGAGATTGTGACTGTAAAGTAGCTCAGGGCTGTGCACATAATGTGCTTTTCATACAAGACAGGAGGTAGGGTGTCCCCACCACCTCCTCCTACACCTCCTGTAAGCCCTACCCCTTTTAGAAGCTGCAGCAGATGGTGCTGAGACAACACTGTGAGTCTTGCTTCTCGAAATGGGATGACAAGTGAAAAGGAAACCATGACACAGTTCCAGATCTACCTGGGGACAGGGGAGGAAGAGGAGCAGAGGGAGAAGGAGGAAGCAAACTTTCTCTTGGGCTTGCCTCCTGCCCCCTCAGACTCAGGTGTCCACCAAGAGACAACAGGTGATTTCTGAGTTCGCACACCTGAGGAAGTTTCTAGAGGAACAGCAGAGCATCCTCTTAGCACAATTGGAGAGCCAGGATGGGGACATCTTGAGGCAACGGGATGAATTTGATTTGCTGGTTGCTGGGGAGATCTGCCGGTTTAGTGCTCTTATTGAAGAACTGGAGGAGAAGAATGAGAGGCCAGCAAGGGAGCTCCTGACGGTGAGGCCTGAACCGGAACCCTGCCCCACCTGTGCTGTCCTGTGACTCTTGCATCTTTGTCTTGCCTAAGCCATGTCTCCCTGACTCACACATCTCTGTATCCCAGATGGGAGGTGGGTCAGAGGACCAGAAAGTCTCAATTCTAGTTCATGCTTTTCCAAGAGTTCCCTGGTCACTTTTTGCTCTCTGGTCTCCACCTCTCCGTCCCACCATCTGCCAAATAGGGAAGATACTTTCCTTAAATATTTCACAGGGCTTTTGTGAGGATCCAACAGTAAGATGGAAGTGAAAGTAGCACTTTGAAAAAGTATTAAGTAAGTTGCAAACCATTCTCTATAACCTAAATGTCACCAACCACCAGTCAGGAAGTTTGTCCTGGTCTATTTCACTTCCTCACACTGGAGGAGAGGTATTGGGGTCCCCACAAAGTATTGGAAAGGCAGCATGACTTAGAATGATGCTCTTAGGACTGAGAAACAGGAGACCTTGGTATGAGACTTACTTTGCCTCCAGTGAGCAGGGGAAGGTCACTTCACCATCTTTATCTAAAAAATAAAGGCTTTGGGCTCTGATCCACAGAGATGGGTGAGTCCTAATGCTCTGTGACTCTATGCATCTGGTATCCTTTTCCTGTCCAGGGCTAGAAATATATTTTGTCTTTTCCAGTCATAAGAAAAGTGGGAGGAGCCTGGGCAACATAACAAAACCCCATCTCTACAAAAAAAAAAAAAAAAAAAAAAAGAAAATTAGCCAGGCATGGTGACAAACACCTGTAGTCCCAGCTACTCAAGATGCTGAGGTAGGAGGATCCCTTGAGCCCAGGAGGTTGAGTATGCAGTGAGCCATGATCACGCCACTGTATTCCAGCCTGGGCACCAGAGTGAGACCCTTTCTCAAACAAACAAACAAGCAAATAAAAAATAAATAAAATAAAAGTAGAAAAAGAAAGGAAAGAAAAATGGAAAGGAGAAGCTGGAAACTGAATTTCTGGTATCTCTTTCTCCTAGGACATCAGAAGCACTCTAATAAGGTAAGCAATATAGTTTCTCTCTTTTCTTTTTCCATATAAATATACATACATGTACTGCATGCCTAGTTATTGCCACACAGGTATATAACATTCTCACTTAAGGATACAAATTTACATATAAACCTCTATATACCCAAATGCCTTCTCAGGTATATCCATAGATGCCCAAAAATGGGCAGTGGGATTCATCCTAGAGGAAGTACGTCTGCCTGCAGGAACTAGCGCCATCATGCCCTATTAGAAGATGACCAGCTGAGTCTGGAGACATTATTAAGGATGATAATTCCCAGACCCAGCCATTTCTGTGCCCCTAGATGTGAAACCAGAAAGTGCCGGAAACCGGTGGCTGTGTCGCCAGAGCTGGGCCAGAGGATTCGGGACTTTCCCCAGCAGGCCCTCCCGCTGCAGAGGGAGATGAAGATGTTTCTGGGTAAGAGAACCCCAGGCCTCCACAGAGCGCAGGTGGCCATGAAGCCTGGGTTTAGGAGTGGCCTCCACGCTCCACTGCTGAAAGGTGTGACTTTGGCAAGCCTTATTCCTTCCTGTGCCTTGATTTCCTTATTTGCAGATTTTTATAAAATCTGCCTATTAGGATATTGTGACAATGAAGAAAGAGAATAAAGGTGAATATTTCTGGTGAAAAAGTTAAACTGATTTTAAAATAATTCAACAAATCTGATTAGTGGTCATTAAGCAATATGAAAGATAATGATTAACAATATATCATTCTTAATAAGTTAAAAAATCCCACAGCAACATTTGTAATATGTGATAAGTTTTTGATGATGAACATTGTTAATTAATAGCCAACAACAGTATTTATCTTGACCCTGTGGTATCTGGCTCGTCCCTCCTTCCTTCTCACTTTCTTTCTGTTAGTCTGGCTCAGAGTTAGACGGTCCTACGGGGACTGTGCTCCACTTCCTTTTCCGGAACAGGGAGTGGTGGTAGGGTGTGGGGGAGGGTTTGGATGAGAGTCAGGAATGGGACATGGCTCTCTGCCAACCACCTCCTCACTAACCATGACAGAATGAATGATGACACCAATTTTGAAATGACCCACCCACAGTTATGTCACCCTAGAAGGACTTTTCCCATAATTCCATTTCCTGCAAATACTTCCAGTGACCTGTCAGTGAAGGAAATTTCACTCTAATCAAAGGCTGACCTTTGACTCTCCCCAAAATTATTTCCAAGTGGAATAATAAATAAATGAACCCATTTCTCTATTCACTAAGCAGATATTTCTTGAGCATTTACTATGTCCTGGGCTCTGCGGGTACAGAGGTGAGCAAGGCAGTCATGGTCCCTGTTTGATCAGGGCTAGGGCAGTGGGGCTCCCACCAGCAGCAGCAGCTGCATTGCCCAGGAAATTGTTAGAAATACAGATGTTCAGCTCCACCCCAGAGCACCTGAATCTGAAACAGATGTGTTTTAACAAGAGCTCCAGATGATTCTGATGCAAGCTTGGAACCACTGGTCTAGAGGATTCCAGCTTACATTCTTCTTCTTGTCCCTTCCCTCTTCTTGGCCTCAGTTTTCTCATCATTAAGTGTCTGATGGTTTTGTAAGACTAATAAAATCTCATCCTGGTTTATTTTCTTTACAGAAAAACTATGCTTTGAGTTGGACTATGAGCCAGGTAAGGAGCCTATGTCAGGATGGGAGAGAATGAGAAGTCCTCGGAAAGGAGAGAAAATTTTGCAGGATTTGCACTATGACTATGTTATGACTATGACAATAGTCATAACAAACACCCATGGATACATATACACATCATATATATTATATATACACATATGTGTGTGTATATAATACATGTGTGTATATATAGGTTGTGTGTGTGTGTGTGTCACATTGTTTGTAAGGCTCTCAGGAGAAACATGAAGAAAGGACAAGCACATACACATACTACATTCGTGGTATGAAGCTCACATCCTGATCTGCGCATGTCGAGTAGATAGAAAGATTAATGCAGAATGGGATAAAGTCCATCTGGGAATGCTTTCTGGATAAAGGGGACTTTGATCTGGGTTTATAATCACCTCTTTAGAACGTAAGGAACCCCTGCTTCCTCTCAGATGTCATTTCACAGATGACAGAAGGAGGGCGGCCTGTGGGTGGGAAAAAAATGAACAGAATGGACCCCTTCAAGGCTGTCATTTCTCAATCAACCAGCCTAAGACCCTGGGAGTCACGGAGTTGTTGGAGGGGGTTCTCTAACCCACAGATGGACCTAAATTTATGGAAGCTTCTCAATTTATGAATACTAAAAGTAACAAAACGCAAGGCTCTGCAGCAGTTTTTGGTGGTAAAAAGTGGTCCTCAGACTCTGACAGTTTCAGAATTACTGAGGCAGAGTGAATAACCCAGGGGTGAGCCAGAGAGCCTGCCAGGAGGGAAGACTGTAAATGAGTCACCAGTGCCCTGGGAGGAAAACAGGGAGGAATCATGAAGTTTGGACTGAAGGGAGAAATGTCGCTGCACTGTGGGATAGAGATGGGAGGAGGGGAGAATGTGGTATATCAGCCCCAGGAGATCCAAGCTGGCACGCACAGCTTTGGAAACCAGCCAACTTGCGGTGAGCAGAAGAGCTTTCCCGAGGACCACACTGAACTAAACGAGAGCTTTCACATCCTCTGAGGCAGGCTTTTCAGGCTTTACCTGTGTGCAAATCACCTGGGCATCTTGTTAGGATGCAGATTCTGAGAGCGTATATCTAACAAGTTCCCAGGTGGTTCCACACTGTTGGCCCACGTAGGCACTATACATGTTTTTGGTAATAATAACACTAACAGGAGGGGCCCAGGGGGAGTTTCTATGCCTTCCTTGGAGGTAATAGCATGTCTGCTGACATCTGTCCCTTTTGGTTATCCCCACAGCTCACATTTCTCTAGACCCTCAGACTTCCCACCCCAAGCTCCTCTTGTCCGAGGACCACCAGCGAGCTCAGTTCTCCTACAAATGGCAGAACTCACCAGACAACCCCCAACGTTTTGACCGGGCCACCTGTGTTCTGGCCCACACTGGCATCACAGGGGGGAGACACACGTGGGTGGTGAGTATAGACCTGGCCCATGGGGGCAGCTGCACCGTGGGCGTGGTGAGCGAGGATGTGCAGCGGAAGGGGGAGCTTCGGCTGCGGCCAGAGGAGGGGGTGTGGGCTGTGAGGCTGGCTTGGGGCTTCGTCTCGGCTCTGGGCTCCTTCCCCACACGGCTGACCCTGAAGGAGCAGCCCCGGCAGGTGAGGGTGTCTCTTGACTATGAGGTGGGCTGGGTGACCTTCACCAACGCTGTCACCCGAGAGCCCATCTACACCTTCACTGCCTCCTTCACTAGGAAGGTCATTCCCTTCTTTGGGCTCTGGGGCCGAGGGTCCAGTTTCTCCCTGAGCTCCTGAGAAGGAGCAGTTACCTACTCTCCTCTAAGTACAGGACTCATATCAACCCAAGTACCATGTGGACTTGATCCCTGGCTGAATCACCTGGATGACTTGGAATAGAAATGACTGCTTTAGAAGATGGGATGGGGCCGGGTGGTAAGGGATAGAAGAGAGGACTCTCAATCTACTGATCAAGTCCTTTCCCCAATGCCCAGTGGATGGCCAGGGTACCTGGGGACTCAGGCTGCTGCCAGTTCTGCTCACCACCATCCGTGCTTGGCACAGAAGTAGCTGCATAGAAAGGGCACTGGATTTGAAGTCAGAAGACCTGGGTTCTTGAACCAGCCTGTCAACCAGTTGTATGACTTTAAACAAGGCATCTCACCTCTTTTCATCTTGTTTTCTTCCAATAATGTTAGAGTTCATGTAATCACATTCTCTAGAACCATTTAGTTTGTGTTAACTATGAACCAAGCAGTGTGGTGGCCACTGGTGACTTGAAAATATAGAGAAAAAAAAAACCTGCTCTATATCTGAAAGAGCTCTTGGGAAGACAGAGAAACATAAAGAGGAAATTACAGCACAGTGTGGTGGGTGTTACGGGAAGTCCAACCCCAGCATTATGGGAGTTCAGGGGAAGGGGCATAGCCCAGCCTGGAAGGAGAGGGTGAGTGGGGGATGGCTTTCTGAAAAGGGTGGTCTAAAGGATGCCTATGGTCAATAGGGAAAAGAGGGGAAGAAGCATCTTAAGAAGAGGAAACAGCAGAGAACTGGCTGGATGACCTGTGACTCTGGAGCACTGGGTTGTCTCCATTGTCATTATGGGCAGATGTGTGCCATCCCCAGCCGACGCCACTCACTGCCTCCTTCCTCCTGGTGTTGCCACTTCTGGGTGAGATTAAGGTGCAGGGCCTGGGGGCAGGAGGACATAAGGTATAGCCATAAATCATAACCCAGGGACCACACTCAACCCTAGGGAAATTGTCTTCCTGATCAGTTGATTACCATCTGAGGTCAAGAAATGAGATAGTGGGAGCAAATGGGTCACAAATAGCTCAGCTGTGGGCTCAGAAACTGCTAGGTAAAAGAATTCCAGAAGGAGGCCAGGGCATAAGTTGGATGACCTATGAACTTTAGTCTAAAGAATTGAGACTACCGTAATTGAGACTACTGTAGTGACATCTGAGAAATGGGATGGAAGAGTGACCATGTTTTATTTTCTTGTTCTTGTCACTATTGTATTTTATTTTGCATAATCATGCCCTTCACTGACAGTCTCCTTAACATCATCTGTTTACTCTGCTCAGTGTAAACTACAATGCTCTGTCATCTCCCTACTGGGTCTCCTGGGAGGAGGGGAGCCATCCAGGGTGCAAACTCAAAGGCAGAGGGCACAGCGTGCTTAGGCCCAAGCTTAGAATTCAATTGAGAAGTTCTGTTGTTCATCCTTACCTCAGCAGGTAGAAAAGAGGTGGAGATCAGAAGCCAGGGATTAGAGATTGAATTGCTTTCCCTGGGAGTGTGCAGTATCTCATTAAAATGTTGTATATTCAAAAAAATACAGACACACACAAGTGCCTATATAATGATAAAACATATCCAAAGCACCCAAACCTGTGATTCCAGAAAAGTAGATCCTATTTTTGTTTATTTTTATTGGCTTTAGCTGTGTCTTTTGAAAGGACTATTATCCTCTAAAATGTATGTGTATGAAGATCCTGGCTTGCAGCTCGGGAGCTTTACACACCTTGTGTCACTTTATCTTGGTAACGAGCCAAGATCATGCAACCAGTTCATCCATGTCTGACCCAAGAGCTCTTAACTGCTATGCTGCACTGCCTCATTCAGAGATAGATGCCTGCATGGGTCCTGGCGATTATTTTAATGCTGGCTACACCCCCACAGGTGACTTGGATTCAGAAATACAATTTATATTTCTTCTTTTTAAATTGTTTTATTTTATTTTTCTTTTAATAGTTATATGTCAGTGAGAACAATTTATATGTCTTACACTGAGAAATAAAACTGCTCATAAGTGAAAACACTCATGTTGGTCTGTCAGTACCTGCTTCTCCCCTAGGGTAATTTTACTTGAAGTTTACTTGCTTTCGGAGTATGGAGTCAGCACAGGGGAAGTGGATAGATCCTAAAACCTGGTAACTTCAAGATAAGGCAGCTTAATGAACCTCCTTGCTCTGCTGGCCGGAAGTGGGACTCTGGGTTCCCTCCCCAGGAAGTGCTCAAGTCTAGAGGCCCCAGAGTCCCAGCTACCCTTTCCGACTCTGAAGGACTGTTGCACATTTGTAACATCCACAGTTTACACCTCATTTTTCAAAGCTTACATGGTAGCAACCCTTTCTATTGCAAAGAACTGAGACCCACTCAAGTTAGTTCAAATGATAGGTAAGTTTATTATAAAAGCAGAAATAAGGAAAATGCGATTTTCCACCATGAGCCAGGCCCCGTGAGAAGCTATGTCAGGCGTGAGCGAGTTGGTGGGGTCACCACTCGTTCCTGTAGGAAGAACTAGAGATTCCAAAAATGCTGATAACAATCACACACATAGAACTTATTTTGGCCAAACACCATAATAAATATTTGTATATATTAACTCATTTAATCCTCACAACAACCTCAGGAGGTAGGTGCCCATCTTGTACATAAGAGAACTGAGACATGTGGAGGCCGAGCAGCTGGTCTCAAATCAGCTGATAGTAAGTCGCAGAGCCAGCATTTGAAGTCTTGTGGTTTGGCTCCCGAGTCTGTGCTCATGACCATTATGCAGTGGTATGTTGTATGCCCAGGACCTACCGGTAAGAAGTGGGCTCGAAGTCCAAAGAAGCGTGAAGACTGGATATTCCTGCGGCCTCTCAGCAGCATGGGTCATGGACACCTGTTCCAATACATCGTGGCTGCACATGCATCTCTGATTCTCTCTGTGTCTGCTCTTCTTGCCAACTAATGACACATTCATCATGGATCCCTTCTGAATCTCCGAGAGGACCTGATGGTTTCAGTTAATTACTATTGTCCCTCTTTGATAAGGTCTTCCTTGACAGGTGACCTCATAGACTTGTTTGGCCAATTATCTGCTGTTCAGACTCCCACCCCTGGCCTGATCATCTGTGGTGACGTCAGAAGGGACCAAGGGGGGCCTGGAAGGCATCTTCAGTATAACTGAATTCTCTCCTGAGGAGAGACCCTGGGGGCTGTCAGTCTCCTCCTACTCCTAGTACAAGTTCTCTTGGTGACATTAACTCCATCTGGGATGCAGAAATTGCTAGCTGTCACTTTCAGGGGTGTTCTTTCCTTGGCTAATGTCTTGCTCTTAGATTTGGGATCTTATGTTTCTCTGAGATCTGCAGCTTCTTGCCAAATAACTATACCTTTTTTCTGAACATCTGCACTAGGCTCTTTCTCCTCCCCTCTCCTTCCAGCCCCCAACTCTCTGTCCCAGTCCTTCTTGTGCAAACGATCCAGACTGGCTTTCATTAAACACCACTTCTCCCTTCATTCCTGACTCAGAAACCTCACTATGTCTTGGTGTCATCCATTTAGCCTGTTGACTTCTCGTCTTCCCCATTCCTGAACATTCCAGCCTAACCAGGTTGGTTTCCTCACACTCCTACAAAGGTACCGTGGCTTTTTCCTACCTCTATGCTTTCATTCATGTGGTTATTGTGACCTAGAATGTTCTCACCTTCCTCTCCCACTTGTCCAATCCCCACCTCCCCCACAAAACCTACCCTGACTTTCCCAGGCTCGCTGTTTCTTTCCTCTGAATTCCCAGGGCACTTAGCCTCTGTGATACCTAATTCAGTGCAGTTACACGCTCTCTTCTTATTCTGTAGCTGTTTAGTCATAGTTCCACAGCTAAATTATAAACTTCTGGATGGTGAAGTGGAATTTATTTAAAATTTTTTTATCATTCCATATTTCATTTCAAAAGGGGAAGTGGTTTTTTTAAAAAAAGATGAAATGAAAAAGGATGAGTTCATGTCCTTTTTAGGGACATGGTTGAAGCTGGAAACCATCATTCTCAGCAAACTATCGCAAGGACAGAAAACCAAACACCGCATGTTCTCACTCATTGGTGGGAATTGAACAATGAGATCACTTGGACACAGGGTGGGGAACATCACACACCAGGGCCTGTTTTGGGGTGGGGGGAGGGGGGAGGGATAGCATTAGGAGAAATACCCAATGTAAATGACAAGTTAATGGGTGCAGCACACCAACATGGCACATGTATACATATGTAACAAACCTGCACATTGTGCACATGTACCCTAGAACTTAAAGTATAATTAAAAAAAAATAACAATAAAGCCAGAATACACCAAAAAAAAAAAAAAGATAAAATGAACATATTTGAATGTTTACGTTTTAGACACTTTAGCAGACACTCAGCATGTATTTAATTTTGACAACAATCCCAGGCCACAGGTACCATAACCCTTATTTTAGAGGGGGGAGTACAGAGGTTCAGAGAGGCTAAGTAATTTGCCCAAGGTTACAGAGGCATTAGGTGTCAGGACCGAGACCTAAACTCAAGTCTGACCCTGTAGTTTTCACTCTTTGCACCACCACGTGGCTTGTTTTATAATTGTGGCCATGTTTTATTCCTTATACCTCTCAGTATGGTATTGACTACTTTGGCAAAGGCTCAATAAATACTGATTATAAGGTAATTGATGGCTCTTTTTAATCAGAGGATTGAGAAGAGCCCTTCCTTATGCTTTCTTATTAGTTCACTTATACATACATTTAAAATTTTACTGGACACCAGCTATGAGCCAGACACTGTTCTAGACATGAGGACACAGACAGAATATGATCCCTGCTCACCCAAAGAAGTGAGGCTTATACAAAAATGACTAATATACAATTGTATTCATTATCCATTACTCCACAAAAATTACCACAAATTTACTGCCTTATAACAACACATGGCCAGGCGCGGTGGCTCACACCTGTAATCCCAGCATTTTGGGAGGCCAAGGTGGGCTGATCACCTGAGGTCAGAAGTTCAAGGCCAGCCTGGCCAACATGGTTAAACCCTGTCTCTACTAAAAACACAAAAAATTAGCCGGGTGTGGTGGCGGGCGCCTATAATCCCTAGCTATTAGGGAGGCTGAGGCAGGAGAATTGCTTGAACCTAGGAGACAGAGGTTACAGTGAGCCGACATCACACCACCGCATTCCAGCCTGGGCAACAGAGTGAGACTCCATCTCAAAAACGAAAACAGAAAACAAAAAAACACACACACATTTATTGTCACACTGTTTCTGTGGGTGGGAAATTTTGGCACAGCTTCACTGGGTCCTCAGCTTAGGTACTCACAAGACTATAATCAAGGTGTTGGCTGGACTAGGTTCTTATCCGGCTCAGTTGGGGAAGAATCTGCTTCCAAGCTCACTCGGGTTGTTGGCAGAATTCAGGTTCTTGCAGCCACAAGACTGAGGGCCTCTGCTTGTTGTTGGCTGGAAGCTGCTCTTGGCTCCTAGGAGGGGCTCTAAAAGGGTGGGCCAGCAAGGAGGAGTTCTATACAATGCAACACAGTTGCCAGAGTGACACCCTATCACCTTTGCCTTATTCCATTCATTAGAAGCAAGTCACAGATCCCACTTACACTCAAGGGGAGGGGACCAAACAAGGGCATGAATTCCAAGAGGTGAGGATCATGAAGGGAGGCTGTCTTTGAGTCTGTCTTCCACAACAATAATAAATAAGTGCCAGGTGAGTGGTACAGACAACAAGTACTGCAGGAACTCAGCTGGGCTCCACATGTGAGGTGGTGTCACTGCTGATGAGCTCGGGCCATTCAGAGGCCTGGAGGATCCTATTTGAATGAGATTGTGAGAGATGGGCACTACCATCAGTTTACAGGCAAAATGGAGATTTCACAAATGCTCCTGGAGACCATGGGCCCCGACCTCCACAGTGGCAGCCCCAAGCATGAGCCTGTCCTGGAAGGAGGCTGGCTATCGTCCAAGAGTCAGAGGGTCAGGCATCAGGTGATGACTGTGGACATGAAGAAATGGTGACATGTTCAGGAGCTGGCAGGCCCGAAGATGCACTGGGTAGACCCAGTGGGGGCCTGGACAGGTTGGAGGAAGGAGAGAGAGGAGGCTGAGGTGAGCCTGAAGTGAGGTGTCCCAGGGATGAACAGGTCAGAGCTTCTGAGGGGGCTGAAGAAGCAATTCACTGACTCCTTTCTCCAACTGGGGATAAATAACCTCTAATTTCTGTGGAGCACTCCTAGAAACAAAGAAATCTTTCATAGATTAATATGTATTCATATATTCCATTGGCTCTTCCATTGGCCATGTAGCATCAAGATACAAAAGCTAACGGAGCAGTGGGTCTCCTTGACCTCTGTGCATGTCTGTGTTGTGTGGGTTTATATGCACATGTGGGAAAGAAGAAGGGACAGCTCGTACCTGTTCAGTAAGTCACCAGCATTCTAGGAGAGAGAAAAAGTGAGAATCATAATTGGTTCTCAGGTTCCTATCACCTCCAAATTCCTTTCCCAATTCACTCTTGGAGGCCACTCTGGGGTGCCACCTTGAGAACTGGGGGAACATAGCAACACCCCTCTTCTGTGCCCATTCTGCTGCAGCAGCACTCTGTAGCCTGGAACAAGCCACATCTACCACAAGTCACCACATATCACACAGGCCCCTCCCTCTTACACCTCCCAGAAGGGTGATGCAGATGGGCTGCCTCCTATCGGGGAGAATCCCAGCCCTTGGGGAAGGCCTCAGGGTATGCACCTTCAGTGTGTTGGTGTCTAATTCCTTGGCCGTCCTTTCCAGATCAATGACCAGGCTTCTGAGCTGTGTTACTGCCCTGGAGATGTCAAGGATTCTGGCCGCTTCTGCTGGCATGTGCTCCAGCTGGCCCAGCCACTGCTGAGGGAGGGCACCCAGCTGTTCCCTGGTTTGGTGCTGGCTCTCCGGCCCAGCCTCCAGCCTGTGGTTCCCGTGGTCTACCTGAAACTACAGGAAAGGGGCTCCCTAAGACTCAGTGTCAGGTGGCTCCCTCCTGGCCCTTCACAGTCTCTGAATGTCTGAGCAGGAATGCTGATTCCTCAGTCCTCTTGCCCTCATGGTGTTGCCTCTGTGTGTCACAGGTATAGCAGAAGCAGCTTTGATTCTCATAAAGGCAGGGACACCTCACCTTTCCACCTCACTCTCTGAATATCTACAGATGCCATGTGACCAAGAGGAATAGAAAGGTAGACTGTCAGAGACAGAAATGGAGGCCTATGGCGGCCGGGCACGGTGGCTCACACCTGTAATCCCAGCACTTTGGGAGGCCAAGGCGGGCGGATCACGAGGTCAGGAGATCGAGACCATCCTGGCTAACATGGTGAAACCCCATCTCTACTAAAATATAGAAAAAATTAGCTGGGCGTGGTGGCAAGTGCCTGTAGTCCCAGTACTCGGGAGGCTGAGGCAGGAGAATGGCGTGAACCCGGGAGGCGGAGCTTGCAGTGAGCGGAGTTCGTGCCACTGCACTCCAGCCTGGGCGACAGAGCAAGGCTCCATCTCAAAAAAAAAATAAAATAAAATAAAAAGAAACAGAGGCCTATGGCTTGTGTAGTAATTTTCAGTTGACGAGACACTGGTCTCCTTTGATCCCTACTGTGATCCAGGCAGAGCAGGACTGGTTCTCATTTAACATGTAAGTCACATAAAGATCAGAGGGCTTAACTTGCGTAGGTCACTCAACCAGCAAACTTTGACGCCAAGGCCAACACCCGGGTTTTCAGCCTCCACGACCATCTGCCCACATCAGGCTGTTCCAGGGACAGACAGATGTCCAGAATAGTTAAGTAAGGGCTCCTGAGAACACTCCAGGGAGTCCTTCCCAGGAACCCGAAAAACCCACCTGCAGAGCCTGCAGTTTCTTCTCCTGCTGAGCCTTGAGCCGCTGAAGTTCTGCAATGTCCTTTCTGAGCTTCCTGCTCCGGCGATTGAGTCGTTCCTAAAGAGACAGACACACCTGCTTGTCAGACTGGGAGTGAGGGGGGCACCCACTGGGAGGAGTCAATGGAACACGGTAGGGGGCCTGATCCCAGAATGCAACTAATGTAAAATTCTGCCTAAAAAGAAATGCTTTTAGAGCATCATGGTTGGAGTAAGGGACTTGAGAGTTTATTTATTGGATAATGATGGGGGGAAATAGTAATGGGTAATTTTTTTACAGTCTTAGAAGTACAGAAAAAATAATAGATAGCAACAGAACCATTTCTACTTGACTTCAGGGTGCTTTCTCTCAACATACAAAAGTTATATGACAGTCTTCTAGCACTTCTTACTATTTTACAGTAACACATGGAGCCAGTCTGGAGGGAATTGCCTTAAAGAGGAAATGGCAACCCTCTGCTACCTCTGCTGCCTGGTCCTCACTGGGATGAGTGACAAGATAGAGCCCTTTACTAGGTGCAAACTCATAGCCCAGGTAGGCAGTGCCTTCTCTCTCAATCTTAAATCAGCATCTGGATGTGTCGCTGTGTCCTTGAAGCTATGGAGTTAAAGAATGATTTGAGTTTCTAAAAAAATTTTGCTTTCAGGTTTTTGATGACCTATAAGAGAAGCAAAAATAACAACAAATGCTTTAAATGGCTGCCCATGGTTCGGGGGGCAGTTGGAGGGTGAATGATAAAATAGAAAACAAAACGAGAAGAGATTTGTGAACTAAAGATCAGGATGTGCTATTAGCTGAAAAGTGTGTGTTTCACTAAATCTTTCCCACTTCAGATTTTTTTTTTTTAATCTTTTTTGAGGAGATTTTGGAGATGTACAGGTAGAAGTCAGGGGATGGTGAAGACAACTGAAAGTTCTTTCCAGCCTGAGAATTTCCTGGTGAAATCAAGGTCAAAGGACTGTGTGTGTGAGGGGTCAGCAAGGGCATTTGGTGAACAGAAAGCTGCAGTAAGCAGAGAAGACAGTGATGTCACCACAAAGTTACTAAAAACGTGTCACGTCACTGGGTGTTTCCTGCAGGCATTTCCCAGCAGAGACGAAATAAAAAAGTCATAGGAGTGGGAAGTAATAAATGGGCATCATGGATGTCGCTCATGAGTCTCGCTGAAGAAGGTGGCAGGCTGGTGTGGAACTGTTTGTGCGAGCACAAGAGTTCATGTCCTGAAAAGCACAAACAGCCTTCACCGCTTGCATCTACTCACTTGCTGCCCTCACAGTCAAGTTGTTTGGTGTTGCTGTCTTCACCTCCTCACTGTCGTCATTCCTCAGCCAGCCGCCTTGTTTCTCATCACTCCTTTAAAGCCTCTCTCTCCAAAGTCACCTGAGATCTCCAGCCATGAAATCCGCAGGTGCCTTTCTGTACCTCCTCTCCACCCCATCCTTCCTAGACCTGTGCCTTCTGCCACTGCTTCTTTGCCTCTTCATTTTTTTCTGTAAAAAGGAGCCTTGAAGTTGGCTCCTCAACCCTTTTCTATCTCAGACTATGTCCTTAGCTTTCCTTTCTGGAGCCTTCAGATCTTAGAATTCCAAAACCAAATCTTTTTTCCTAGCAATCCATCTCATGCTTCCAAGTGAGAGCTAAGTGCTGCCTACTGCCCTGTTGGCAGCTCAAAATCAATATGGTAGAATCAAACATGCTGCCCAGTTCCCCAAGCTCTTCTGCAGTCCACTCCTCTTGACCTTCATGTTTCTGACATTGGGACTGCCATTCTGCCTGCCATTCAGCTTGAAATCTGTCACATTTCACCTTTGTTGATGTTAGTCCTCCCTTCAAAATGGCTTCTCAGCAACAAAGATAAGCCCAAACTCCTTCACCCAGCATCCAAGGTGCCCCAGGACCCAGCCCCAACTGACATTGTCCGGGATTCTCTCTCTGCTCACTGAACTCTCTTCACCAGCACACAACATTGCTCTCTGCTTCCCAAACACACCCGTGCAGCCACACCTCCTCATGGCCTTTTACTTCTCTCTGTCAGGAGTGCTTTATTTTTCTGCCTGTCAAAGTCAGGCCTATTAAGGTCCAGTTCAAAAAGCCACAGTCCTATCATCTGGCAGTTTAAAATTTAATAAAGCCAACTACAGACACTGTGTAAATGAAAAAAAGAAGGCAAAGATAACAGTAATAAAGATAAAGGCATAGAATGACTGAAGATAATACTGTCATATTGTTTACAATATTCAAAATGAGTAAGGTAAAGTCCTCTGTTTCTAAAAAGTACTTTTTCACCAATTTTTGCATAAAGGTATTTAATGGGTGCATATAATATAAATAAGACACTCATTAGAATTGAAAAGCTAAATTCTATACACTTTCACCTACCAAAATATTCCTCAGAGAAAAAAAGACAAGTTGAAATCTAGAAAATAGTCGAAGACCTGTCTTGTCTAAATGAATATTTTAAAATTCTGTCATTCAGGTTAAATCATATTAAATTTTTAAAATCTGACAAAAAAGGGCATTAAATTTGTTCTTAAACAACTTGCTAACACAATGTACAAAAGAAAAGTGGTTAACAGACAAAAAGTACCTATCCCTGACACTGAAAAAAAAAAAAAAAAAGAAAAATTAACAGCTTTCAAAATGCATGCTCCTTACAGAACTGTGTCCAAAAATATGAATTAAAAACAACATCACTCACACAATTATGATCTAGAAAATGTCAGAAAATTTTTAAAAATGTATGGTAAATACATGAGCTCAGCAAAGAATCTCATTTGAATCTACAAGTAAAAATTGTCAAAAAAAATAGTGTTGTAAAATACATAGCTACCCTCAATAGAGTCAGGGCACATGAGGTTTAAGTAAAGACAATTTAATATCTGATTCAGATACATAGTGGAAAGCCGTTAGTGATGTATCTTGGTACTGGTTGAGAAGACTAACTAAACCCCCAAAAGTCATGATTCTTAGTAATCAACAAATTTAATGCAATAACCATTAAAATCTTATGGAATGATCTATGAAATTTAGAAACATTGTAAAAAAGCACTCATCTTAAAAGACAGCAAAAATATCAGGTAATAAAATTATTAAATGGCAAAAATGCTGCTAGATTTAAAAATAAACCATAAAGTAACATGTTGTCAAAACTATATAACAGAAAGAATAATCAATGGACTAGAGTAAAAAAAAAACAGCCCATCATGAGAACTTAATTGATGTCAAGCGAGAAACAACACGTAAATGTGGAAAGGACTCACTGTTATATAAATATTTTGGGAACAACTGGATACCAGAATAAAGGAAAATTAACGTGGAGTCATCCTTCACACAACATACTATATGAAATTCCAAGTAAGCCAGGAATTAATAAACCTTTAAAAATAAAACAGAGCAGCACACTCATATTAAACAAATTTCTGTGTATTTAAGACATGGAGATTATATTATAAAAAAGAATAGAGCCAATTTAAATGCAAATTTCTAAAAAGTTGCCCAAAAATATAATTAAGAAGAAATAACAGAATAAAAAAATGTAGGTTAAACAAACACAACTAATGGAGCTCATTATCCAAAAGATAAACTATTTTGATGCAATCATGTAGAATTTATGCCCTGATTCTAGGGGAAAATGCAGACAGCGAGTCTTCATGGATAAAAGCCTCACCACTACTAGCATTCATAATCAAGCAAAGTAAAACAACGTACATCACTGTCACACACTTACTAAACCAGCAAAATACATTAAAGTGATTGACACTGACATTGACTGGTCAGTGAGGAAACAGGTATACAAATAAGAATTTGTAGATTTTATAAATTTTTCGGTCTTTTTAGAGTACAGTCAGGGATTATATGATTCTTTTAAAAGAACAAAATTTACAATACTTAACTACAAAGTTTAATTCAAATAAATAGAGATATGGTGAAAAAATCAGTAAAAAAAAACCCTCCTTAATTTCAAAATTACGCTGTCAATATCCATGAGTACACATAAGGTCCACCATTATAATCACTTCTTCAGAAATATACTCAACTCCCTTACCCTCCCTCTCTGTGTTACTTTTCAGACAACTCCTTATCCATGGTAAAATGTACCATCACCTTCTTGTTTGCTGTCTGTCCTCAGGCAGCCTCCTGAAACATGTTAAACATTTCAGACCTCAAATTGGTGCTACATACTGTCTGCCAACCCTACATAGTTTCTCTTGTAAGCGCTCTCCCACACTGCATCACACCATCTTGTTTCTTTTCAAACCTTTCACATCCATCCTGATCCCACCCATACTGCTGATGTTCCTTCCTCAAATATTATGAGAAAATAAAAACCAGAACAAAACCTGGATTTCCAAAACTGCAAAACTATGTAGGCTTGCAGACACCTTCTCTTGTTCCCTGTTATTACTATGGAAGAAGTGTGCCTCCTCCCAACTCAGCTCTCATGCCTCTGCCACCATCTTACTGAAGTGTTAGCATTGTTCAATGCAATCTATTATAATCTCTTAAAATACCCTTCTCTCTTAGCAGCTGGGGCACCATTCCCCTTGTTTTTCTCCTGCCTTTCTGGCAACTCATCCTGTCTCCTTTGCTGGGTCCTCCTCTGCCTACATCTAAATGACGGCCTTTCCCAGAACCTTACCCCAAAACTTCTTTTTCTGTCTAGCCTCTTTTGAGGCAATTACATCAGTTTCCTTGGTTTCTTGGTTGTTTGTTTCTTTGTTTGAGACAGGGTCTTGCTCTGTCTTCCTGGCTGCAGTGCAGTGGCACAATCACAGCTCACTCCAGCCTCACTCTCTTGGGCTCAAGCAATCCTCCCACCTCAACCTTCCAAGTAGCTGGGACCACAGGCGTGAGCCACTGCACCCAGCCCCAAATTGTCACGTTCTTTTTTTTAAATCCTGTTAATTTCACTTTGTTGTTGCTGTTGTTGTTCTAGAGATAGTATCTCACTGTGTTGCCTAAGCTGGTCTTGAACTCCTGGGCTCAAGCGATCCTCCCACTTTGGCCTCCCAAAGTGCTGGGACTACAGGTGTGAGCCACCGTGCCCGCTTTTCTTGGATTTAAATATTGTCTTTGCCTGGATGGATCTTTGTTCTAGGTTCTAGGAATAAGACTCTGGAGATCTAAATTTGTGATCCAGCTGCGTATGTAAGATCCTATTTTGATGTGTCTCAACTTGGACTCAACTTGTCTTAAATGAAACTCTTGGTGTTGCATTCAAACCTGTTCTACCAAGTTATTATCTTTCACATCATCTATTCAGTTTCTCAAACCAGAAACTCATGAAGTCATCTTTGACCTTCCTCCTTCCTTCAACCCACTTTTTAAAATATATATACTTTAAGTTCTGGGGCACATGGACAGAACATGCAGGTTTGTTACATAGGTATACACGTGCCATGGTGGTTTGCTGCACCCATCAAACCGTCATCCACGTTAGGTATTTCTCCTAATGCTATCCCTCCCCTACCCCCCATCCCCTCACAGGCCCTGGTGTGTGATATTCCCCTCCCTGTGTCCACGTGTTCTCATTGTTCAACTCTCACTTACGAGTGAGAACATGTGGTGTTTGGTTTTCTGATCTTGTGTTAGTTTGCTGAGAATGATGGTTTCCATCTTCATCCACGTCCCTGTAAAGGACGTGAACTCATCTGTTTTTATGGCTGCATAGTATTCCATGGTGTATATGTGCCATATTTTCTTTATCCAGTCTATCGTTGATGGGCATTTGGGTTGGTTCCAAGTCTTTGCTATTGTGAACCATGCCACAATAAACATACGTGTGCATGTGTCTTTATAGTAGAATGATTTATAATCCTTTGGGTATATACCCAGTAATGGGATTGCTGGGTCAAATGGTATTTCTGGTTTTAGATCCTTGAGGAATCACCACACTGTCTTCCACAATGGTTGAACTAATTTACACTCCCACCAACAGTGTAAAAGCGTTCCTATTTCTCCACTTCGTCTCCAGAATCTGTTGTTTACTGACTTTTTAATGATTGCCATTCTAACTGGCAGAGATGGTATCTCATTGTGGTTTTGATTTGCATTTCTCTAAAGACCAGTGATGATGAGCATTTTTTCATATGTCTGTTGGTTGCATAAATGTCTTCTTTTGAGAAGCGTCTGTTCATATCCTTTGCCCACTTTTTGATGGGGTTGTTTTTTTCTTACAAAGAACCCACTTCTAATCTCTCAGTAAGTCCTGTCGATTCAAACTCTAATGATAAATTCTTCAAATATAACAAGACTTCTCAGGTGTGGGCATCTGTATGCACTCCCTACCCCCTGTCTTTGCAGGTTGATTTCTCTTCTGCCAGCCCTCAGCTTCAAGGTCACTTCCTCTATGAGGCCCTCACTGACCAAATGGACATGGGCCACCCATTACTGTTCATCCCAGACCCTTGTTTATTTTCTTCCTAACTAATAAAAAGTTACAGTTCTTTTGGGAGGCCAGCGCAGATGGATCATGAGGTCAGGAGTTCAAGACCAGCCTGGCCAAGATGGTGAAACCCTGTTTCTACTAAAAATACAAAAATTAGCTAGGCCTGGTGGTGGGTGCCTGTAATCCCAGCTACTCGGGAGGCTGAGGCAAAGAATTGCTTGAACCTGGGAGACGGAGGTTGCAGTGAGCCGAGATCATGCCACTGCTCTCCAGCTTGGGTGACAGAATGAGACTCCATCTCAAAAAAAAAAAAAAAAAAAAAAGAAAAAAAAGTTACAGTTCTTTGATTACTTATTTGTGTCTCCCTTACTACACTGCAAACTCCTGGCAGAAGGAATGGCATCTGTCTTCATTGATTCCTAGCACATGCTGCAGTTTCTCACACACAGCAGGAACTTACTAAGTTTTTACTTAATGAACAAGTGTCATCGTTATTTATTTGTTTTAGCTTTCTTGTCATTATTTAAAGACAGATTTGAAACAAGAATTATGAATCATCTTTGTACTTTCTACAATGCCTAGCATGACATCTAACACAAAGGACAGACCTGAAAAAATCATTTAGTGAGGAAATAAATTTCTCCATCTTATGCTGCTTCATCGGCAGGTGAGGAATCCCTCCCCACTCTCCTGTGGACATTGCACCTGGAGGGAATGATGTTAGAACCAAATAGAACTTTGCCTCTGGCTTTTTCAATTATTTCTCTACCTTTCTGTAGTCACTTTTAATCTGGACTCCCCACTTTCTCATTCTGTATCATAACATGTTCTCCAAAAGTCAAGTATCTCAAAGCTACCTCAGCTTTGGAAGTTCAGCCTTCACTATTGGATAGAAGGATGCCATGTGAAAATATTGTCAATTGTCCAGTCAAATACTAACTGGATTAGGGTCAGGGGAAAGGTTGATAAAAATAATTCCAAAGCTAATTGGCAAAATAAAGATATACAAATATCTGCACGAATTCTGAAAAATAAGAGTATTGTGAGGATTCTATCAAAATACCTGACATTAAAATATATGGTAAGGATAAAATCTCTAAAATACCTTGGCTTATAGGCAAGCATAGACAGAATAGAACAGCACAAAGAATCAAGGCAGTATGCAAGAAAATATGCATATATGGTATATTATGACATTGGCATTCAAATCAATGGGGAAACTATATGAATCATTCAACAAATGGTGATAGGACAAATTGATTATAACTTGGAAAAACTAAAGTTAGATTTCTACCTTATGCTCTCACCAAAATATATCTTGGATATTCTAGGTCCTCCAATATATATGTTGAAGGATATTCATTAGAACGTTCTGTGTAATCTTAAAACAAAACAATAGCTTGGAAATGACCCAATGTCTGCCAATTTATGGTACATTCATAGAATTTAATACCACACAGTTCTTGAAAATAATTCAGAAGATCTATACATGCTGATGAGAAAATGTTCAAGCCACACTTTTAGATAACAAAAATGAGTTACAGAAAAAAATATAGAGAGAATCCTTTGAGGGTGTGTGTGTGTGTGTGTGTGTGTAAGAGTGCATTCATAAGCACACACATTTTTTGGAAGGATGTACAAAAATCAAACAATGGTTACCTCTGAGGACTATGAATGGAGGGAGAAAGGAAGACAAATTTTTAGTCTTGACTTTATACCTTTCAGTGCTTTCTGAATTTATTACCTACAGCATGTAACTTTTGTGATAGAAAATTTAACAGAATAAGATAAAATAATTGCCATAGCAAAGAAAGGAAAAGGAAAGATAAGACAAATGCAGAAGGAAGAAAAAGAGAGAAAAAATTATGTAGTAACTTTCAGGTTTTAATATATTTGCAGGATAATTACTAGTGTATATAAAACCTGATTACATTTCTAGCCAAGTTTCTAGTACTATCAACCAGGAGTTCACACAGTTTTAGTCCTGAAAGGGTTTTGCATTAGTTAGTCCAATTACTCTATTCTACAGATGAGCAGACTGGGACTCTAACATCACACTGACAATATCCTCTTTTAGACAGACTCACATTAATGCATGGAAACATCAGCCTCAAAATATACACAGAAAAGCAAGACAAGGGTCCAAAACAGGATGAAGCAGAAGAAACAAAGAGAGATGTCCATTGTTGAGCTACTCTGAGGTGCCAGGCATGATGAACATGTAGGATGCAGCACCTCAGCGAGGTGGAGGCAGGGCCTGGCTGCGGTGACCCAGGCTTACCTTGTAGTGGCTGAGGGCATTTTCAATGGTCAGTTCATGATGAGACATGTGTTCAGGGGACACCAGGCATTCCACACATAGAAGAAGTCTGCTCTCCTCACAGAACCTGCACACCCTCTTCTGGTGGTTGGGGCAGATATAGCCTGTCCCTAGCACCTCCTCAGAACAGGGCTTCCGGCAGAGGGGGCAGCAGAAGACCCCAGAGGCTGAGGCCTTCTCCACATGCTGTGTCAGGCACACTCGACAGAAGAGATGTCCGCAGTTGGTGCTCACGGCCTCCTTCAGGCTCTCCTGGCAGATGGGGCAGACACCCTCCTCCTGGTTGTCCTTCTGCAAAGGGATCATGGCCTCGTTCCTACCCTGTCAGCCTCCTGTTTGCAGGGCCTCCTTCTTCACTGGTCTTCGGAAGGCCTGTTGCCCTCAACAGTCCCAGATAAGAAGGCCCAGTCGGAAGGAGGCAGCCCTGGAGCAGCCTGGGGACAGGACACAGCCTCCAAGTTCAGGCAATTGCCCACTCTCCCTCAAGGGTGCCGTGACATAGACCACACAAACCACAATTCTGCACGAGTTTCAGAAATAGCTCATCAGCTTTGACATGGACCCTGCGGTTTCCTTGTGTTTGTTAAACTTGAAATTATTTTTCATACACCTAGAGGAAGCAAGTGATTCAATAACCAATTCTGTTTTCCTCTTGACAGCTTTCAGTGAATATTTGCACGGGCCCCAAATTAAAAGGGCAAGGTGTCATTGTCATGGCCAAAAGCCAGACCACTATAAACTTACAATTTGAGTCTCCTCTGATTTGCCATCAGTAGAGAGAGTTTGGCAGGAGTTTGGACTGTTTTCTCCTACACTGTCACACCGGGTGGCTCACTGCTGCCCATTATTACCACCAATAATTACAGCAGCATCTCCATCAGCTGGTCATTCTTCCAACCAACATCCCTCCCAGGGTCATATAGATTCCACACTGAAAGAATGAGAAAGAAAACAGGACACAGAACAGACTAGAGACTTGTATAATGTTTGAAGCCACTTTGTTCCTTCCTGTCAAATCACCACCAAAGATGACCCAAAGAAAGAAGTCCCCCGCCACCTGCCACCTCCCTTAGATACTGAGGATTCACTCTTATTCCCTCATGCTGCACCTCTTGCCTAGCCCCACTCCTGAAAAGCTTTCTTAGTATCCTACCTCAATTTCTCCTGCTACAATTTCAGATCATCTTCTCTGGCTCCAGACCTGGAGAGATGGCCAGCAGATGAGTGGTTCTTATATCATGCCAATCATATGTGTTCATATGTCAGTAAATCTCAGGGCGGGGGGTGGAAAGACTCATGCTTTCCTAGAAACACTGAATTACCAGGAAAATTACCTAGGGTAGCTGGAAGGTGAGATGGACTTTGGTGCAGGGCGTGGCTTGTTTGCTCAAGGGGAGGAGGAAGGTCTTGGGCCTTTGACGTCGATATGACAGGAAATGAGACTCAACTAAGAATGGACATCCTAGAACCCCAGCTTATGGAACCCCAGGATCCAGGTGTCACAGAATAATGGCACCCACTCAAGATGCTGGAACATCAAATGCCCACTCCATTGTCTAAGTTCCCTCCAGTCAGGCTAGTCTTGGCATTGAGTTTGAGGGAGCCCCTAAGGGGTGCCACTAATAAGGGCTGTCACTTGAAACTTCTAAGGGTCCAAGACGCTTGTTGAAAACCTCATTTCAGAGCCTCCTCCCTCAATCCCACTTTGCCACTGTTTGCTGTGGGTTGTGTGATCTTGTGAGATATATATATAATTAGTCTTGGCACAGAGCTCCTAAAACCCTTGAACAGATGATCCTTAACTTATGATGGGGTTACGTCCCAGTGAATTCACTGAAGTCAGAAATATTGTAAGGTGAAAGTGTACTCAATACCCCAGTAAACCCATCATAAAGTCAAAAATTTTAAGTTGAATCATCTTAATTCCTGATGCACCTCAACTTACCACATGGTTATGTTCTGATGAGTGTATCTTTTATTATTCATAATAAGCCCTTTTCAACCATACCAGGGTTTATGCTAATGAGGTGACTCTTGGAGGAAGAATGGGGGCTGGTTGGCAGAAGAACCATGTGATTAGAGGGTGGGATCTTTCTTTCTTTCTTTCTTTTTTTTTTTTTTTTTTTGAGACAGAGTTTCACTCTTGTTGCCCAAGCTGGAGAGCAACGGCACTATCTCAGCTCACTGCAACCTCTGCCTCCCAGGTTCCAGCGAATCTCCTGCCTCAGCCTCCCGAGTAGCTGGGATTACAGGTGCACACCACCATGCCCAGCTAATATTTTGTATTTTTAGTAGAGACGGGGTTTCACCATGTTGGCCAGGCTGGTCTCGAACTCCTGACCTCAGGTTACCTGCCTGCCTTGGCCTCCCAAAATGCTGGGATTACAGGCGTGAACCACCACGCCTGGCTGGTTGGAACTTTCAGTCTCACCTCTGACCTCTGGGGAGGGGAGAGGAGCCCAGGGACTGAGTTAATCACCAACAGCCAGTGATTTGATCAATCATACCTAAATAATGGAACCTCTGTAAGATCCTGAACAAAGAGGTTTGGAGAGATTCCAGGTTGGTGAGTGCATCCACATGCTGGGAGGGTGGCACATCCCACACTCCACCGGGGACAGAAGCTCCTGTGCTCAGGATCCTCCCAGAACTTGCCCTTCATCTGGCTGTGAAATTACCATGATCCTGGTGATTTCAAAGACTATGTACATGATCATTTAACACCAAGGCCTTTCAGTTCTTGTCCTGCTCACATCCAATGACCTTTGCTTTTGCCACCCACCCTAGTGGCCACTCTCTTGACCTTGTCAGGATTCAGATTTCACCACCTGAAATTATAAATGTAGGCATTGTACTCACTTATAGTTCTCTTCCTAAGGCATTTCCGACAATGTCTGTTTTTTAACCTTCAATCCTTGACCCCTCCACAATCTACGTTCCTGTCGTATCTCATGAAATAGTATAAGAAACAAAAATGTGGACAGATTAAGTAACCTGCCCAAGGCCACAGTGGTGTAAACATAGAGCTGGGATTCAGATCTGGGTGTCTCTTATCCCAGCCCATGGGCTTCATTACCATAAAATGTCATCTCTCTATATATACCTTTTCTTGCTCTTAGAAAGGATTCAGTAAAAGCTTGATAAATGGATGGATTAATGGACAGATGGAAAGATAGATTGATAATTAGATGTATGGATAGACAGATGAAGAAACAGCACTTTGTACCAACTTATAGTACTGACTATATAGTAACTTCTACTAGTTACTTAGGTACTTTTCTTGATTTTCCTACTGGTTTATTGAGCAACTTGAAGGCAGAAATCCACTGTATTTAACTAGCAGTAGCTTGAGAATGTTTCAAATGTAGAAACCATAAAAGGAAAGAAAGATAAATTCAGCCACATTAAAAAAGACCTGCATGGGGGAAAAAAAACCGTAAGTGCAATGTCAAGAGACAAATGACGAAATACCATTGGAAGAAGAAAAATATTTACAACTGCCATCAAAATCAAAGGGCTAATTACCTTTTATATACAGCTCTTGCAAATAAGAATTTATCAACTACCAAGAAGAAAATTGGGCAGAGGTATCTCAGCAGACATTTCATAGAAAAAGAAATACCAAATGTCTCTAAAGCATATTAAAAGATAATCTCAATCTCATGAAGAAAATACAAATTAAAATAACACTGACATACTATTTTTCCTATCAGATTGACAGAAATCCAAACATTTGGTAACACAGTGTTGGTAAGTGTGTGAGGAAATTGGCACTCCCATACACTGCTGATGGGAATGCCAATTAGTACTCCTCCTTTAGAGGAGTAGGAATTTGAGAATTTCCTCCAAGATTACAAATGTACATTCTCTTTGAGCCAGCAATTCTGATGTTAGAAATTTTACATATATATTCATGCATATGTGAAATAATATATGCATATACCTATTGCATCAATGTTTTAGAAACATTTGCTTCAAATTTTAGAAAAAAAACAAATGTTCATCAACGGAAGTTAAGCTAAATAAACTAGCTACATTCATACAATAGAACATTGTGCAGCCATTAGTAGGGGGTGGGGTGTGGAAGGGAACTTTTGCTATTGGAATAATCTCCAACATAAATTGATACATTAAAAAAAAAAAAGCTTGGCCAGGCATGGTGGCTCACGCCTGTAATCCCAACACTTTGGGAGGCCGAGACAGGTGGATCACGAGGTCAGGAGATCGAGACCATCCTGGCTAACATGGTGAAACCCTGTCTCATTAGCCGGGCATGGTGGCGGGTGCCTGTAGTCCCAGCTACTCGGGAGGCTGAAGTAGGAGAATGGCGTGAACCCGGGAGGTGGAGCTTGCAGTGAGCCGAGATTGCGCCACTGTACTCCAGCCTGGATGACAGAGCCAGACTCTGTCTCGAAAAAAAAAAAAAAAAAAGCTTAATGGTGCCCATCTCACATCAGACAGGAACAAAGCAACCCCCTGTTTATCCCAGCTTGGCTTCTGGTCTATGCCCATGCCTGGTTTATGCTTTGGACACATAGATTACTGATTTTAAAAAATAAAAATAAATTAAATTTAAAAGCAAGGTACAGAACAGTGTGTATAATATGCTATTATTTGCACAAATCGGGGAAGAATAAATATTCTTATTTGCTTTTTATGCAAAGAACATCTCTGGAAGAATATATCAATGAACTAGTAAAATTTGCTTCTGGAGAGAGAAACTAGATGTGTGGAAACCAGGGGCAAGAGGGAGACTTTTTCCTGTGTTTTTAAAATTTTGAGCCAGCAAATGTGCCATCTATCTAAACAATTACCTAAATTTTAAAATGTTTAAGAAGAGGATGGTCAGAATGAAAGGAATTCTGGACTAGTCAAAGAATCTGGATTATGGTCCTAATTGTGGAGATTTGTAGCTTCATGTTCAGGGGCAGCCACAACTTCAGCCTCCTTTACAAGAAAGTGGACAAAATGTCATAGCTGGAAATGGATGTGCTTCATAAACTACAAACTAATGCGCAACTGTCAGGGTCCTTATTTCCCTGAGTCAGCCTATTCGGCATAGCTCCTTGAATATATTAGGTGCTCAGTAACTGTTTTAAAGGAGTGATCTTATCTAATTTCTCATGCTTTAAAAATACTGGAGCCAAGAGTCAGGTGATTTTTGTCTTCTCTCTCTCCTTTATGACTCTTAATTGCCTCTGTTTTGACATTTCCCAGCAGGGAAGACCTAACTCCTACCTCTTTCACACAGCTGCTCCAAACCCTTCACATCAGTGGAAGCCCAGCTCAAGTCCCAGTTTCCTGAATGAAACTTTCCTAACAAGTCAGTCTTCATTCTGATGAATGGGGGCTGAGACCTAGCCCAGAGGTTGCTTGCCAAGCTGTGGGCTCTGGCTCAGGGCAGCAATGGCCCCAAGAAAGTGAACTGATCCATCCTAATTTTCACAAAGGTGTCAGAGGGGCCTGCAGGTTCTACATGGATCTCTCTTTCCTAAATCACCGTCTCATTTATTACCATTTGATTTTTGCCAACTTCCCTGGCTTTGGCTCACATTTAGCTTCATGAGGGATAGGACTATGTCTTTCTGTCTTTCCATACTCTCCTATGCCTATCCCAGGGCTGGGCACCCTAAACCACTCTCTAAGGGTCTCCAACTAAGTCCTAAACTCAAATCCCAGCGGTATTTTCTCAGTTCACATCCAAACTGATGACTCAAACTTTAGATCATCAGCAGTCCCCTCCTTAAAATTCTCCTCTCCACTGGCTCCTGGGTTCCCTCTCACTTATTTGATCATCCATAAAAGGAGATCTACTCTATCTTAGTGCAGCGAGGTGGAGCTACGTGGACTTCACAGGCGGAGTGTCCGGATTCAGATTCCCATTCTACCGATGCACAGTTGTTAGCACTATGCAGATCCTGTAACCTCCCTGAGGCCCGATGCCAGCTTGGTATTACTATCCCTATTGAGTTTAAACTTCTGTGCATTCTTAAGTGTTCCATCACCACCTCAAGTTCAATGTACCTTCGAATTATTCTTGCCTGGATTATCTGCCACCCTCCCCAGAACAGGCAATGAACAGGGTCATTCAGCTGTTTTCGGCAGCTGTCTCTTGATGGACAGTAGGTGGCGCTGTCTTTCAAGACAGGACACCATTTCGCTTCACCTCCGGAAGGTGGAGCATTGTTGCCAAGACTCTAGGGCACTGGCAACCGTCTTTTAAACGGTGGCTTAAAAACTGATAGCATAATTCCTCAGGGCAAGAAACATCTGGCTGTGGAAAGCTAGCCGTGAAATATGTAGACTGAAGATGGAAGGAAAGAGAAGGGAAGGGGAGCATAAAACTGTGTAAGAGGAAGAGGGGTGGCCCAGGAGAGAGACAGAGCCTGCAGGGCTGCAGAAGGCAGGTAACCAACAAGGAAAGTTTACCAGTGAGAAATGTCTTGGGCAGAAATAGTGAAGGAATGTTTAAGAACGGAAATGCCTAATACTGAAACTTAAGTTGTCTGCTCTGAGATTGTGTCCTCTGCTGAAACCTGTCCTTTAGACCAGCACTCAATACTTTTTATCCCTAGACTTCCAGGAATCAAGCAGTCAATCTGTCATGCACAGTGACCTGAATAAGAGGAAATTTAGAGAAATCTCAGGAAAGTTGCTATGCTCTATGTTTGATGAGGCAGTTCTCAGAAAAACAGGGTTGGGGAGGAGCAGGGGTTCAAGATCTCAGATTCAGGAGGCATGGGGGACTCAGCAGAGCCCTTGGGAGCTGCTGGTGAAAGAAATGAGTTATTGGTAGGAACCTCTGAATTCCACCCAGTCGCGTGGAGGAAACAACCTCCAATACAGCATGACCTCACTTAGAGTGTAAAAAGGTTAACTGGTAGAAGCAGACAGTATTAATACAATGGTGGTTACCAAAGTCTGGGCGTGGTGGGCATGGGGATGGGTTGGTCAAAGGATACAAAGTTTCAGTTACTTCAAGGAGGAATACTTCAAGAGATCTGTTGTACCTTCTGGTGATTTGTTAGTAATGGTACACTGTGTTCTTGAAAATTGCTGAGAGAGTAGATTTTAAGTGTTCTCACCACAAAACACGAAAACCAAATAAACAAAACTAAAACAGCCTGAAATGTATTGAGGCTATTAGGCATTCACCAGGTTGTTAAGGAATCCTTATTTCAAGTCCTACAAAACAGCTGATCTTGAGAAGCACAGCCAGATGGACCAGTGTGGACATTACATATGGCGAGGTTGTAGAAAGCAATGAATCCACCCCCAGTGGAATGCGTATGAGGGGCTGGTTTACAGTAAATACTTAACTGGACACACCTATTTCAACAAAAGGATAGGGTTACACAATCAGCCACTTCCCTATAATAGGGGAATTTATGAGCTTCCAACTCCAAACTGAGGCACAGGGAAGAATCAAAAAGGGTAAGCAAATGCAGAGAGTGATGTTCGGTGACACAGACAGTACGTCAGCCTGAAGTGGGACCCCAGCGGAGAGACTTCAGGGACAAGCCTGTTGCAGTCGTGAAGTGTGCAGAGGAAGCTCTGCCATTAAGTTCATCCCTTGCACTGGTTCTTTCCAAGACCCTGGAATTCCAAGCAATGTGTTCAATATGGTCATGCTAAGTGTTTTGTAAAATTTGCAAAAGTAACATATTTTAACCACGGTTAGGATTACTGTCTCCTTCCACGTCAACTTCCCTCTGTCACAGTTTCTCTTGTATCAGGTAGCATGTGGGGGTTCTAGCTAAGGGGAAATTAAGTTGGGATTACATTGTTTGAGATTACTAGGATATGTGGTTCATAAGCACTTTCATGTATAGTCAAGTTATTGCTACCCGTCTCAGTGTAGAAGTGGCTTACAGGAACCACCACCCACTGAGATAACTCACCTGACATCAGAGACTAAAGTGAAAGGTCAGAGATCTGTCACAATAAGAATGTGTGCTGTGACATGAGGCACCAGAAGTCTGTGGACAGTGAAGCCAATAAATCCTTTTAACCCCTAGATGTAGAAAATTATAAGCGTATTACTCAGTCTCATCAAAGTCTAGTCAAAATGGAAGCTCTCTTCTTTAGGAATATACTTATTAAATATGCATATACAATTATACATACATCATGAAATAAAATGATCTCTTGCATATTTGCACATGAAATTAATAGAAGTTATTCTGACATCAGAAAAGGAATTGGAAGAAGAAAAAAAGTTTGGTTCCAGCCAAAACCAGCAATTTATTGAAGGGAAGGGATACATTTTAAATAGAATAGATGCCTAGATTGTTTGACAATCACTTGATGAAGAATTAACCACATAAACACATTAAAACTTAAAAAACTTGTTGTTTTGGCATAAAATATTGACATCTACAAACAGTTTCATACTACACCTTTACAACAAGGACTTAACGAAAAACAGGCCAATGACTTTCAGCAACTTAAAAGAGTATTTAAGATTAGTCACTGCCCAAGAAAACTTGAAATGCCCTGAAATCTCAGGCTTACATAGGAAACTCTTCACAGAGGCTTCTCCAAAATTAATAGCACTAAAAATTTGCATATTATTACCAATAACGATTGTGAAATGGATATTAACTTTTCTAAACTTTCAATAAAAACTTTTTTTGCTTAACTATGCTAGACGAAATACCAAATTATTCATTCTCACCCAGGAAAATACATTACAAAAGTGTTGTCGAATGAAGAGGGAATCAAAAAATATAAATGGGAAAATATAGGGGTGGTTCAAGCAGTTATTAGAATTTTGGGGGGATTTTTTGATGTTTGTGATATGTCAGTTTTTAAACATTTATCATTTGCTGTCATTGTTTTTCCTCATTGTAAGTCATATTTGCTTTTATTCTTAATTTTGTCAAATTCTGTATCCTTTTTCTTTTCTTTCTTTCCTTTTTTTTTTAATTTTTTTATTTTGAGACGGAGTGTTGCTCTGTCGCCAGACCTGAGTGTAGTGGCAACGATCTTGGCTCACTGCCTCACTGCAACCTCCGCCTCCCTGGTTCAAGAGATTCTCCTGGCTCAGCCGCCCGAGTAGCTGGGATTACAGGCACATGCCACTATGCCCAGCTAATTTTTTGTATTTTTAGTGGAGACGAGGTTTCACCATGTTGGCCAGGATGGTCTCGATCTCCTGACCTCGTGATCCACCCACCTCGGCCACCCAAAGTACCGGGATTACAGGCGTGAGCCACCGTGCCCGGCTGTATCCTTTTTCTTGAAAAGACACAACACTGTGTAAGCTTTCAAGCCCCACAAACCTGGGCCATCTCCCCGCCCCAGGAGAGTTCTCCGGCAATGGGAGTGGCCCAGACAGGCTCCCCAGATAGGGTCGGTTTCCAACAGGAGCCCTAAGGGGAGCTGAACCGGAAAACAAGTCTGTTAGTAGCGCTGGTCCTACGTGTCAGGGCTCAGTGGATAGAGAAGGAACAGGTGAGAAGCAGAGCCCCCGCCCAGTCCCCAGCGGTCCCCTTGGGAGCTCTGCTCGTGACCGTCCCGAGGGGCTGCGGCTCCGGGGCTCGGGTCGTTTTGAGTTCCTATCTTTGCGGCGGCTCTAGAATTCCAGGGGCAAGGCTTGCGCTCTGTCGTTTGCAGAAGACCGTCGCCAACGGACATCTGGGCCCTCTGGTGTTTCCAGCCCCACCTCCTCCCAGCCTTTCTTGTAACTAACCTGATCGAATGTGTGAATTGGGATTTCTTTTAAAAGCCCACCTCAACTGAAATTGGGACAGTGTAATCAGGATTCCGCTCCCCCGCCTTCACCCCAATCGGTTGCTTTTCAAATACAGCTTTTCTAAAACGCCGCCAGGCACCCGGGCGTGAAGGCGCGCGTCCGGCGTTCCTGGGCGCTCACCCAGTGGTCCGCGCGCCAATCTCCCTAACGTTCCCCAACCACCGTCCGAGCTGCCCCACTCTTCGCCCGGTCACTGATGCAGAGGCTGTCAGGCCTCTCTGCGCACGAAACCCATCACAGCACCTGGGCCAGCAGCCAGTGCCGGGCTGTCCTCTTCCCACCCCAAGGCGGTCCTCTTGAGTCTTCACACCGCCTCCTTCGGATCCCTCCCCATCCTGAGGACTTCAGGTTGCCGGCTCCTCACTTGGGTCCTGCGCACCTCGGGCTTCTCACAGAGTAGCCGTCTCCATTCTACGGATAGGGAAACAGAGGACCAGAGCCCCGAAAGTCGTACGCCCCAAAGCCCCTGAGAGTGGTCTCCAAATGCTAGTGCTGTGGCTCTGGAAAGATTCATTTTATTTCCTGCAACAAAGGCAGCCTCAGAGAACTGGCCTCCGAGCCTTTTCCGTGCAGACCCCCAATCTTTCAAGACACCACAGACCAATTCAGTTGGCAAAAGCCCTAAGAACAGTACACCCCAAACCAATGGAATAAAAAAGTTTTGTTTAGTTGAGACTGCAGAACTCTTAGCTGGCTTACAGATTTCTAAGGCAGCATTTGGCACCTCTGTTTGCTGTTTGGCTCCTCTTTCGGCCTCTAGAGCTGACTGCAGCTCCAATCTCCTTGTCACATCCTGGTCTGCAAACTGAGACCTCACAGGGGCCTTTACACCGTAGGGCAACTCCTTATGCCGTTGTCACACTGAAGCTAGAATTCTCAAAGCTGGAGCACTTAGGTGTCTGCATTTTAGAGGTCCCAGCCTGAATATATGCACAAGCAGGGTTTTGTTTCTGAGCTCAGTGAAGAGGACTGCTGTGACTCCAGCTCTTCTGAAATATTAGATGTGTAAAATGCAAGATTCTCTTCCAGCCTTGACTGGAGGTGATGTGGCAATGTGTGTACGCAAGAAAAGTCCATGCAGACTTTATACAGACTTTACTACTACAGACAAGAGAATCTTTCTGAAAGCTAAGGCCCAGAGAAGAGCAAACTACTGAAAAACTAAGGCCTGCATCAGAAGGGCTTCTGCTTCCATTAATGGACTGAGTAATTCAGACCAAGCCTCCATTTGAAGACAACTAAAAATGCTGGGTAAAATATTTTTAAGTATCTTACTTAAATATTCAAAGGTTAGTGAGGAATTGCTGGGCCAAAATTTGGGAAAGGAAAGGAACATGGAGGTGAGCCTGCAACTGGGGTCGCTTCTGTTCTGGGAGCATTTGCTGAAGAGAGTTTAAGAATCCAAGCTGCATTTTTGGCAGCCTTTAAAGGCTTAAAGGGAGTAGAAATGGTGTCCCAGCCCAGAGAATCTCAAGTAACCATTGAACTTGTTCAAAGTGACTCTAAACTGCTAGTGTCAAAAACAATCATTCTGGGAAGAAGATAATAGCATCCTAGGCCTCAAATGCATCTAGCAAACAAGCAAAAATAATCAAGCCCCAGAGAGGCGAGATTGCCATAAGAAAAGCAGAAACAGGCCAGGTGCAGTGGCTCATGCTTGCCATACCAGCACTTTGGGAGGCTGAGGCTGGGGAATTACTTGAGCTCAAGAGTTCAAGACCAGCCTGCACAACATGGTGAAACTCCGTTTCTACAAAAAATGCAAAAGTCAGTTGGGTGTGGTGGTGCACACCTGTAGTCCCAGCTACTAGGGTGGCTGAAGTGGATGGACGGCTTGCGCTTGGGAAGCAGAGGTTGCAAAGAGCTGAGATCATGCCACTGTACTCCAGCCTGGGCCGTAGAGCCAGACCTTGTCTCAAAAAGAAAAGAAAAGAAAAAAAAACAAAAATAAAAACAGACAACAGAATCAGACCCATGGGGCTTCCAGACTCTGGGGTTATTGGGCATAGACTATATAACAATGTATATGCTATCTTCAAAAGGATAAAAGCTATGTGTGAAACATTTGGCAGAGAGCTAGAAATTATAGCAAGTGACGTAGCAGATTTTTTTTGGGGAAAAGGAAATCTAGATTGAGACAGTGATGGGCACTAGAATTATAAAGTCATGGAAACTCAAGTATGGTGGCTGTGTTGGTCAATCTGTGAGCTTAGAAAGAATTAAACGTGAGCGGCTATGTGACCACAGAGAGAAATGGAGAGAATAGCTTCCTATTTTTCAGTTGAGTTTTTTGCTACTACAAAATTATATAACCAAAAATAGATGATTTTAACTATGTAACTTAAAGGGTTATACATACACTTGGCTCAAAAAATAATATATTAAAAGGTATAGATTAAGTAGGACTGTGACCACCTTGCCCTTCTTCATTCATTCCACCTACCACTACCCCCGTCCCTGGCCCACCGGTACACACTTTTATTAGTTTTCTGCGTATCCTTTCAATGTTTCTTTATGTAAATAGAAGTTAAATACAACTATATATATTGGTATTTCTCCCCTTTATTAAGCAAAGTTTTGCATACTAAACACTGTTCTGTCACTTAACAATGTTGCCTAAAGATTGTTGTCATTGGAATATAGAGAGCCTGTATACAATGGCTGTTCAGTATGGCAACTGAAAAATTAGCTGTTTTGTGCCAGGTACCATGGTAAGTGCTGAGGATGTCAAGATGAAAAACTATGGCCATGGGTAAGAGCTTTTACCATTTTTTAAATTTGGAAAATTAAATTTAAAATTTTTTCCATTTTCCATTTTTCCCTTTTCCATTTTTTAAATTTGGAAAATTTTTCTAGAATTTGGCTTTGGGAGGGATTAGACTGCTACCCCTGGGTACCGCATCCCACTGCTTCCCGTCCTTCTGTAATGTGGACTCACTGGCATGGTTGGCCTGCGTTAGCTGGCTTTGTGCATTGGAGCAGCTGGATGCCAGCCCAGAAGTTTCTGACAGCCTGGGCCCAGCAGTTCTGTGCCCACTCTGGGCCAGAGCACACAGCTGTCTTGCAGGAGAGAAGGGAGTATCAGCCTTTTACTCCACAGACTCAGCAGAGGCTTGATTTCAGATGTGAGCTGACCTTGAGACAGGCCCAGTCTGACTCAGGGATCAACTTTAAGGTTCTGTCAGGTCTCTGTGGAGCTAATAAATGGAGTAGGGGACCATGGGGGCAAAGGGTAGGTCAGACAAACGGAAGGAGAGGCATCCTCATTTGGAACAAAAGCTGTCTGTTTTTAAAGCCCCCGTAAATGGTTCAATATTTTAAAAGTTTTTTATTTTTTAAAAAGCAATGTTTAAAAACACTCGGGTTAAAAACATTGACTAGGATATTTTACATAAATTAAATAGTGGAAGATTTGAATAAATGTTCTGTATAACTAAAATAGAGTTTCTTTTCTGAAGAGAACTTTGGACTTTCACCTATACCTGACACCTGGGCCATTGTTCTCTGATTAAAGGTGCAATTTTTATCTATAGGAAAGTCATAATTCAAGATCAAAAAAGGAGCCCTTTTACGATGTTTTAACAATACCCCACCCTTGTTCCCCCGCCCTCCACCACCCATCTACTCCCCAGGAATATCTTTTTTTTTCTTTTTTTTTTTTTTTTGGTGAGGAGTCTCACTCTGTCACCAGGCTGGAGTGCAGTGGTGCAATCTCGGCTCACTGCAACCTCTGCCTCCCAGGTTCAAGTGATTCTCCTGCCTCAGCTTCCCGAGTAACTGGGACTACAGGCATGCGCCACCACATCCAGCTAATTTTTGTATTTTAGTAGAGACAAGGTTTCACCATGTTGGCCAGGCTGGTCTTGAACCCCCTGACCTCAGGTGATCCACCCGCCTTGGCCTCCCAAAGTGCTGGGATTACAGGCATAAGCCACCACACCTGGCCCCCAGGAATATCCTATATTAAATACAGGAGTTGATAGGCAGGCTTATCTCTCATTCCCACCCACATCCATCCCTCCTCCCCACCCTCTGATTAGCTGGAAAAATTTGGAAAGATGGAAAAGAGATTATTCCAGCACAGGGGAAGGAAGATCACTTGTCACATTGTCAGGAAAAACATACGATGCTCAGTTAAACTTGAATTTCAGATGTACAACAAGTAGTTTTTTAGTATGTCTCAAATATTGCATTATTCATTGTTTATCTGACGTTCATATTTAACTGGGTGTCCTGTACTTTTATTTGCTAAATCTGACAACCCTGTTTGGCAAATCTGGGTCACAGGGTATCAGGCCAACTGGAAAAGACAGTTAAGGAATGAAAGATAAGTTTAGATGAAAGGGAAGAGGCCAATGGAGGACGAGTTGGACTTTATTCTGTAGAAAATGGGGAACAACTGAAGGTGTCAGTTTTTTTTTTTAAGTAACATTTATTGTGGGATTTTTTTAATTGTAAAAGCAAATATGTTAATTGTGCTGCATTTGGAAAGCACAGAAAAGTATAAAAGAATATAATTACCCATAATTTCACCAACCAGCAATAACAACTATTGGCACCTTACTGTTAACTGCCTGCAAGTTGATGCCAGTTTTCACCTTCTCAAGCCTATTTTGACAGCTCTATTGAAAACTGGAACCATATCGACTGCTCTTCATACTCCCTTTCTGCTTTATTTTTTCCTCCATAATATTTATTTCCTCCTTAGAACCTTAATGTGAAAAAAAAAATTTCCTCCTAATGTATGATTCATTTGGTTAGCTGATTTACTGCCTGGCTCTCAGTGGGTGGGGCTTCTGTATACTTTATTCACTGTAATAAAAGTGCCTAGAATTATGCCTGTCACATAGTAATAAGTATCCATTGTAATGAACAAATAAGTTATCCTTCTGGTTTCTTTTCTCTGACTATATATGCTTTTGATTACTTCCTTATGTAACCATAACAGATTTGTTGCCCAACAGGCACAGAAAGTCAGTAAGCTGAAACCTGGTTGCAGCAGAGAAAGAGGTTTAATCGTAGGGCCGCCAAATGAGGACATGGAAGGGAACTTCAAATCCATCTCCCCAAATAATTTGGAGCTAGAGATTTTAAAGATTTTGGAGTTGGCCAAAGTGACTGGCTGAAGAGTGCAGGGTGAAGTCATGGGACAAGGAGATGAAGAAGCTGTATTATCAAGTTGAGAAAACAGTTCCTTTGTGGAGGTCTTAAACTAGTTGTCATCAGCTGTTCTACTAAAATTCAGGATCTGCTTAAGCAATTCTTTAAAAAAATTTTTTTAATTAATAATTTTTTTTGTAGAGATGGGATCTTGCTTTGTTGCCCAGGCTGGTCTCGAACTCCTGGCTTCAAGCAATCCTCCTGCCTTGGCTGATTCTTATGTCAGAAATCCTACCTAGAGCAACAATGGGGATATGACTGGTCAGTGTCTAGTGTTACATGACTTTTGGTTTCAAGGAAGTGAGTCAAAGTGCAGTCTGATTAAGGCTTAATTATAATTATATTTCTGTCCAGAATTATTGTTAACCCTGTGAGGATGGCTTCACTTAGGGAAAACTTTTAGACATGAAACTACTGGGCCAAACGGTCTTAGGTGCATTTTAAAATAATTTTGGTGTATATTGCCCACACACAGTCCAGAGGGGCTAAACTGGCTCACATTGCAGCTGCAGGATTGTGGAGTGCCTGCACTGAAGTTTGCAATAGAGAGAAGAGGAGATGAGCACTGCTCCATCCAGTAGGAGGTGTAAGGGTTGGGAGATCCCTTGCGAAGAGCTGGAAACTCAGAACTGGGGTTGTGGGGATGGAAGGTGGGCTCTGCGGTGATATGGGAGTTCATCTGTGTATTCTTTTGCCAGGACCTCCGTAACAAAGTACCACAGGCTGGGTGGCTCTAGCAACAGCAATTTATTTTCTCAAAGTTCTGGAGGCTGAAAGTCCAAGATCAAGGTTGTTGCCTGTGAGGCCGCTCTCCTTGGCTTACAGATGGCCGTCTACTCAGTGAGTCCTCACAAGGTCTTTCCTCATGTGGAGCATCCCTGGTGCCCTTCTGTGTGTCCAAATCTCGTCTTCTTATGAAGACGCCAGTCAGATTAGACAAAGGTCCGCTCTGATGGGCTTATTTTACCTCTGAGGACTAAACTCTGACCTTTTTCCTTCTCTTGCCCAAATTTCTACCTAAGGGGCCTGGGGAGTCATGCCCTACAAACCGTAAAGTCTCATCAGAGGGGTTTTATTTAACCCTAATGTGGCCTACTTTCCAAACTGGCTCTGGCATAACATTACATAACAAATAAGGAAAGAAATCAAAATATTTTAACCCCAAATGTATTTCCTTGCCATATCTTGAAATTGCCCTGCAAAGTTGTCTCTTGTGGGGGAAAAATCTACATTCTATAGAGAATCCCCTTTTCCCTTTTTTTCAGGTCCAGGAGATAATCAAGAGTCTGGCACCCTTTTTGAGTCTAATAAAAAACATTTATAATCTATTCTCTCTGAAGCCTGCTACCTGAAGGCTTCCTCTGCACATTAAGAACTTTGTGCCGGGTGCGGTGGCTCACGCCTGTAATCCCAGCACTTTGGGAGGCCGAGGCAGACAGATCACCTGAGGTCGGGAGTTCGAGACCAGCCTGACCAACATGGAGAAATCCCATCTCTACTAAAAATACAAAAAATTAGCCAGGCGAGGTGGTGCATGCCTTAATGCCAGCTACTTGGGAGGCTGAGGCAGGAGAATGGCTGGAACCTGGGAGGCGGAGGTTGCAGTGAGTCGAGATCATGCCATTGCACTGCAGTCTGGGTGACAGAGTGAGACCTTGTCTCAAAAAAAAAAAAAAAAAAAAAGGAACTTTTCTCTTTTCTCTCCACAGTTCTTTATCTCAACCCAGACATTTCCTTTCCATTGATCCCAGGTCTTCAGATAAACTCAACCAACTGTCAACCAGAAAATGTTTAAATCTACTTATAACCTGGAAGCTCCCTACTTTGAGTCATCCTGCCTTTCTGAACCTAACCCATGTACATCTTAAATGTACTTGATTGAAGTATCATGTCTCCCAAAAATGTATGTATGAAACCAGGCTGTGCCCTAACCACCTCAGGCACATGTTCTCAGGATCTCCTGAGGGCTGTGTCATGGGCCATGGCCACCCATATTTGGCTCAAAATACATCTCTTTGAATATTTTATAGAGTTTGACTCTTTGTCGACAATTTAATCAACTTTCAAAGGCCCTATTTCCAAATATAGTCACATTTTGAGGTTCTTGGAGTTAGGGCTTCATCATACAAGTTTGGAGCAGTGGGTGAGAGGGACACAATTCAGCCCGCGGAAATCTGCATAGAAGTGTTGAGACCATGGGAGAGACAGACATCCACCACAAACCTCCCCGCATCTGGAAGGCAGCACTCTGTACTCCTGAGTCTCTCAGGGCCAACCAGATCCTCCTCATGCCTCCTGAAATGAGATTTCAAAACTGCTTGCCATCCAAGTGACCTCCTCTCAAGGCAGTCCAGTTTGCGGTTACCTTTATTAAAATGCGCTTCCCAGAGTGAGTTACCAAGAGCTCTGTGTTAGGCTCTGGACACCGTACTTCTGTGGTACAAGAATATTACATAGTCTGATGTGTTCTGATGGGGGCATTTAGATCCTCAAACCCAAGCATATTTTTATTTCTTCTTGCCACTTTTCTCTCAACCACTTTTCTCTGATGTCATTTATTGTAGAAGCAGCATAACCATAGCAAATAACTGGGTAGCGCGGCCTAGCCAAGTTGACATATAAAATTAACCATTCCACCGGCCAATCCAATAATTTAAATAATCTGGATAACTGAGTCAAGTGAAGGCCAGGCCTTTTCAGCTTCTTCCCCCTGCCCTTGCTCCTAAGTTGGAGTCGCGGTGTTAGGAGACTGCAGTTTCTCCTGGCAGAGGGAGAGGAGTGAGACCACCATGAGGTTCTCCCATCTGCACAGGCACAGCAGCCCTTAAACTATCTCTGGATTTATGCTTCTATGTTTTAATGGGTTTCTCTAAGGAAGAAAGGGAGCTTTACATTTTGTTGGGGTTTTTAATCTCATGACTGATCCTTTGGTTGAGCAATTCAGCCCAATGTTATATTGACTGCTATATATAAACTGAACTTTGTTGCTCCATTTATTTTGATGGCCCTCCTATTTTTTTTTCTTTCTGTTTGCATGTATATATCTCTATAGAAAACTTTAAACTCATTTTTAATGGGATGATATACATGCAAACAGAAAGCAAACATTTTAATCATTCTGGTATTTTAAACAGAACTTTTTTATGGCTAAGTGCTGTGACTCATGCCTGTAATCCCAGCACTTTGGGAGGCCAAGGCGGGCTGATCACTGGAGGTCAGGAGTTCAACACCAGCCTGATCAACATGGTGAAACCCTGTCTCTACTAAAAATACAAAAATCAGCCAGGCATGGTGGCACAGCCCTGTAATCCCAGCTACTTGGGAGGCTGAGGCAGGAGAATCGCTTGAACCTGGGAGGCGGAGGTTGCAGTGAGCTGAGATTGCACCATTGCACCCCAGCCTGGGCAACCAAAGCAAAACTCTGTCTCGAAAAGAAAAGAAAAGAAAAAGAAAAAGAAAAAGAAAGAAAGAAAGAAAGAAAGGAAGGAAGAAAGAAAGGAAGGAAGGAAGGAAGGAAGGAAGGAGGAAAGAAAGAGAGAAAGAAAGAAAGAAAGAAAAAAAGAAAGAAAGGAAGAAAACCCTGTTTTTACTACCTCCTGTTTCTAATTTCTATTTTTAACTAAATAAAATCTAGCTCTCTTGTTGGGAGACTGGTTATAGGGTATCTCTGTGTAAGCTGTCCCTTGACTTCATTTCGACCCCACCGTCCCTGACTTATCTTGAAGCCTAAAAACCCTTTTGAAATCCTGTGTGCATTTTACTTTTCTTATAATATTCTTTCTAGTCACCGTTCAAATGCATTTTAAGTCATTTGCCTTGAGGCTTTTGAAAAAGATAGTGCCCATTCACACTGAAACCAGCCACATATGAAGAGTCCCATTTTTCCACATCCTCATCAGCTCTGGACATTTTTGAAAAATTTTGCCAATCTGATGAGTACAAAGTTTATCTCATTTTTGTATTTGTATCGCATTATTTGTATTTTCCTGAGTAGTAGGAAAGGAGTTGAACTTTTTCTTAATTTTAGAATTTATTTTAGAATTCCTCTGAATTTCTATTTTTATTTCTATCCATTGTTCATTTTCAACATTTTTCCTATTTTAACTAAAATATTTTACTTTGGAAAAACTTAATATAGAAAATAATAGAAAATCATATAACAAGCACCTTATAACCACAACCTAGAATTAACAAATACAAACATTTTGCTATGTTTGCCTCAGATTTTTAAAAATTAAATATTACAGATTTAATTTTTTAAATTTTAATCTCAAAAAAATTTGAGAATCCCTCTGTCCATTTAGTTCTCTTCTTAGTTCCATTCCTCTCTCGCTCTTTCTCTCTCTCCTCCCGGAAGCAAACACTGCCATAAATTTAGTATGTATCCTTTCAGGCCTTGTGTTTAAACTTCTATCACATATATGGAAACTGCAAACTATATGAAGTGTTGTGTGTTTCTAAGTGTATATAAATCACCACATACTCATTACTGTTTTGAGACCTAGCCATATGACTACATACAGATCACTGGTTTTCCATCAGAGGTTTTGTCCCCCAGGGACATTTGGTCATGCTTGGAGACATTTTTGTTTGTCACAACTGGGGGATAGGAGTGCTACTGGAATCTAGTGGTAGAGGCCAGGGATGCTGGTAAACATCCTACAGTGCACAGGGCCACCACACACCAAAGAATTATCCAGCCTAAAATGTCAACAGTGCTATCATTGAAAAACCCTGACATAGGATTTATTTATTTATTTATTTATTTTTTTGAGACGGAGCCTCACCCTGTCGCCCAGGCTGGAGGGCAGTGGCGCGATCTCGGCTCACTGGAAGCTCCGCCTCCCAGGTTCCCGCCATTCTCCTGCCTCAGCCTCCCGAGTAGCTGGGACTACAGGCGCCGGCCACCATGCCTGGCTAATTTTTTGTATTTTTAGTGGAGACAGGGTTTCACCGGGTTAGCCAGGATGGTCTTGATCTCCTGACCTCGTGATCCGCCCGCCTCAGCCTCCCAAAGTGCTGGGATTACAGGCGGGAGCCACCGCACCCAGCCAATATTAATACTGTTACATGCATCTCTGAGTGCACATGTGCAAGGTTTTCTCTAGAGAGGCAGAATCATACAGGGTGTAAGAAGGCTCTAGAGGCTACCTGGGTTCAAGTCCCCATTCCACTATTTACTTACTGAATGACCTTTGGGGCAAATTGCTTAATCTCTCTTGATCTCCGTTGACTTGTCCTCAAAATGGGAATAATAATACTTCTCTATATAAATGAGTTAATACGCAAAATGCTTGGGACTGTGCCTGGCACATGGTAAGCATTCAAGAAATGTTAGCTTTTATTTACTGGTAGCAGTATTTTCATCATCATCATTATCATTACAGAACCTTGAAATGAAAGTACACCGTTTAAATTCTACTAAATATTTTTAAATTATTGTAATTTATACTCTCACCAGTAGGGTATAGGAGTACCTATTTCTCCATGTCCTTGGCTATATTTGATATTCCAGACTTAAACTTAAGATATAAACTGATATCTTCTTTTATTTTAATTGGCATTTTCTTTTTTCTTTTTCTTTCTTTCTTTCTTTTTTTTTTTTTTTTAAGGAAACGTCTTGCTCTGTTACCCAAGCTGGAGTGCAGTAGGGCGGCTAAAGTGCAGTGGCATGATCACGGCTCACTGCAGCCTCGATCTCGCAGGTTCATGCAATCCTCCTGCATCAGCCTTCCAAGAAGCTGGGACTATAGGTGTGTGCCACCATGCCCAGCTAACTTTTGTATTTTTTGTAGAGACAGGGTTTCACCATGTTGTCCAGGCTGCTCTTGAACTCCTATGCTCAAGAAATCTGCCTGCCTTGGCCTCACAAAGTGCTGGAATTACAGGCATGAGCCAATGAGTTGAGCGTGCATTTTCAAGATTACTGTTTTCAAGTATTTATTGGTTAATTGGTTTTATTGCTCTGCAAATGTCCATTTCATTCTCTGTCCATTTTTTGATTTACTATTTAATGTTGTAAAACATAATGTAAAAAGTACTAAAAAAGAAAAAAACTTAATGTATTTATACAATTAAAAATTCACAAAATGTAATATGTCATACAAAGAAAAGCCTCTCTTCCACCCCTGTTCCCTGGCTAGTCAGTCCCTCTCCTTAGAGACAACCATTGTTAGTTATTAAATTCTTATCCTTCCAGAAAGAACTTATTTGGATATTCAAGAAAATAAGTATTTTTTTTCTACCCAAATGGTAGCATAGTACATGCATTTTTCTGCATTATTTGTTTTTTCCTTTCTTCACATAACAACATATCTTGGCCATATTTTCCATATGTAAATAAGGAACTCCCTGATTCTTTTTTATTTCTATTCTGTTATAAAGCTGGGCTATAATTTATTTAAACATTTCCATACTGATGTACATTTAGATTGTTTTCTAATATTTTGCTAATGCAAACATTACCACAAAGTCCAAAATAAATTTATATGTGTGAGTATATCTGTAGACTAAATTCCCAGAGGTGGAATTTCTGGGATAAAGGGAATGAGCATTTGTAGTTTTGAAACATATCACATTATTTTCCTCCATAGACATTCTACCAATTCACATAGGCCCGGAAATGTGAATCCTGAGGCAGGGGAAGCTTCTGTAGCTGGAATCGTGATGCAGGGAGGCTTATGTAACATTGTGGGGCTGTCTAGTCTGACAACTGAGCTGCCTCTAGCCTTCACTGGCCTCTGATAAGGTGTCTCATCCCATTAGTCTTGGCAGGTCCCCTCCAGATCTGTGCACTCGCTGCTGCATGGCTCTGTGTCTGCTTTCTTGTGTGTGACAGCTGTCTCATGTGCATGAGGCTCTGCATCATTTCCTGTTCTATGGCTAATTTTTATAAACTCTATGCCTCAGAATTGGCTTGGAAGTCCTTTGGAACTAACACAATACCAACTATCTCAAGACCCTAGCCCTTGCAAATTGGAGGCATTTGGTTTCAGACTACTGAGCCTACTAAGAGTTTAAGATATCCATTCAAGGGCTGGGCACAGTGGCTCACGCCTGTAATCCCAGCACTTTGGGAGGCTGAGGCAGGTGGGTCATCTGAGGTCAGGAGTTCAAGACCAGCCTGGCCAACGTGGTGAAACCCCGTCTCTATTAAAAATACAAAAAATTAGCTGGATGTGGTGGCAGGTGCCTGTAATCCCAGCTACTTGGGAGGCTGAGGCAGGAGAATCACTTGAACCGGGGATTCAGAGGTTGTAGTGAACCGAGATCACGCCATTGCACTCCAGTCTGGGCAATAATAGTGAAACTCTGTCTCAAAAAAAAAAAAAAGAAAGAAGAAAGAAAAAAAATATATGTATATATATATCTCCATTCAGTCCAGTGGATGGATGACCCAGGATAACAATAATAATTCTGAGAGAGTAAAGCACCTTTGAAACACTGTAGATTCTCATTTTTTATGTCTAAATTTCCTTCCTCATGAAGCCATCAGTACCTGTTTGGTGACAGTTCTTTGAAACTCTCCAGTGGTGTTCATATGAGTATTTTCATTCTCTCTGCTGGGTTGCCCAGCTTCATTGAAATACCAATGTTCTTTTAAAATATTTGTTTATCATTTTTAAAGATTACTATTTGTTTTCATTAATGCTGAAACAAGAAAGAATAAAGAAGACTTAATGTGGAATAGGAAACCTGGAATTAAGTCTGAGATCTGTCATTTATTAGCTGGATGAGCTGGAACAATTAGTAGTGTCTCTAAACCAGGGGTTATCAATGTGTGAGCCTCCATCAGGAGCATCGACTTCTCCAGAGAATTTGCTTAAGATGTCAATCATCAGGCTCCACCAAGGACCTGTTGAAAGAGAAAGTCTCTACTGGAGTTCAGCAAATCTGAATTTTAACAAGTTTTCCAAGTGATTCTGAAGAATACTGAGTTCCTTTTTTGAGAAAGGATAAAGATAATTTCTTACAGGTGAGACTTAAATGAGGTAATATAAGCAAAATAAATCTATAAATCAGAGTCATAATGTCAAATGCCTTCAAGGGCCAAGGAGACGTGAGGTAGCAGAGCGGTGGGGAACATAGCCACCCTCTCTAAAGGCATCTACATTATCATTATTTTCTAAATCATCATGCCAGTCAAACAAAACCTGTCAAAAGTTAAATTCTGCTTCTAGGGGCCAGCAGTTTAGGAGTGTAAGTAAAACAATTTACAGATGTTAGACTGTTTTAATTTAACCCTAAAACAAACAAAAAGAAAGGTCTGGAGGTATAACATTTCTGAAAGTCTTTGGTTTACAGCAGTTGCTATAAGGGGAGCCACATAATTTATAGTCCAAACTGGACATTTCTGAAAGTGAAAGGAGGTGCTATTAATAATTACACCAGGACAAAGTGAAACCCAGGATGGTTCCAGGCAAAGCAGAGTGTATGATCACTCTGGCTATTATTATAATAATCATCCACAAGCCCTGTTTGACCTAAGATTAAGATCAGACAAAAATTAATGGTGTACTTCTTGCTGGGGACAGACGGCTGATAATGGAGAGTGAGGAGGTGAGGGTGGAAGCTATACCAAGAGAAGGGGTAGGGAGGAAGCACCCTTTTCCTTAAGACAAGAGGCAAGGAGGGAAGGTTAGGACATGAATGTACAGAAGGGAATGTATGTAACACTGGTTGATATATTCCTAGTCATAACAAAAGCCATAGAAGGCAAGTCAGGGATCAGAGAAGCACCAAGAAGGAAGAAGAAGAACATATAGACAGAATTGGCAAAGCAAAGAATGGGCACGGAGACACCAGCATACTGGAGACATACAGAGAAAAAATCAACAGAGGACAGACTACTACAGGTGTTGTGGGGAGACAGAAGATCACCAGGGGCAAGAGCAAAGTGCAAAAACAAAGAACAACTCTTTAGAAAGGAAGTTCCTTGCCTATCCTACTGAGCTAGGGAGTGGTTGGTTGACCCTGTGACTGGAAATTCCCCAAGGTAGGTGATGATAACCTCCACATTTTCACAAAATTCTGTGAGGAGCCAAAGCACCTGAGGTAGAGAATTGCCCTTCCCCTACTTTCCAGATGCTCTACCAAGGCTTGAACTTTGCATACAAGATGCCCAAAGCATTGCAGTGAACTGGCTGTGACCTTTCAGTAGGCATCACCACCCACCCCTCCACTCCCTACTCAGAGCTGATTGGGAAATCCCCCATAAGTGGTGTTTGGTGCCCCGGTCATTCTGATCTTAGTCAACCACCATACAAACATACCTTTAGTCCAAAGTTCAGGACAACTTATTTCACTTTATAAGCAGCCTATTACACATTCAAAGTATCCATTTGTTCTCAAGAGGTAGCAAGGTAGGACTGCCCATCTGTTTTCCTCTCTTTATAATATTTTCTAGATCCTAAATTTTACGCTTTTCTATCATTTCTTTATTTTTTTCTCCCTCTTCTTTTCCTCTCTCTCTGCTCTTCTAACTAATTGGCAGAATCTCTGACCTCCACTTTCTCTGACTCCCTTCTCCCTTCCTAGAAACAGTATCCACAGTGGACTCCGGGGCTCCTACAGACTTGGCACAGCTTCCTACAGTCTTGAAACAGCCCTGTTGTTCTGTCATGGCCAGTGGGCAGTTTGTGAACAAACTGCAAGAGGAAGTGATCTGCCCCATCTGCCTGGACATTCTGCAGAAACCTGTCACCATCGACTGTGGGCACAATTTCTGCCTCAAATGCATCACTCAGATTGGGGAAACATCATGTGGATTTTTCAAATGTCCCCTCTGCAAAACTTCCGTAAGGAAGAACGCAATCAGGTTCAACTCGCTGTTGCGGAATCTGGTGGAGAAAATCCAAGCTCTACAAGCCTCTGAGGTGCAGTCCAAAAGGAAAGAGGCTACATGCCCGAGGCACCAGGAGATGTTCCACTATTTCTGCGAGGATGATGGGAAGTTCCTCTGTTTTGTGTGTCGTGAATCCAAGGACCACAAATCCCATAATGTCAGCTTGATCGAAGAAGCTGCCCAGAATTATCAGGTAGGCATTTGAGGTTTCTTCCCTGTTCCCCCATCAGCCCAGGAGTTCAGTGAGGCCCTGGAAACTGCTACCTTCCCACTGAGGGTTTGCACCCCATTGCCCCCACCCCTTGGGCTTGAGTGGGCAGCTCGCAGTCAGGCACAGTGGGTTCAAAGAGCTGAGTCTGGGGAACTGCTGACTCTCTAAATCAAGGTGCAATGGAGAATGGAAAGGATGTGAAAATTTGACTCAGAAGGTTTGGGCTCAAGCCCAGTCTTGTGAGTTTACTGTACAACCTGCAAGGAATCACTTTACCTCTCTGAGCCTCAGGTACCTCACCTTTCAAATGGCAAAAACAAAACAACTCTCTTAAAGTTGTTGGTAGGACAGATGAAGGGAAGTTTGTAGTTCTTTGATAATTCCAAAGCACCATCCATAGTCCTAGTTAGTCATAAATAACTATGTTCTGGTCATTTAGGTCACTTAGGCTCCAGATTTCTCCCTTCTCAGCAACCCCTTTCCCCGCCAGCTTGAGAAAGGCGAGTCCTTAATAATTACACAAGGACTCACCTGGAGAGTGTCACCAGCTCTCCTAAGAGACCAGGAGGATTTTATGAGGCCAGAAATCTCCAGGCACAGCCTGTCCAAACGGCCCTCTTTCCGCAGGGGCAGATTCAAGAGCAGATCCAAGTCTTGCAGCAAAAGGAGAAGGAGACAGTACAAGTGAAGGCACAAGGTGTACACAGGGTCGATGTCTTCACGGTAAGAAAAACTCCATCCCACGATCTCTGGAAGCAGAAACATCTCTGCCAAAGCTCCTGGAATCCCCTATTACACTGACCCCTCAGAAAAAGATCCAGTGAGCCATGTCCTCTCCTCGGCGCCTCAGCACCTGACCGGCCAGGCGGCATCACCTCCCGCGTCGGCCTCGCTATTACAGCGGGCTGACTGCTCAGTCTCCACCGGCAGACAAGGTGGGGCACGGAAAACCCGCGCTGGTCTTAGAATCGCAAGTACAGGTTTTTAAGGCCGAGCTGCGCCCTCAACGGATTCCCCAATTAGAAAATGAAGACATTGGCCGGGCGCGGTGGCTCACGCCAGTAATCACAGCACTCTGGGAGGCTGAGGATCGCTTGAGCCCAGGAGTTTGAGACCAGCCTGGGCAACATAGCGAGACTCTCCTCTTAATTAAAAAAAAAAAGAAAGAAAACTAGCCGGGCGTGGTAGCACACGCCTGTAGTCCCAGCTACTAGAGAGGCTGGGAGGTGAAAGTATTGTTTGAGCCTGGGAGGATGAGGCTGCAGTGAGCCGTGATCGTGCACTGCACTCCAGCCTGAGTGACAGAGTGAGAGACTGTCTCAAAAAAAAAAAAAAAAAAAGACAGAAGGAAAATGAAGACATTGTGACCCCACTTACCTATTTTCCTGTGTGCGTGAAAGGAATAAAATCTATATGAAAGATTATAAACTGAAAAGCCTTCTGGAATTGTATTAGACAGTTCCTTGAAGGCAAGTGGTAAACCATAAATTAATAATTTCGCTTAAAGCTGAGCACGTAGTAGGTGCTTTTAGAAGTTTGTTCTCCTCTCCTTTCCTTTCTTCCAGGTCTGCCCTGGCACATTGCTCTGGTTGGGAATTCCACACAAACTTAATAAAATTAATGGCTGAATAAAGTGGGCTAGAAGGACCTTCGAGGCCATCCTCTCACCCTCTGCCTGTCCCTGTTTCTTAGGACCAGGTAGAACATGAGAAGCAAAGGATCCTCACAGAATTTGAACTCCTGCATCAAGTCCTAGAGGAGGAGAAGAATTTCCTGCTATCACGGATTTACTGGCTGGGTCATGAGGGAACGGAAGCGGGGAAACACTATGTTGCCTCCACTGAGCCACAGTTGAACGATCTCAAGAAGCTCGTTGATTCCCTGAAGACCAAGCAGAACATGCCACCCAGGCAGCTGCTGGAGGTGAGTCCCTTGGGGGCAGAATTGCAGAGAGGTAGCAGCCCATCCCTAGTCTCAGGTCAGAGCATGGACCACTGGCAGAATACCTGAGATTGCCCCAACCATCCTACCTCTAGCCCAGTGCTGTCCAATAGCAATATGTGAGCCGCATGTATTAGAATGAAAATGTGAGCCACATATGTAATTCATAAATATAATTCTGGCCACATGTGTGATTTAGAAATGTAGTTTCAGCCACATATGGAATTACAAATTTTTCTAGTTAGTCACATTAAAATGATAAAAGTGAAATTAATTTTAATAAAATATTTTAACTCAATATATCTGAAATATTATCCTTTCAGCCTGTAATGAATATTTTAAAAGTATTAATGAGATATTTCACATTCTGGGTTTTTGGTGGTTTTTTTTTTTTTTTTTTTTACACTGAGTCTTTGAAATTGTGTGTATATTTTTCACTTTGGCACATCTCAATTCAGATGCTAAATTGTCAATTGTTAAAGTAAAATATAGTCTTACCAAATCAATAAAGTTGTGTTTAATGGAAAAAGTACTTTACCCTTCTTCTATTTATTTTATTTTATTTTTTGAGATGGAATCTTGCTCTGTTGCCCAGGCTGGAGTACAGTGGCGCGATTTTGGCGCACTACAACTTCCGCCTCCTAGGCCCAAGTCCCAAGTAGCTGGGATTACAGGTCCCCACCACCACGCCCAGCTAATTTTTGTATTCTTAGCAGACACGGGGTTTTACCATGTTGGCCAGGATGGTCTCGAACTCCTGACCTCAAGTGATCTGCCCACCTCAGCCTCCCAAAGTGCTGGGATTACAGGCGTGAACCACCGTGCCTGGCCTCTATTTTTAATTTAAATTTGAATTAGTAAAAATGAAATTAAAAATTCAGTTCTTTGTCACACTAGCCACAATTTCCAATGTTCAGTAGCCACATGTGGTTGGTGGCTACCATATTGGACAGTGCAAGTCTAGCTGGTGCTTAAAATAAGCTGAGATGATTCCTCCTCAAGTCATCTATTCTCCCACAGGTTCAAAAACCTATTTATTTATTTTAAGAAAGATCATGCAAAGCCATTCTAGCCTTTCTCCTGCCCTGGCTAGCAGGCTCCCTTGTTCAGTCTCAGAGCCAAATTCATCTTCTAAATCTCACTCTTCTCTTCTTCACTCAGTTCTTCTTGAGGTCAAAACACTTTTCTGCTTACTGGCAGAGCAGTGCTTCTTGGAGAAGCCCTTCGTGGTGGGGAGAGGGGAGGAGGATGGGGTAAGAGAGACTTGGAGGGGTTCTTACTCCTCCTGCTCTGCCCCACACCCAGCAGGCTCTGTATCTCCTCCTTGGCTCCTGGGAATCAGCCAAGTGCTGAGGCTGTGCTGTTTCTCTTTCTCTTCTAGGATATCAAAGTCGTCTTGTGCAGGTATGATGGGCCACCCCAAATGTATTTTGCCTACTGATTCATCCACACACAATTCTCAGCGTATATCCAAATGCAGTCAACATTCCTCTCTCAGAAATACCCACCCACCTCTAACTCTGCATTCATACATTTAGGCTGCAGCCGGGGAATGCCTATGCCAACCATATTAGCACGTGGTTGGTTGTTAAAGAAACCAGCTGTTTTCTCAGCCTTCCTCCTTCTTCAGCACAGATTCTACTATTTCCTGAATGCCCCCTTGCTCAACTGAATAGCTCCTGGGTCCCCTACTCTGTCTCCCTGACCCTGTTTTTTTCCCTCCTCTCTGTCTCCATCTCCCATCTTCATTTCCATATCTCCCTATGCCCTACCTCACTCCCGCCCCATATCCCTAGCCCTGACTTTCTGACTCCCAGCTCACTATCCCTTAACCGCCAGGTCTTCTTTTTTTTTTTTTTTTTTTTTTTTTGAGATGGAGCTTTGCTCTTGTTGCTCAGGCTGGAGTGCAGTGGTGCAATCTCAGCTCACTGCAACCTTTGTCTCCCAGGTTCAAGTGATTCTCCTGCCTCAGCCTCCCAAGTAGCTGAGACTACAGGCGCTTGCCACCAAGCCTGGCTAATTTTCATATTTTTAGTAGAGACCAGGTTTTACCATGTTGGCCAGGCTAGTCTTGAACTCCTGACCTCAGGTGATCCACCCGCCTCAGCCTCCCAAAGTGCTGGGATTACAGGTGTGAGCCACTGCTCTCAGTTCTACCCCCAGGTCTTCATCCCCTCATTTCTCAACCGCGTATCTCAGATCCTCCTTCTCCCACACCTCATCCCCTGATCTCACCAACCAGCTCAACCACATCTTCCTAGAAGTGAAGAGTTTCAGTTTCTCAACCCAACCCCTGTTCCTCTGGAACTGGAGAAAAAACTCAGTGAAGCAAAATCAAGACATGACTCCATCACAGGGAGCCTAAAAAAATTCAAAGGTAAGGAAGAGGCTGTATTTTCTCTATTCACCTACTTCCAGGAGATTCTCTCCCTGCTCACTCCACTGAAATGGAACTGTGACTCATACATGCCAACAATCCCTGGGCCCTTCTAGTGCCAGGCTTCTGGCTGAGTACTTTCCACGCATCAGTATGCCTCCTCCCAGGCATTTCTTATATTCTGTCTTTGTGATATGTTATTTATCTGCCTCCCTGACTCCTGCGAGAGCCATAGAGGGCCTGGACCTATTCCCCATGTGGACACCTGGCCTAGAGCAGTGGCTGTTGGGAAGTTGGTGATGAGTTGTCTGGTGGACCAGAGATGGCCTCAGGCAGGGACTGTCATCTCTGACTTCTCCTTCTCTGGTGCACACTGGTGTCTCCTCCTGCCTACAGAAGAAGAGAAAATAAATTCAAAATCAGTGACATTCTGGGGAGAAACCTCTTCCAGCCTTACAGGGAAACAGAAATCAGCAGAACAGTAGTGGATGACTTGGGTTTTAGATGTTCGCCAGATATTTTTCATAAACCTTTCTGTGTTTGCAACTAGGAAGAAGGGTTAGTATTTGTAAGGACTCCCCTTAATGTGAAGACTGTGTTGGTCTAAGGTGGGCATAAAGACAGCTAGATGGAATCTTCTGAAATTATCACCTGGAGTTCCACACCCACCTCCCCCACCCCAACCCCCAGCCCCCCATACACAAACACTTCCCCTTGGGACTACGGAAAAGGAGGACCAGGGCAATGCCCCAAGATCTCCACCCATTCAGCCGGGAATCTCCACTCGGCAGACATAAACAGGAAAGCATGTTTTGTTTTATTCTTAATTTTGTTGTCTGAGCTTTTCTTTTGTCCACTAACTGCTCTGCTTTGTCTAGCTCCTCCCACCCCACTGGGCATGATCTCAGCCGATCTAGCAACTTTATTTATTTGTTTATTTATTTATTTATTTTTGATGGAGTTTTGCTCTTATTGCCCAGGATAGAGTGCAGTGGCGCAATCTCGGCTCACTGCAACCTCCGCCTTCTGGTTTCAAGCGATTCTCCTGCCTCAGCTTCCCAAGTCGCTGGTGTTACAGGCGCACACCACCATGCCCAGCTAGTTTTTTGTATTTTTAGTAGAGACGGGGTTTCACCAGGTTGGTCAAGCTGGTCTCGAACTGCTGACTTGTGATCCACCCGCCTCAGCCTCCCAAAGTGCTGGGATTACAGGCGTGAGCCACCACGTCCAGCCCGATCCAGCACCTTTCTAGGCTCTTCAGGTCAAGAATAGTTTGGTTCTAGTTTGGAATTTCAATAAAGGAGCCCAGCCCTTTCCACTTCATCAGGTTTGGAGTTGGGGAGACTGGTGTGCTCTACTCTGTATCCCCCTTTTCTTTCCCTCTTTCACATACACAAACTCACACACACACAGTCCCCCAACTCCCACCTGGCCCTATTTCCTTCTTTTTTTTTTCTCTTATTTTTATTTTATTTTTACCCCAAAGAAGAAGGCACAATGGCCACCTGGCCCTATTAAAGCCTAGGAAATACAGGAGGTGGTAGGGAGTCTACTTATACCACAGGTCCAATCTCCACAGTTCTTATTATGAGGGTTGGTTCTCCCTGCTCGGGGTGACTGGGTCTGGAACACGTACGTGGAGAAGGGTGTGGCTGGGCCCTGAAGCCGCTAAAGGCCCTTGTAGGTGAAGTGCTCCCAGGCAGTGTTTCCTATGCTCTAGGTTTGCAGACCCCTCCTAAGAGGGCCCCCGCGTCTCCCCTGAGCAGTCCCCATGACTGGGCTGGTGGCTCTCAGGGAAGCTACCCACGCTTGTCCCACTACCTAGCCCCAGGCTGTCTTGTGCTGTCTTGGGGCTGCAAGACACTGGGGGAAGGGTGCTGGGGCCAGAAGTAGCTCCCCATCTAGGGGCTCCACCCTATAGTTCTCCACTCAGTCCAGCACCCCTACAGGAAATCTAGGCCAGGAATGGGCCATTGTCCCCAGCTTCTGGGCTCATCCTCTACCTGCAAAAGGAGTCTCTTCTGGCAGGGGTGAACTGGGAGATGAAGGCACTCGGCCTCCCCTTGCAGGAGCTCTGTCTTCGTTCCCCCTCTCAAGCCCTCTTTCATGGGAAAGAGGGCAGGACTGCCATCCAGGCTTTAGGAGAGTGGGGCCCCCCCTTACCCCACCTGGCTCCTGGGTGGTTAGCCCTACAGTAGGCCTTCTGAAGCTAAAGGGTGAAGCCTCAAGGCACTCTTTGTCCTGAGCACCTACCTTTGTCAGGCAGTGAGAAAGGGGCTAGCTCTGCACTGTCCAATTTAGTAGCTGCTAGCCACATGTGCTGACAGGCACTTGAAATGTAGCTAGTCCAAATTTAAACATGCTATATGTGAAGAATCATTAATTTCACAAGATTGAGTGTAAAAAGAGACTGTAAAAGATAGCAATAATTTTTATAATACATGTTGAAATAACATTTTGAGAATATTGAGTTAAATAAAATATATAATTAAAGTTAATTTTACTAGTTTCTTTCTACTTTTTAAATGTGACTACTAGAAAATTTAAAAATATATAAGTGGCTCACATTCGTGACTCAGATTACATTCATCATTCATACTGGACAGTGCTGGGCTAGGCAGTCACCACAGGAAATCAGAAAGGGCATCTCTCAAGGGTTGCATACCTTCCTGGTCCAATAAGAATATGAGAGTCAAATGCAGCTTCTACTTCTCCCAGGCATTTCAAATTAGTGCCTTGCTGTGTGATAGTGAGTTCTTTGCTCAACCCCTCTGGACTCTCACCATTTCATCCCATTCTTTATTCCCCAGACCAACTCCAGGCTGATAGGAAAAAAGATGAAAACAGATTCTTCAAAAGCATGAATAAAAATGACATGAAGAGCTGTAAGTGAGAAATGATGGTTGGTTGCTTCTGCCATTTGGGGAAAGTGAGAAAAGGGGAAGAATTGTGTCTCTATGATTACATGAAGGCCAGATATAAGTGAATGCCGATTCCTCAGCCAATTGAGAGAACAGGCATATGGTTGTTTTATTATTTTAAACTCAGGTAACTCACAAAACAGTCACTAATCCCAAACTTTGAAGTATTCAGAAGTAATAGAAAATTACAAATGTATTTCTTCACTCCTAGAGACAGGGAGGAAAAAGTGGGACAAGAAGGAGGCAGCTCCACCTCTGTAGTATTTGCTGCCCCTACAGGGCAGCAGGTTTCGAGGCAAACTCCTCTGGGTGTGAGGTCAGTACAGCTCAGGGGATGGAGACCCACTGTAATAACAGCCTGTGCTAAAGTCATTAGATATGGTTCTGCCACCTAAGACAATAACAGTAGAAGTACCATTTCTTAAAGGACCACTATGTGCGCATCTAATATTTCAAAACCCCACAACTATCCTCCAAGATAGGTGTTATTATCTGCAACTTACAGTGAGGTCCATGTAGCTTCCGGGAGGGGAGGTAAGTTACCCAGGTCATATGATCATTAAGTGAAAGAGAGAGAATTAGAACTCCTTTCTCCAAAGCCAGAAACTACAGAATGCATTCCAAAGCCAGAGAGCAGGATTTAGGGATCCTATTCCACCAGCATTTCTCCACAAAAGGAGCTACCGGTGTTTAGAAAGGCCATCTTTGTTATGCTCCATGACTTTTGCCCTGTTAAATGCTTAGTATCCCAGGCCCCAGAAAGCCCTATAAGCCAGTAGAGAACCACACTCTTGTTGTCACTGAGACAACCTGAAAGGTTTCCACACTTCCCCCTGGGTGGGGAATGGGTCCCACTGAGAACCATTGACTGTTCTGATTGATGATGGCAGGGTGCTTGTTTTTGTTTTTAATTTGCAGCTTCTGGTTATCAAGACCAAATAGGTTTTCTCTCCCCAATTTTTAGGGGGCTTGTTACAGAAAAATAATCATAAAATGAACAAAACCTCAGAGCCCGGGTCATCTTCTGCAGGTAAGAGTCCTGTCTCTGAATACTAAGGGACCTCTAAGTCTACAGGTGGTCAAAATGCTGTATCCACCCAATTCCACTAAATGGAATAAATGAATAAATGAATGAATTCATTTATTCCATTTCCTCAGTTCCTCCCCAAATTACACCTCTGCCAGGAAACAGAGGGCGCTCCGACTTGTTCAGGTGTACTTTCTTGAGTTTCACCTCCATCCCTCCTGCTGTATGTAGAGCTCAGCTGTGCTGTCTGGCAATGGAGGATTGCTGCCGAGGTGCTCCCGCTGACCTCTTTTCTCCTTTCCTTCTCCCGCAAAGGCGGCAGAACTACATCGGGGCCACCAAATCACCACTCTTCAGCCCCATCCCACTCCCTGTTTCGGGCCTCGTCTGCTGGGAAAGTCACTTTTCCAGTATGTCTCCTGGCCTCTTATGATGAGATTTCTGGTCAAGGAGCGAGCTCTCAGGATACGAAGACATTTGACGTTGCGCTGTCCGAGGAGCTCCATGCGGCACTGAGTGAGTGGCTGACAGCGATCCGGGCTTGGTTTTGTGAGGTTCCTTCAAGCTAAGCCAGCTCAGAGAACACGGGGAGCGGTGGTGCTACACGGACTTCGGAGCATAGAGTGGCGCTGAGTGAGTGGCTGAGACCGACCACGGTTCTTGACTTAGTGGAATTGGGTCGAAGGAGTGGAGAATGGGAGGGCTCGGGCTACTGAGAGTGGAGATGGGGGCGGGGGTGGTGGTGAAGAGAGTTGGAGAAGGAATGGACGAATTCTTGAGCAAAAGGAGGGGAAGAGACAATCTCCAGCCACCCGCCCCACGCTTGACTTCTTATCACTTTGGCTGTGGTGCCGCCTAGTGGAAAAAGGAAGTCCCTGCAGCAGTCCCCGCACTCTTTAAGCAGCTGTTTACCGAAGGCACCAGTTCAGCCAGGAGTGAAATCCGGAGAGGAGCAACGCCAGCCTGGGTCACAGTCCATCAAACCCCATGAGCCCGACCACTCTCGCTCTTCCTTACATTCCCACGTCCCCCTTCTCTCCCAACCCCTCATATCAGCAAGGGAAATTAATTAATGAGATTTGATAAATCAGTAGATAGAATGAGGTCCCCATTCTGAAATATTTAGCAGACTGGAACCACCACGCAAGCCTCTGTAGGGGGTGGATGGAGACACTTCTAACTTTAATAAACTGCGACTGAACGTGGAATCCTAGTAAAAGTGTATGTGTGTGTGGCGGGGGATGACTATTCCTCCTTTTGTATTCCAACACTTTCACTCATCCCTGTGTTTGAGGAACTCCACTTTAGAAAATTACTGGCCCTCAGAAAGTCTGAGCCTTGACCCTCTTATACTAGACTCAATTCTTGTCTTAGACATGGGAATTAGGGGCCACGGGAAATGGACAAGGAAGAGATGGTCTCATCTTCGGGTGTTGAAATGATCTCACCACCACCACCAATGAAGAACTTCTCTCTGCGCCCACAGAACAACACATTGTGAAATTTAGGGATTAACTTTGAGGAGGAGGAGGCGGTGCCGGGCCTAAGACTTCTCTGGGGACCACAAAGGCTGTGACTGGGAAGAGAAAGCCTCTCTGGCGGCATCGAGCGGGGCGGGTGGTGGGACGGGGGTATCAGAGGAAGGTAGGGGGTTTGGACAACTTGACCCGGGGTTGGCCACCTCTTTCTCCTCATCTTCACACAGCCCCTGTGACACTGGACGCAGCCTCGGCCCACCCGGATCTCATCCTTTCCCAGGATGAGATAGTGACGCTGAACCTCGCATCCCAGGGCGGTTCGCAGAAGCGGGGCAACCCCCGACGCTTCTACAGGTTCCGCTGAGTGCTGGGCTCGCTGGGCCTTTGCTCCGGCCGCGGCGCCTGGGAGGCGGAGCTCCAACGGCCCGGGGGCGGGGCCTGCGTGCCGGGGCTTGGCCTTGGAGCTGGTTCCCAGGCGGGGCTTCCTGGAGGTGGAGCCCTTGACCGGCTTCGTGGAGCTGCACAGCAGCGGCTCCCAGTGCCAGGCGCTCATCGAGAGCGGTTCCCGGGAGGATCTCCCGATCTGTCCGAACAAAGTGGGCGTCCGCTTGGATTACTAGGGCGGAGAGGTAGTCTTCTACGACGCCACCTCGAGGACCCACATCTACACTTTCCATGCCTCCTTTCCGGGGCAGATCTCCTTTTTCCAGCTTCTGTTTTCCGGCACCCGGATCACCCTGGGTCGCTAGAGTTGTTCTTTGCCTTCCTCTGCATCTCCTCCTCACTCGCTTCTCGCCCCAGTTTGGGATGTGCTGCAGCTGGAAGGGTTGAAGCTAGGCTTCCAGCAGCCCTATGGGAAGGTTACACCCTTCGGGCTTCCTCCTGATCCAGTCCTGATTTCTCTGACCCTGCTTTAAATATTCCTTCTATCTCAGTTCCTCTCTCCTTACAATATGCCTGGGTCGAAAAGAAAGGCTCAAATACACTAAAAGGCTATACACAAGGCTGTTCATTGCAGCACAGTTGGTAACAGGATAAGACTGGAAACGAACGTCTATCAACAGGTGGTTGAAAAAGCTGCCACGTGCAAGCATCCAGCTGCATCTCGGTTAAGACAGACACAGGGGAGTGGACCACTGACCCCAGCTTGTCCGCCTGTCTCCTCCTCCATTTTACCTCCTGCAGCCCCCGTGGACCTGCACAGGGCTTTGACCCATCTGAACCCCATCCTGAAAACCGACATACGCAAAACTTTTCTAGTTCTTCGTAATACTCAGAAACCAAAATTAATCCCACGACCAGATGCATCCTCCTCTCAAACCCACATCACCACTACCCGCAACAAAAGTCTTGATCATTCCTAGTGTTGCCATGTGAGGGACTGAAGTTAAACCCAGAGAAGGACTGCTCCAGTTTCCTGAGTGAGCCCAAAAAAAGTAAAAGGGCGAGGAGGTTGGAAACGCAGAGACGAAATGACCTCTGGACAGTAAAACCCACCATTTGCGCCAGTTTGGGATGATTATGGGTTCCTTCCTCTTCCTCCCTTCAGGCCGGCTGGGGACTGGGTAGGCGGATGGGACCAGGCGTCTCTAGGCTTTTCCTGCCTCCTCGCTCCGGTAGGGAGAGGGCGGTGTTGCAGGAGGCGTGGGGAGTCGCCCGCCAGCCCACGCTGCTGCCCGGCGCGTGGCTGCGCAGCGGGAGGGCGGGCCCAGGTGTCGGGGCGGGAGTGAGCCAACGCCCGGAGCACGGATTCCAGGGGCGCTCAGTCAGCCCTGGCCAGGCTCCCCCATCCACTTCCCCCAGTCGCCCGCGAGGCGCCGCCGATTACATAAACAGCCTTCACCTTCCTGCGGAGGGGACAACAAAGGGCTGGGGACACACAGGCCGAGACCCGAAAGTAACGCCCCTCCGGACTTTTATTCAGAATCAGCCGGGACTGCCCAAATCCCTATTTACAGTTCTCACAGCCCTCGTCATGGTCATGGACTTCGCGCCTTTTACCTTGTTTCCTTTCATTGTGTACAGATTCAACTTCCTTACTACAAAGGGAGATCTTTCCCAAATGTCTTAAGTTGATTTTATACTTCCTGACTCTACCAACCCCAGACACTTAGCACGGACCCTAGAATGGGGTACTTGATTAATAAATATTTACTAAATTAAAACCATGCCCTAATTTCTCTTTTCCCGCGAAAGACTGATGTCTTGGAAATCCCACTCAATTTTCGTGGACCAGCTCCACCTCACCTCCTCCGGGAAGCCTTCCCCAGGCAGGGTTCCTGGTACTTTCTGTTGGAAAAGTGTGCACACTCCCAAAGCCACTACAGCCATCTCCCTGCAGCACTTACCGCAAGTTGACTGTGAAGTCCTCGAGAACAGAAGCAGCATCTCACTCCTTTTCGTTTCACTCTCCCACCCTCCTTGAGCACTACAGGGCCTGGTTCCTAAAGGGATGTAAATGAAGGAAGGGTTCAAAGTAAATGAAAGAATACTTTGTAGCAAGGTTTAAATTTGGGGAGGTCTTCCAACCTGGACCTTAACCTTAAACGATGATCACACTCTTCTCAGCCGTGAGGGATGGGGGTCGCCTCTTTAGGAGCCTCTCAGAAGCTCATTTACTCAAAGAGAGTCCTGGCCATTCATTCGATGTTATGGCCGGGAAGTCAAGTGAATACTGAACCCTGGCCAAGATTTCCATCCCCCAGTCCAAAGTGTTTTCTGCTTCTTCACACAGTTATGATACTACTAACAGCATGTTTACAATGTTGAACAGTTTATTAAATGGATTCAGATACATTATTCCATTTGCTTCTCACAACTGCTTAAATTAGGTATGGTTACATTCCCATATTCCAAATATGGTATGAATGTTCAAACTCAGGTCTTTCAACACAAAGCACATGCAAAGTTGACTTGAAAAGATAAAATCTCATAAAATATATGATAAAATGGCTATAACAAATAGTAACTTTCCACGGTATTTCCCTACACAGACGGACACACACACACGTATACATGCACACACACACACACAACTTATCTGCTATATTAGTTTCCTAGGGCTTCCATAACACATCACCATAGACTGTGTGGCTTGAAACAATGACACATTCTCTTACAGTTTTGGAAGCAAGAAGTCTGAAGTCAAGGTGTCAGCAGAGCCATGCTCTCTCCAAAGGCTCTAGGAAAAAATGCTTCATTGCCTCTTCTAGCTCCTGGTGTTTGCTGGCAATCCGTGGCATTCTTTGGCTTGTAGATGCCTCACTCCAATCTCTGACAGCATTTTCACATGGCCGTCTCCCATGTGTCTGTGTCAAAATTTCCCTCCTCTTATAATGGCCCACCCTGATCCAATATGACCTCATCTGAACTTGATGAAAAGACCCTATTTTCTTTTTCTCTCTCTCTTTCTTTCCTTCTTTCCTTCCCTCCCTCCCTCCCTCCTTCCTTCTTTCCTTGCTTCCTTCCTTCCTTCTTTCCCTCCCTTTCTTCTTTCTTTCTTTCTTTCTTTCTTTCTTTCTTTCTTTCTTTCTTTCTTTCTTTCTTTCTTTTTTGAGACAAGGTCTGGCTCTATCACCCAGGCTGCAGTGCAGTGGCATGATCTCGGCTTACTGCAACCTCCACCTCACTGGCTCAAGTGATCTTCCCACATCAGCCTCCCGAGTAGGTGGGACTACAGGCACACAGCATGTGGGACTACAGGCACACAGCACCATGCCTGGCTAATTTTTGTATTTTTTGTAGGGACAGGGTTTTGCTATGTTGATCAGTCTGGTCTCCAACTCTTGAGCTCAAGCAATCTGCCCACCTTGGTCTCCCAAAGTGCTGGGATTACAGGGGTGAGCCACCTCATCTGGCCAAGACCCTATTTTTGAATAAAGCCACATACGTAGGTACCTGGGGCTAGGACTTCAATATGTCCTTGGCAGACAAAATTCAACCCACAACTCCATAATCTGTCACCCACAGGAAAGCGAGAACATAAAAAAGAAACAATGGTATTGGAAAAGAGCCAAGGGCAACACTTGGGGGATGCTAAGATGAGCAGAAGGGAAAAGAGATAGTGAGCATAGAGGGTGTACTCTCCAGGGAGGGTCAAATTTGAGTATCTGGCTTGGAAAACCAGAGAAAGGAGAAAGATGGTTTTCAAAAGCTAAAAGAGGAAAAAGCATGGCAGGAGTGGAGAAGTCATTAGGAGGGTGGAAGAGCTGCTCCCTAGGGAGGGAGAGTAAGAGCCACTCCACTCCTGGGGAAATCCAGTGAAAACTGGGGCAAGTGTCAAGAGATGGAGATCCACGGTACTGAGCCCCTTCCCCCACCAGAGTGGCCCCCTTGAGGAGCCAGGGGTCTGCAAGCTCCCAAAGCATATTCCTATAGAAACTCTGGGGTCATGAAGTCATCTTGTCCCCCTTCCCAGACCTGATCCTGCTGCCTGTTTTATACTCATTGTTGCTACCAACCCCCACACAGTCACCCAACCTAGGTGTTATCTTCAACTCTTTCTTCTTCCTCATTCTTACAGTCCTTGAGGCCCCAACCTCCTTGATGTTAGCGCCTACCACAGGACTCCACCCATCTTCCTCCTAGCACTGTCTAGATCAGCCCTCACCTGGATTATGACAGCTGCCTTTCTCATTTCCCTGCCTCCAGACTTATTCTGCCCAATCCATCTTCCATTACCCAGGCCAAAGTCTATGCTTTTCTAAAATTTTATTTTGAAAATCTTCTGACAGAAGAGTTGAATGAATTTTACAGTGACCATCCAAATATTACCACCTACATTTTCTCATTAGCATTTTACTGTACTTGCTTTATCAAATATGTTTCCATCGACCCATTCCTTCATCCTTCTATCCATCTTATAATTTTATGCATTTTAAAGTAAGTTGCAGATATTCAAATGATTTCTAAAAATATAATCTGGTCATGTTAGAACTTGTTGGACTTTCAATAATGCCTCCCTTCTCTAAAGGATAAAGCCTGAACTGCACGTTGGCCTGCCTTCAGCCTAACCCCTGCCCCCACCTGCTTCCCATTTTTCACTCCAGAAAGGCCAAATTGCCTAAAATTCCCCACTCACCACACTGTTTACATCTCCCTGACCCTCTTTCATTGTTCCTTCTTCTTAGCTTGTCCTCAGCCTTCCAGGGCCTCAAACGCCTCCTTCCCTGAAAGCCTTTCTTGATCCCCCACTCCTCTCCGACACTGGTTTAGGCACCACATCTATAAGCACATAGCAGTCCCCAGGGCATACTTTGATCACTGCACTAATCTCCACAATCAAGACGATCTGTTTATGTGTGTTTCTCACCTCTACCCCAACTGAGAGCTTCCTAAAAATTCAGGGATCCTGCTTTATTTGTCTATTGTCCTTGGTACCTAGAACAGTCTGTGGCATGTGTGGGTGCTCCATAAATATTTGTTGAGTGAATGCATTACTGGTTTTGTCCTTTCTAAGAGCACCTCCTGCCTTTGTACCAGCTTCTCCCACACAACATGGGGCCAGGTCTTCAATGTAGATCCCAGAGAGTTAAGAAGGAAGCAAAGAACACTGTTACCCGTGTTTTCCAGCCAAAGACCCCCCAGGAACATAACTGTCATTAAACATGCTGGGTTTATTACTCCTTGCAGCAATGGAGAATGCACCCCATGGGGAGTGTGGGACATTTTAATAAGAGTGTTAGGAAAAAACCTATGATAGGGTTTGGGTTTTGGTTAGGTGATTTGGGGAAAGGTCTAAGGAAGTGGGGGTTTGCTCTGGATTAATGCTGTTAGAAAGCAGAGCAGATCCTGTGAATGAATACCCAAATAAATATTTTCTATAGGGAGGGGAGACTAGAATGAGGGGAAAGCTATAATTGGTAAAGAAGTAGCAAACATTTCTGTTAACCAAGAGAAGGGGTGTTTGGTATTTTGTGGGTGGCACAGTGTCTTTTTTTGGATCTGTGCTCAGAAAAACTTGTGAAGCAGCCTTGCATTGTCTCACTTTATCAAGGTCTAGGAGTAAACTTGTCTGAGATTGGTATTCTGTAATATAGTTTATGCCTACTAGGTGAATAACATGGTTTAGCTCTGTTAGGCCAACTTCTGAATGTCAGAGGCTGCTCTTTTTTTTTCTCTCAGTGTTTAGGTTGGGCATTGGGAAAAAAGATGAATTAGTGGGATTGGAGCATGTGTATAGATATGTGCAGAATCCAGTTCAATGCAAAAAACTTTTCTTTTTTTTTTTTCTTTTTTTTTTTTTTTTTTTGAGACAGACTCTTGCTCTGTTGCCTAGGCTGGAGGGCAGTGGTGCGATCTCGGCTCACTGCAAGCTCTGCCTCCCGGGTTCATGCCATTCTCCTGCCTCAGCCTCCACAGTAGCTGGGACTACAGGTGCCTGCCACCATGCCCGGCTAATTTTTTGTATTTTGTTTAGTAGAGATGGGGTTTCACCATAGCCAGTTGGTCCGATCTCCTGACCTCGTGATCCACCTGCCTCGGCCTCCCAAAGTGCTGAGATTACAGGCTTGAGCCAACGCTTCCGGCCACAAAATTTTTCAAATAGAGGAAGTCTGGAGTTTATTTCCAAGGTGTCCACCTCCCCAATCCAGGCATATATTTCCAGGTCACAGTGCTGACACTTTCAGCCTCCCGCAGTCACACACCCCATGGTCATGGAAAGGGACACGTGGCCCAGGTCCCTGGTGGCTCTGAGTTGTGGGGAGGGAGGAGCCAGTGGCTTTGGCTCTACCCGGACATCCATTGTTCTCCCAGGGCAAACACTCTGAAGCTTGTTTTCTTGGCTGACTGTTTTTGTTTGTCATCCTGCCTGGTATCACAGCCTCCCAGTAACTCCCAAACCTACTCATCTGAGCCCTGAGGAAAACCTATTAGATATGAATTCTTTGTTGGTTTTGTGACAGTGGCCTCTGACCAGACGGGTTCAGCTGCCTGGACCCCAAGGGCCTTGTTGTCTCTGCTCCCTGCCTTCTGGGGTAATGATCTCACCCTTGCCCCCAGTTTCAAGGATCCAGTGACTCACTGCAGAGTAAAACAACAGCATGGCAGATGCCTGGCATCTGAGGTCTCTGATACTCTCTAAGGATATGGGGCTGTGATCTTTTTTCCTTCAGTCTGGTGCTTCTGTCTGACTGTTAGTGATTCCCCTTTCCTGATAAAGGCTTTAATATTTCCTTCAAATCAGACAGCCCTGAAGTTGCTGCCTCCTGCCTTCATTATTCCTTTCTGCACAAGGCTGAATTGATTCTGTTCTGAAATTTTCCTCATCCCTGCCCTCCACACACATACTCACCAATGCATGACTTGCTTTTTCACGGCCTCTTGTCTTGTGCTTCTCTACCTTTTGGTTCAAATCTTCTTCTTCTTCTTCTTTTTTTTTTTTATGAAGTTTTTATGAAGCCTTGCTCTGTCACCCAGGCTGGAGTGCACTGGCACATCTCAGCTCACTGCAACCTCAGCCTCCCGGGTTCAAGGGCTTCTCTTGCCTCAGTCTCTTAGGTAGCTGGGATTACAGGTGCCCACCACCACACCCAGCTAATTTTTTGTACTTTTAGTAGAGATGGGGTTTTGCCATGTTGGTCTGGCTGGTCTCGAACTCCTGACCTTGGGTGATCCGCCCACCTTGGCCTCCCAAAATGCTAGGATTACAGGTGTGAGCCACCGTGCAAGCCGAAAGTCTTCTTTAGCTATGATCTTCCTGAATCCTAGTTTGATTTGATCCTTCAGGACATGTTTGTGTGTATTTACATATCTGTGTTTTATACACATAGAAATGTGTGTGTGTGTGTGTGTGTGTGTGTGTGTGTGTGTGTATTTGAAATAGCTATAAACCAGGGACAGTGGGAATAGTGAGGATATGTGTTTGTGGGATCAAGTGAGGTTGTGGTTACAAGAAAAAGCTATATCTTTGATAACAGCAAATCAATAATAGATAATGCCTAAAATTAGAAGAGCAAATAGTAATAATATAATCCTTGTATTTACAGATGTGAAGGTGAACACCAAAACAGCTAAAAGAGTTGAAAGTAGTGGAGATGGGGGTGAGGGCTGCCATTTTAAAAAATTAACTCATCAACTTGTTTAACTTTTTATTTGCATATATAACTGCGATGAAAATCCTGAAAATAATCTAATTGTGTTCTGTGTTCCTTTTTTTTCCCCCTACCAGCCATGTGAAGATCTGTCACCCACTCATTTCCTCAGCCCAGTTTCTCACCCTTGCTTCCTCTCCCCCGACTCTGTTTCCAGGGGCCAGGCTTGTCCACCCCACGGGATCTCTCCTACCTGACTGCTCTCCTCCTGCCTCCAATCTATCCACCTGCAGACAGAACAATCTCTACAACCTGTGTCACCAGAGTGTGTTTCACTTCCACTTGAAAATTCTCTGAGACTTGCCTAGTGTAACAGGATTGAGTTATGCCCTCAGTATGACAAGCTCCATGTCCCTCTCAGTGCCAGCCCTAGGCACGCAGCCTGCACCAGGCTCAGACACACCTCCTTCTCTTGGCTGCCCTGGCTCTGTACTCCCTCTGACCAAAACCCTTCCCCTGTATGTGTTTCTTTACTATGGGTCATAATTTATAGTACATAATGTTCTGCACTGACTTTTTCTTTTAACCACGATCTTATAGATCTTCTCATGTCAACCCAAATAGGTCATCTTCACTATTTTTCACTGTTACATGAATTCAATTACATAATGTATATAAAAACATTTTGCATGCCATCTGGCATATAGGAAGACTCAAATATATCCTTATCTCATTTAAGTTTCCATCACCGCAACATAATGAAGAAACACCCTTTGTCTCCTTTAACACTGTAGTTGTAAGATTCCTCCTCAACTGTTATTACAGCTATGCATTGTGCCTTTTAAAAACATTTAGTATTTTTTTTCATTGGGACAAATCTTGCTATGTTGCCCAGGCTGGTCTCTCACTCCTGGGCTAAGTGATCCTCCTGCCTCACCCTCCCAAAGTGCTGGGATTATAGGCATGAGCCACTGTGCCTTGCCCTATGCAATGGTTTTAAACAGATCACAAATTTAATTAATATCACTATTCTCCCCATTATTTCTTTAGCTTTTCCATCCAGCTCCCTACACATCCCTCTTTTGTGGATCTCAACTCCTTGGAGCTCTCCCACACACTCTGCTTGCTTGCTTTTCCCTGAAATGCCCTCTGCTATCCCCTTCCACCACCCACTGGGGAAGTGGTTCCCTTCTTCCCAGACATCCGCTGTAAAAGCTTCCCTAAGCTGCCCTCTCCCAGAGGAGCCCTCAGCCTATGGGCAGCCCCGCCCCCCACCTGGTTTGCACCACTCATATCACTCCTTAACCAGAAGGTCAGTCTTTTGAAAGCAGGGCGTCTTAGTATCTTCAGTGCTTAGCATGTTGCCTGGCACATAAAAAGTGCCCCATAAGTGTTTGCGGGATGAGAATCCTCAACTTCTAAATGTCTAATCTCATTTTTCTATGTAATATGCCACACACAGAAGAGGTGCTCTGTGGTATAGAGGAGAATGTACCTTCTTATTAGCTGTGTGATCTTGGACAACTCACATCACCTCTCTGAGCCTCAGTTTCTTGATCCGTAAAATGGGGGTAATGAGATCTATGAGGAATGAATGATGAAATAAAATATAAGAAGATGTTCTAAAAATGTAAAAAGTATTACCATCACTCCTTCTTCAACCTCATTTCAAACTTTCCATAGTTCTGACAAAATCCTCTCCCCAGGTCCAGCCCGTTCTGTAAGATCATGTCTCTCCCCCCGACTCCTGATCCTCATTCCTTTCTTTTTCTTTTTCTTTCTTTCTTTCTTCTTTTTTTTTTTTTTTGAGATGCAGTTTTGCTCTTGTTGCCCAGGCTGGAGTGCAATGGCGCATCGGCTCACCACAACCTCCGCCTCCCGGGTTCAAGCGATTCTCCTGCCTCAGCCTCACTGAGTAGCTGGGATTACAGACATGCACCACCATACCCAGCTAATTTTGTATTTTTAGTAGAGACAGGGTTTCTCCATGTTGGTCAGGCTGGTCTCGAACTCCCGACCTCAGGTGGTTCGCCTGCCTCGGCCTCCCAAAGTGCTGGGATTACAGGTATGAGCCACCGTGCCCGGCAACCTCATTCCTTTCTGGTGCTGTTGTTTCGCCCTCTCATTCCCTTCTTCTAACTTGGTAGGCTTTGTTCTTGCCTAATTCCTCTTCAGTGTTCACTTTTCTGTAGCCTTTGCCTTTCTCCTTTCAGCATAGCTCTGTCCTCACAGCTTCCTGGAAGCCATCCCAAGAACTCTTATAGGTTCCTTTCCCTCTGCTTCCTTGAAGCTCCTCCCTGCTCCTCCTGCCACATACACCACCCAGGGGGCAGGGGAGCCTCACATGGGCGTGGATAACTCTACCAAGCGCTGGTTTCAAGGACGCTTGCAAAGGTGGCCAGAAATGGCAGATAAAAGGGCACGAGATGCCATGTTCTGCGCAGGGAGGGGCTGGATGAGGGGAACCAGAGAGTCCAAGGCAGGTCCCAGGGCAAGTTTTCCTTCCAGAGATTCAGGGCAGGCAGGACAGAGCTGGAGGGGTGTGTTTGGGAGACAGGGGAGGTAACATCTGAGGCTCAGGAGGCAGTCAGAGGGAGTGGCTCCTGAACTAATTGGCAGGCTGGATGCCAGCAGCGTGCCAGTGATGTTTTAGCTACTGGTCACCAGAGGAGAGGAAGGAAGGGAGGGAGGGAGAGTCTATCATGTGGACCAAGACACAGAGGCACATGGGGCCTGTTGTCGGCTGGCTCTCAGCTCATCAGGCTTTTCTAGGTCACTGTGCGTTGCCACCTCCCTTGCTGGGTTTCCCTGCTCTGCCTCGTGCTGCCTTGCATGCCCCTGGCTTGGTTTCTCTGACTCATAGTCCACGACCCGGACACTCTCTTCAAGTCTCTGTGCTCCTGGGAGTTGGTGTTCTAATACTGTTGGGGAGGAAGCACTTGAGTCCCAGCATGCAGGCTTTGACCTTTATCCTGCATGGCCCCCAGTTTCCTCCCTGTGACTGGAATGTGACACAGGCTCCTGGAGTAGTTAAGAAAGTAGTAAAATCTTTAATGATTTGAAAATTATAAAATTATAAAATTATTACTGTGTTAAAATGAACTATCCTTGTTCTTTTTGTTTCTCCACCACTCCTAATGTCAGATATGCTTACATCGGGCTGCACAGTTCACAGCACTGTTGGATGGCCCACAGGCCTCCTGGCTTCACATGTCCAACATGCCACCCCTGATATTCCTGCCCAGGCCAGCTCCTCACAGTTCTTCCCACTGCAGTCACTGGCAGCTCCATCCTCCCCATGGTGGGGCCAAATTCGTTAGAGCTTCCTGCCTCCTCCTTTGCTCTCACACTCCACAACCAATGCAGTAACTCACGTCCAGAAGTCAGCCCCTTCCCACCAACTCCAACCCCTGGTAGGCTCACCTCACCCAGTACTGAATGAAGTCCTGACAATGACAAAGCCCTGCACAGTCGGCCAGTCCCATCTCTGACTTCCTACTCCACACCCGCTGCTCCCTCTGCTCCAGCCACATGGCCTCATGTTAAATCTCAAACACATCAGCAGCTTCAGCATCACAGCCTTTGCCTCTGCCTTTCCTTTCATCTGGATGATCCTTCCTTCAGATAAGCACTTGACGACTTCTCTTACCACCTTCAAATCTTTGCTCAAATAGAATCTATTGAGATTGTAACTCTATCTACTCCATCCAGCACTCCATCCAGCATTGAGAAGGCCCATCTCTCTAGGTGATATTTAAGGGCAGACCTGAGAGATGAATAAGAGATCATCATGCTCAGAGAGGAGAGAAGGGCATCCCAGGCACAGGTAACAGCTTTGCATCAACCTAGAGGCAAGAACAATTTGGGCTAATTTAAGCAAAGTTGACGCATGATGAGTTGGGAGTAAAGATGGCACAAGATAATAATGAAGACTTAGAGATTAGAGCAAGCAAAAACTTAGGTTTTAGTAGTGGAATAGGCAAGAGTGCAATGGGGGAAGATCCGAGGCCACTACTTGCTAATGGCATTCCCCAGAGTTGTATAAGGCAGTCATCCCAAAGAGAGAAAACTATGCTAGCATTTGTGTCTTTCTTCCCAGCTTTATGTTGCTTCGTGGTACCTACCATACATTACACTTATTTATTTGTTAATGAGCTGTTCTCCCCGCTAGAGTTTAGAATTCCCATGAGGCCAGGTTCCTGTCTGTGTTGATCTCCACTGAGTCCCTAGCTTTCAACACTGTATCTGCACATAGTAGGTCCTTAATAAGTACTTTTGAACGAATAAGTATAAATTACTTTTATCATCCCTAAAACAAATTTTTTGATATAATTGTTTTCACTTTATAGTCACAAAACTAACAAGAGTCAAGTCAAATCTTGACACCCTACTGTTTCTAAGTGGTGTCAATGTTCCTTCATACTGTATAATTTCTTATCTGGTTTAGTCAAAATGGGCAAAGGCTTCAGTTTTTTCAATTTTAAAATGAGGAGTTTGGACTAATGGATTGCCCATTTGCTGGAGGATGATACCTGCTCCTTCCTCCAGGGCCTCCCCTGCTGCTCCAGTCCAAGTTCTTTTCCCTCTTCCAGCCTCCCCTCTTCCTGGGGTCTGGACAACAGAGGTTAAATGGTTTAAAGGCCCACTGGGAGACTGTGAATCACAGAAGCACAGGAATCCTTTCCATTTCTAGCTGCCTACACTCCATCTATCTCACTGGCTGAGGCTTCGATTCTGTCAAGGAAATAGGATGACTACAGAACAGAAAGAAAGGACAGAGAATAAAAAGGAGAAAATGATGAAGGGGAGGGCAGGGAGGAAGGAGAGAAGGACAGAGCAAACAGGTCTCGTGCATGTTAGTGAATATTCTGCAGAGAGGAGAAGCAGTTATTGTGGACTGTGGTCCAACTGAAACAAAATATCTCATCACTTTGTCTTTACCCCCTCTCTTGTGATCCCATCTCAACATCCAAAGCTCATTAAGTATGTAGCCCATTTCTGTAACAGCCTTGCAATTACACAGTCATCCATTCCAGAAATTAGAAATTCATGATTGATTTTCCCCTCCCTCATCACCCAAAGGCCACTTCAATGTTTTTGTCAATTCTATCTACAAAATACACTTCAAATTGGCCTGCTCATTTTCAGCTCCACTGGATCCCACTATCTCAAGCCATCATCCTTTCTCACCTAAATTACTGGCATAGTTTTCTCTCTTTGGGATGACTGCCGTATACAACTCTGGGAATGCCATTAGCAGGTAGTGACCCTGGGTCTCCCCCATTCCACTCTTGTTTATTCCACTACTAAAACTTAAGATTTCACTTGCTCTAGTCTCTGCCTACGTCTTCATTATTATCTTGTGCCATCTTTACTCCTAACTCATCATGTGTCAACTTTGCTTAAATTAGCCCAAATTGTTCTTGCCTCTAGGCTGTTGCAAAGCTGTTACCTGTGCCTGCAATGCCCTTCTCTCCTCTTTGAGCATGATGATCTCTTATTCATCTCTCAGGTCTCCCCTTAAATATCACCTTGGAAGATGGGCCTTCCTCAATGTCCCCCATCTAAATTAAGGACTTCTGCTCTCAGTCTCTGTGCTGGAGATTTGTCAAAATGTCAGATTTATCAAATAAAAGTACAGGATGTCCATTTAAATCTGAATTTTAGATAAATAATAAACAAGTATTTTGTGTAAGTATGCCCCATGCAGTATTTGGGAGATACTTATACTAAAAAATCATTGTTTATCTGAAATTCAAATTTAACTGGATGTTCTGCATTTTATCTGCCAAACCTACATATATGGAATGACCTCATTTCCTTTCTATTGAAGAGATTGAAAAGTAAAAAACTCTATTTCTCAGAATTTTTGGAGCTAGGATTCTGGACATGAATTAAGTCCTTCCAACTAAATGTATTTCTATGAGATTTGAAATGCAGAAGTGAGGTAGAGGCTATTTTCCTATAGAAGAGCATGGATGAGCCCCAATAAACATGAAATGTGCATGGGGGTAGGGCAGCTGGGCCCGTGGCTGCTATGCTAGCAGTAGCTGCAGCACTACTGACCTATGGTGATTGACCTTGAAGCCAATAAACCAGTTAGGACATCCTGACTTTTTTTTTTTTTTTTTTTTTTTTTTTTTTTTTTTTGAGACGGAGTCTCGCTCTGTCGCCAGGCTGGAGTGCAGTGGAGTGATCTTGCTCACTGCAACCTCTGCCTCCTGAGTTCAAGCAATTCTCCTGCCTCAGCCTCCTAAGTAGCTGTGACTACATCATGTGCCACCATGCCCAGCTAACTTTTGTATTTTTAGTAGAGACGGGGTTTCACCATGTTGGCCAGGATGGTCTCGATCTCTTGACCTTGTGATCTGCCCAACTCAGCCTCCCAAAGTGTTGGGATTACAGGCATGAGCCACCGTGCCCAGCCAATATTTTTTTTTCTTAATTGAAACAGGCGCCTAAAAGACAGGAAGGAACCTGCTCCTGCATTCTTGACAGATGAGGATCCGAAAGTTTTCCCTACTTACACACCAGCAAGATCATCTCTCTGGGAATCAATTTTCTTATCCATGTTGTAAGGGCTAGACTACACATTGTTAATGTTCCCTACAACTCTAGCATTCTACAAATCTATGATTCTTTGAAGTCTTTAATAGAGGTGGGAGCCAGAATCAAATTAGCTATATTTGGTGCACTTACTAGCGATCCTTGTACAGGTTAATAAATACCTTGTTTGGAAGACCTATTCTCCCCGATGGGGAAGTGGACATGGAAATGAGATGATCGTCTTGAATGTAAATAATGTGAAGGGGAATAGGAATTAGAAAAAGAAAACTGAGAGAAAAGACTACTAGGACAAAATGAGCTTCAAAATACATAAATCATGCTGAGTGTGGTAGCTTATGCCTATAATCTCAGCTCTTTGGGAGATGAGGCCAAAGTGGGAGGATTGATTGAAGCCAGGAGCTTGAGATCAGCCTGGGCAACACAGCCGGATCCCATCTCTACAATCAATCAATCAATCAATCAATCCATTAGACCACGTAAATATCACACTTACAGCTACTCAGTGGCATTCCACTGCTCTTAGAACAACGATCAACTCCTTATCCTGGTCCCTAAGGTCCTACACAGCTTGGCTCTTAGTACCTCTCCAATCTCACATCAAACCATTGTCATCCCACTTCATACGTTCAAGATCTTTCCCACTTCAGGGTCTTTGCATCTGCTGTTGTTGCTCTCTCCCAACTCTTCTCATTGCTGGCTCCCTCTCTTCACCTTCTCAGAGGAGCTTTTTCTAACATCCTATTAAAAGTAGTGCACACCTCCTCCAGTTAATTCCTCTTATATTACCCACTTTGTATTCTTCAAAGCACTGATCACAATCTATAATTATCTTGTTAATTTATTTGTTTACTTGCTTATTGTTGGCCTTTTTCAATGGAATCTAAATTACCAGAGGACAAGGGACTATGGCTGGCTTGCTCTCCACTCTTCCTAACTCCTAGAACAACGCATGGTACATAGTAGGTGCTTAGTAAATAGTTGTTGAATGATTAAATGAATGGATGAATGAATGCACAGCTCTTAAAAGGAAACTGCTGGCCAGGTGCAGTGGCTCACACCTGTAATCCTAGCACTTTGGTAGGCTGAAGCAGGCAGATCACCTGAGGTAAGGAGTTCAAGACCAGCCTGGCAAACATGACAAAACCCCATCTCTACTAAAAATACAAAAATTAGCTGGGTGTGGTGGCATGTGCCTGTAGTCCCAGCTACTTGGGAGGCTAAGCTAGGAGAATCGCTTGAACCCAGGAGGCAGAGGTTGTAGTGAACTGAGCTCATGCCACTGCACTCCAGCCTGGTGACAGAGCGAGACTCTGTCACAAACAAACAAACAAACAAAAAAAAAAAAATGGAAACTGCTAAGGGCTTGGAGAACAAGAAGGCCTTGAGAAAACTGAGAAGATGGGGGGAGGAGCCAAGATGGCCAAATAGGAACAGCTCCGGTCTACAGCTCCCAGCGTGAGCAACGCAGAAGACAGGTGATTTCTGCATTTCCATCTGAGGTTCATCTCACTAGGGAGTGCCAGACAGTGGGCACAGGTCAGTGGGTGCGCGCACCGTGCGTGAGCCGAAGCAGGGCGAGGCATTGCCTCACTCAGGAAGCACAAGGGGTCAGGGAGTTCCCTTTCCTAGTCAAAGAAAGGGGTGACAGAGGGCACCTGGAAAATCGGGTCACTCTCACCCGAATACTGCGCTTTTCCGACGGGCTTAAAAAACGGCGCACCAGGAGATTATATCCCGCACTTGGCTCAGAGGGTCCTACGCCCACAGAGTCTCGCTGATTGCTAGCACAGCAGTCTGAGATCAAACTGCAAGGTGGCAGCGAGGCTGGAGGAGGGGCGCCCGCCATTGCCCAGGCTTGCTGAGGTAAACAAAACAGCCGGGAAGCTCGAACTGGGTGGAGCCCACCACAGCTCAAGGAGGCCTGCCTGCCTCTGTAGGCTCCACCTCTGGGGGCAGGGCACAGACAAACAAAAAGACAGCAGTAACCTCTGCAGACTTAAATGTCCCTGTCTGACAGCTTTGAAGAGAGCAGTGGTTCTCCCAGCACGCAGCTGGAGATCTGAGAACGGGCAGACTGCCTCCTCAAGTGGGTCCCTGACCCCTGACCCCCGAGCAGCCTAACTGGGAGGCACCCCCCAGCAGGGGCAGACTGACACTTCACACGGCCGGGTACTCTAACAGACCTGCAGCTGAGGGTCCTGTCTGTTAGAAGGAAAACTAACAAACAGAAAGGACATCCACACAAAAAAACCATCTGTACATCACCATCGTCAAAGACCAAAAGTAGATAAAACCACAAAGATGGGGAAAAAACAGAGCAGAAAAACTGGAAACTCTAAAAAGCAGAGCTCCTCTCCTCCTCCAAAGGAATGCAGTTCCTCACCAGGAATGGAACAAAGCTGGACGGAGAATGACTTTGACGAGCTGAGAGAAGAAGGCTTCAGACGATCAAATTACTCCGAACTATGGGAGGACATTCAAACCAAAGGCAAAGAAGTTGAAAACTTTGAAAAGAATTTAGAAGAATGAATAACTAGAATAACCAATACAGAGAAGTGCTTAAAGGAGCTGATGGAGCTGAAAACCAAGGCTCGAGAACTACGTGAAGAATGTAGAAGCCTCAGGAGCTGATGCGATCAACTAGAAGAAAGGGTATCAGCGATGGAAGATGAAATGAATGAAATGAAGCGAGAAGGGAAGTTTAGAGAAAAAGGAATAAAAAGAAACGAGCAAAGCCTCCAAGAAATATGGGACTATGTGAAAAGACCAAATCTACATCTGATTGGTGTACCTGAAAGTGACGGGGAGAATGGAACCAAGTTGGAAAACACTCTGCAGGATATTATCCAGGAGAACTTCCCCAATCTAGCAAGGCAGGCCAACGTTCAGATTCAGGAAATACAGAGAACGCCACAAAGATACTCCTCGAGAAGAGCAACTCCAAGACACGTAATTGTCAGATTCACCAAAGTTGAAATGAAGGAAAAAATGTTAAGAACAGCCAGAGAGAAAGGTCGGGTTACCCTCAAAGGGAAGCCCATCAGACTAACAGCGGATCTCTCGGCAGAAACTCTACAAGCCAGAAGAGAGTGGGGGTCAATATTCAACATTCTTAAAAAAAAGAATTTTCAACCCAGAATTTCATATCCAGCCAAACTAAGCTTCATAAGTGAAGGAGAAATAAAATCCTTTACAGACAAGCAAATGCTGAGAGATTTTGTCACCACCAGGCCTGCCCTAAAAGAGCTCCTGAAGGAAGCACTAAACATGGAAAGGAACAACCAGTACCAGCTGCTGCAAAATCATGCCAAAATGTAAAGACCATTGAGACTAGGAAGAAACTGCATCAACTAATGAGCAAAATAACCAGCTAACATCATAATGACAGGATCAAATTCACACATAACAATATTAACTTTAAATGTAAATGGACTAAATGCTCCAATTAAAAGACACAGACTGGCAAATTGGATAAAGAGTCAAGACCCATCAGTGTGCTGTATTCAGGAAACCCATTTCACGTGCAGAGACACACATAGGCTCAAAATAAAAGGATGGAGGAAGATCTACCAAGCCAATGGAAAACAAAAAAAGGCAGGGGTTGCAATCCTAGTCTCTGATAAAACAGACTTTAAACCAACAAAGATCAAAAGAGACAAAGAAGGCCATTACATAATGGTAAAGGGATCAATTCAACAAGAAGAGCTAACTATCCCAAATATATATGCACCCAATACAGGAGCACCCAGATTCATAAAGCAAGTCCTGAGTGACCTACAAAGAGACTTAGATTCCCATGCATTAATAATGGGAGACTTTAACACCCCACTGTCAACATTAGACAGATCAACAAGACAGAAAGTTAACAAGGATACCCAGGAATTGAACTCAGCTCTGCACCAAGCAGACCTAATAGACATCTACAGAACTCTCCACCCCAAATCAACAGAATATACATTTTTTTCAGCACCACACCACACCTATTCCAAAATTGACCACATACTTGAAAGTAAAGCTCTCCTCAGCAAATGTAAAAGAACAGAAATTATAACAAACTATCTCTCAGACCACAGTTCAATCAAACTAGAACTCAGGATTAAGAATCTCACTCAAAACCGCTCAACTACATGGAAACTGAACAACCTGCTCCTGAATGACTACTGGGTACATAACGAAATGAAGGCAGAAATAAAGATGTTCTTTGAAACCAACGAGAACAAAGATACAACATACTAGAATCTCTGGGACGCATTCAAAGCAGTGTGTAGAGGGAAATTTATAGCACTAAATGCCCACAAGAGAAAGCAGGAAAGATCTAAAATTGACACCCTATAATCACAATTAAAAGAACTAGAAAAGCAAGAGCAAACACATTCAAAAGCTAGCAGAAGGCAAGAAATAACTAAAATCAGAGCAGAATTGAAGGAAATAGAGACACAAAAAAACCCTCCAAAAAATTAATGAATCCAGGAGCTGGTTTTTTGAAAGGATCAACAAAATTGATAAACCGCTAGCAAGACTAATAAAGAAAAAAGAGAGAAGAATCAAATAGACACAATAAAAAATGATAAAGGGGATATCATCACCGATCCCACAGAAACAGAAACTACCATCAGAGAATACTACAAACACCTCTATGCAAATAAACTAGAAAATCTAGAAGAAATGGATAAATTCCTTGACACATACACTCTCCCAAGACTAAACCAGGAAGAAGCTGAATCTCTGAATAGACCAATAACAGGATCTGAAATTGTGGCAATAATCAATAGCTTACCAACCAAAAAGAGTCCAGGACCAGATGGATTCACAGCCGAATTCTACCAGAGGTACAAGGAGGAACTGGTACCATTCCTTCTGAAACTATTCCAATCAATAGAAAAAGAGGGAATCTTCCCTAACTCATTTTATGAGGCCAGCATCATCCTGATACCAAAGCTGGGCAGAGACACAACCAAAAAAGAGAATTTTAGACCAATATCCTTGATGAACATTGATGCAAAAATCCTCAATAAAATACTGGCAAACCAAATCCAGCAGCACATCAAAAAGCTTATCCACCATGATCAAGTGGGCTTCATCCCTGGGATGCAAGGCTGGTTCAATATACACAAATCAATAAATGTAATCCAGCATATAAACAGAATCAAAGACAAAAACCACATGATTATCTCAATAGATGCAGAAAAGGCCTTTGACAAAATTCAACAACGCTTCATGCTAAAAACTCTCAATAAATTAGGTATTGATGGGATGTATTTCAAAATAATAAGAGCTATCTATGACAAACCCACAGCCAATATCATACTGAATGGGCAAAAACTGGAAGCATTCCCTTTGAAAACTGGCACAAGACAGGGATGCCCTCTCTCACCACTCCTATTCAACATAGTGTTGGAAGGTCTGGCCAGGGCAATTAGTCAGGAGAAGGAAATAAAGGGTATTCAATTAGGAAAAGAGGAAGTCAAATTGTTCCTGTTTGCAGACGACATGATTGTATATCTAGAAAACCCCATTGTCTCAGCCCAAAATCTCCTTAAGCTGATAAGCAACTTCAGCAAAGTCTCAGGATACAAAATCAATGTACAAAAGTCACAAGCATTCTTATACACCAACAACAGACAAACACAGAGCCAAATCATGAGTGAACTCCCATTCACAATTGCTTCAAAGAGAATAAAATACCTAGGAATCCAACTTATAAGGGATGTGAAGGACCTCTTCAAGGAGAACTACAAACCACTGCTCAAGGAAATAAAAGAGGATACAAACAAATGGAAGAACATTCCATGCTCATGGGTAGGAAGAATCAATATCGTGAAAATGGCCATACTGCCCAAGGTAATTTACAGATTCAATGCTATCCCCATCAAGCTACCAATGACTTTCTTCACAGAATTGGAAAAAACTACTTTAAAGTTCATATGGGACCAAAAAAGAGCCCGCATCGTCAAGTCTATCCTAAGCCAAAAGAACAAAGCTGGAGGCATCACGTTACCTGACTTCAAACTATACTACAAGGCTACAGTAACCAAAACAGCATGGTACTGGTGCCAAAACAGAGATATAGATCAATGGAACAGAACAGAGCCCTCAGAAATAAGGCCGCATATCTACAAGTATCTGATCTTTGACAAACCTGAGAAAAACAAGCAATGGGGAAAGGATTCCCTATTTAATAAATGGTGCTGGGAAAACTGGCTAGCCATATGTAGAAAGCTGAAACTGGATCCCTTCCTTACACCTTATACAAAAATTAATTCAAGATGGATTAAAGACTTAAATGTTAGACCTAAAACCATAAAAACCCTAGAAGAAAACCTAGGCATTACCATTCAGGACATAGGCATGGGCAAGGACTTCATGTCTAAAACACCAAAAGCAATGGCAACAAAAGCCAAAATTGGCAAATGGGATCTAATTAAACTAAAGAGCTTCTGCACAGCAAAAGAAACTACCATCAGAGTGAATAGGCAACCTACAAAATGGGAGAAAATTTTCGCAACCTACTCATCTGACAAAGGGCTAATATCCAGAATCTACAATGAACTCAAACAAATTTACAAGAAAAAAACAAACAACCCCATCAAAAAATGGGCGAAGGACATGAACAGACACTTCTCAAAAGAAGACATTTATGCAGCCAAAAAACACATGAAAAAATGCTCACCATCACTGGCCATCAGAGAAATGCAAATCAAAACCACAATGAGATACCATCTCACACCAGTTAGAATGGCAATCATTAAAAAGTCAGGAAACAACAGGTGCTGGAGAGGATGTGGAGAAATAGGAACACTTTTACACTGTTGGTGGGACTGTAAACTAGTTCAACCATTGTGGAAGTCAGTGTGGCGATTCCTCAGGGATCTAGAACTAGAAATACCATTTGACCCAGCCATCCCATTACTGGTTATATACCCAGAGGACTATAAATCATGCTGCTATAAAGACACATGCACACGTATGTTTATTGTGGCATTATTCACAATAGCAAAGACTTGGAACCAACCCAAATGTCCAACAATGATAGACTGGATTAAGAAAATGTGGCACATATACACCATGGAATACTATGCAGTCATAAAAAATGATGAGTTCATGTCCTTTGTAGGGACATGAATGAAATTGGAAATCATCATTCTCAGTAAACTATCGCAAGAACAAAAAACCAAACACCGCATATTCTCACTCATAGGTGGGAATTGAACAATGAGAACACGTGGACACAGGAAGGGGAACATCACACTCTGGGGACTGTTGTGGGGTGAGGGCAGGGGGGAGGGATAGCATTGGGAGGTATACCTAATGCTAGATGACGAGTTGGTGGGTGCAGCGCACCAGCATGGCACGTGTATACATATGTAACTAACCTGCACATTGTGCACATGTACCCTAAAACTTAAAGTATAATAATAATAAATAAATAAATAAATAAGAAAACTGAGAAGACAAATAGTGAACATTTAGGGGAGAATTTAAATGATGGATAGAAATATTAGTGACATTGATAGGTGGGTTGTTGGAAGGAAAGAGAATAAGTGAGCACCTACATGAACTTGAAGGATGGGCAACATTTCAGAGAAACTGTTAGCCCTAAGCAGGGATTTAAAGGGAGAGAAAGGAAGGAGCCTTCCAGGAGGGACAGAAAAGAGAAAGTAAAGTCTCAAAAGAAAGAAATTAATATTTAAGGAAAAGAATATAGACTTTGGAGCCAGCAGGTTTGAATTTCAGTCCTGGCTCTGCCTCCTGCCGGCTGTTTGAGCCTAGTCAAATCCCTTACCATGCCAGAATCCCAGGGGCCTCAGTGTAACATGGCTGGACTTGGCCTCACGGCTATTATAGGGTTAAATGAGAGAATGGACTATGAAGGTGACATTTCTATAACATAGTCATGTATTTGAGTATCAAGATTGATTGGATTAATCTGGCTGGATATTCTTCCTCTATCCCTGCCTCAAGCCACCCCTCCTAAAACTGCCTCCCCCATCAGGGCAAGTTTTACTCAGAGTCCTTGGAGTAGTTGCATAGGAAAACTGCTCTGGTCTAATAGAATTTCCAGCTATGTTAAAGCACAGTGTAAACATCCAAGTCCTTAAAAAAATGAGTCATTATAGAAACAATCAAGATTGAAGAAAATCTTTGGGAAGGGCATAGTGAGTGGGAATTGAGAAAGAATTATGGTCTCCTTCATTTTGATTTCTTACCTCCTAGCCCTTCTTTTCCCAATCCAGTTTTCTCCCCAGAGATGCTTCACATTCTTTGTTCAGGCCTTTTCACTTCTCTTCCAGTCAACACAACCTTCACTTCTTTTACAGGTCACCTCCTCCTGGAAGACTTCCTGAAATGATTCCCACTTGTCCTTCAATCTGTCAACAGAATCCTCCCTCACTCTTCCCCCGTCACTGCACCTTTAAAATTTGGTAATGACAGATTTAGGTTGATGATGGATACACTTTATCTGCCTTCTTACACACCCTAATTCAGTAATGCTAAATTTTGTTGATGATGGATACACTTTACCTGCCTTATCACACTTCCTAAGGGCAGGGACCATGACTGTCCTGTGATCAGTCTCCCAAACTCCTCTATCATACTTATCTCTCCCTCTGGAAAGCTTCTAAAGACTAGTGGGGCTTTTAAAAGCATGAGGATGTTGCTAATATGGAGGAGAGAGACTGAAGGATAAATGAAAGGATAGAAGAAAAAAATGAAGAGAAGGAAAAGAAGGGATGGGTCAAGGCCTGTCCCACCTCTGACATTCCCTAGTGCCATGCATGGGTATCAAGCTGTCACACTCCACAACACCACAAGTAGGAATCCTGGAAGGAGTTGGAAAGGGGTGGGAACAGTTATTTAGGAGACACCTACATTAAGGAAGGAAGATGTGGATCCTAGCAGAGAGACAGGATCCCGTCATGGTCAACTGGATCAAGCCAAGCCAAGCTGACACACGTAAAATCACATCCACCCTTCTGGCTCTCTGGAAATAGAATGAACTCAGTGGTGATTAGAGCATCAAGTATAGAGTTGTTAGGGATTCTGGAAAGGGAGGGAGAAGGTCTTGAGAAGTGAGATGTTTCCAGGCAGAGTCTGTCTCCAAATGCCTTTTCCCTTACTGGTGTCCTGGAACCATTAGGTATGAACTCATTGTAACCTGGACGTAAAGGTTGAGCTGATGCTTTGTTAGCAGGAATCCTCACCATCTGGTTATGGAAGGCAAATGACAACTAGTCATGAACTTCCTAGCCAGACTGAGCACCATATGTCTTATAACACCTGAGCGTTTCCCAGCACTATGCCTGGCATCTGCCAGTGAGGCATGACTATTGGTTGAGAAGGATAAGAAGGTCTAAGCAGAGTCAATCAAATGACCCTCTCAGGTTGTCCAATCAGTGTAATGAGCAATTCAACAACTGGACCTAAGTTTATTAAGGCTGACTGTGTGCCAGGTGCTATTCTAGGTGCAGGGAAAGCAGCAGCAAACATGAAGGTTAGGTCCCTGTTCACTCACCTTCTATTGGACAGAGACACATCAAAAGTCCATAAATAGATCACTGCAGACAGTAATAAATAGCATGAAGATAATAAATATGGGTAAAGAGATAGTGAATACCTTTGAGAAAGACCACTTGAGATACAAGTGGTAAAAGAAGTCCTCTCTGAATGTTACCTTTGGGTTGAGACATGAGTGAGAAAATGGAGAAAGCCATGTGAAGCTCTGGAGGAGCAGGGGCCCAGGCAGAGGGAACAGTGAGTGCAAAGGCGGTGCAGCCGCACCAGCAGTGGCTCGGGGAACGAGAAGTAGAAGGCACTGCAGCCAGAGCACAAGGAGCAAAATGGAGTGACCAGCCCACATGAACAGCCGTCATTCAAGACCATGGTTCTCCTGTTAGCTAAACACTGCAACCATCTGGAAAGCTTTTAAAAGTACTGACACCTGGGACCCACCCCCAGGGTGTCCGTTTAATTGGTCTGAGGTGTCACTTGGGCATCAGGAGTTTTAAAGTTTCCCAGATAATTCTAATGTGCAACTGAAGCTGTTAACCGCTGACAAGCCCATGAGGGCCATAGCAAGGCACTTGGATTGGTGACAATTGAGGTTCTTGAGGAGTCTCAGAGACATTTCTCCAGTACTTCAAGCCCAGATCCAAAAAGATCCTGAGAGGCCTTGGAGTTGGGGATAAGCCAGGACAATGAAGGAAAAGAGATAACATGAGACTGAAAAGAAGGTCAAGAGAGGCAGAGACATCCAGAAAATATGACAAACTGGAAGGTGCAACAACACAGAAGTGCAAACAGACTCAGAGAGTCAGAGACTGGAGGAGAAAAGGCAATCTTGTGTATTAGTTTCCTATTGATACTGTAACAAATTACCACAAACTTAGGAGCTTGAAACAATACACATTTGTTACTTTATTATTCTGTAGTTCAGAGTCTGAAATGGGTCTTACTGGGCAAAAATTAAGGTGTCAGCAGTGCTAGGTTCCTTCTGAATGGTCTGCTAGAGAATCCATTCCCTCGTCTTTTGCAGCTTCCAGAGGTTACCCACTTCCTTAGCTTGTGGCTTCCTGCCTCAGTCTCCAAAGCCAGCAATGTCAGGCCGATCACTTCTCATGCTGCTATCTCTCTATGCTACCTATCAGAGCATAGAAGTGCATCTTTTACAAAATAGATTTCAGTCACAACTGTAGTCTTATGCTTGGGTATCTGTGTGTTTTATGAGCACTGAGCCGGGAGGGTTGTTCCAAGATGAATGTACGTGTGTTTGTTTGTGTAGGTTTGTTTATCAGGGTGTCATATTTGAGTGTCTCCCCGATAAGTATGGGGGAGGCAGAAGAAGAGTGCCTGGAGGGGGTGCCTAATAAAGTCCTGCTGCTCCATAAAGACTTACTGCTGTTATACTGTTATTCTTATTAATAATAAAACTGATGATAGAGTATCTGTCTCTTTGCCTGTTTTCTTTGAGCATGTCCGTCTGTTCCTAAATAATACTGGACATTTATCCCAGTGATATTCAATGCATATGAGGCTATTCATACACATTATATTTAGCTGTGATGTTTGTATTACATGAATGCTTCTGTCTGCAAGTTTGTGCACATTTGGGCATTTGGACACTGATGGATGCAGACACATGTTATATAACAGTGTGGGTGATCATAGTTGTAGACATCTGGATGTTTACTTATGCACAAACCCCCATGAGTATCCAGTTAGCTAGGCCTGGCATTGGAAGGGTAGAGAAGCTAGGAAGAGGAGGGAGCAGGGAGGAAGAGGAGAGGTGGGGAGAGGAGCAGGTAAGGAGAAAAAGAGAGAATGGAGGTGAGGAATGAAGGCACAAAGGAACACCAGAAAAAAATCAGGAAGCAGGAGGGGGTCCCAGGGATCTGCAACTGAAAAAGGCAGGGTTGACTCACAGCAAGAACACAAGTCAGAAGACCAGGGTAGGGCTCCACTTCTGGTCATTCCCTTGCTATGTGACCTTGGCTATTCCAGTTCTCTGGGCCTCTGTGAACTACCAGAGTTGAAATAGATAATACCGGGTACATTCCAAAGAAGGAAGGAAAGAGAAAACTGGTAATAAAATCACACACGGGGAAAAACAGAGAGAAAGAACCAGAAAGAGAGACTTACGAAGAAAGTAAGGAGAGGCCCTGGGAGCTGGCCAGAGGTAGAGCTGAAAGAGCTCTGCCCCGACTCCCTGAGGCCGAAGTGTGGGCGCCTGCTCCCCACCCCTTACCCCAGAGCTGCAGAATGCCCTTAAGCCCTTAATAGGTAAGGAAGGAAGATGGAAAGGCGAGAGGCACCAGGAATGAAAACCACACATCAACACTCAGAGGCTTGCCAAAGCCACACAAACCAGGATCTGTGCTTCCGGCCCCCAGCCCCCAGATGTAGGTGTGCCAGCCACCTGGAATGACTCGCACCTTGGCAATGTGGGCGCACATGCCAAGAGTGAGCCTGGGCACCCGGCCCATGCGCGTACCACAGGCGGAGGGGAAGGTAAAATTGGGGCTCTTCGGGGGGTCACAGGGGGCTACCCTCCCCACACAGGGCTACCCCGCCCCAGAGCGCCCTCTAGTGACCGCCTCCTAGGCTCTGGGAACCAGGTGTGCTATTCTCCCCTCCCTGCTCCCCCAAACCTTACCCGGGAAGCAGGAGAACCAGATGAGGCGTTACGCAAGGCCTGGTGTTTACCTCCCGTGGGAGCCTCCTCCCTCCCTATAAAGCCTGATGTGGTGGAGAGATTTGACGAGACTGAGACTCTGGTTGAAGAGAGAGGCAATCCCAGGAGAGGGGCGGAAAGCGGCAAAAGTTAATGCGGGAGTCGGAGAGAAGGGCATCTACACAGCAAGCAGCAGGGGCGGCCCGCCATCTGCGCGCTCGAAGGCGGTCACGGTGGTCGCGGAAGGGGCGGCGTCCAGATCCTGGCTTTCCATGGATGCGCCCGAGCTGGGCCCGGGGCTGGTGGAGCGTCTGGAGCAGCTGGCGACGTGTCCTCTGTGCGGGGGCTCCTTCGAGGACCCGGTGCTTCTGGCGTGCGAGCACAGCTTCTGCCGCGCGTGTCTGGCCCGCCGCTGGGGGACTCCGCCGGCGACCGGCACCGAGGCTTCCCCCACCGCCTGTCCCTGCTGCGGCCTGCCGTGTCCCCGCCGCAGCCTGAGGTCTAATGTGCGGCTGGCGGTGGAGGTGCGAATCAGCCGCGAGCTGCGAGAGAAGCTGGCTGAGCCTGGGGCCCGTGCGGGGAGACGCCGAGGGGGGCGCATCCCCACCATGGGCTGCCTGGACCTGCCCGGAGAGGTGAGGCTGGGCGCGCGTCGCGGAGTTGTTGGTGGAAGCGGGAGGTTCCCGGGGAAGCCGGGAATGGCACGTCTGGAGCCGGAGGCCCTGTGGAAGTTTAGGCAAAGGATGGGGTGGGGAGAGAAAAGCAAAGGATGAGGGGGCGAGGACCCTGGGTCCTCAAGGTGAGAGGCGCCCGGAAGGACGATGGATGGAGTTGACACTTGGTCCACAGGGGAGGAGGCTGGACCGATGCCTGAGCCTTGTGAGAGGGGCTGGAGAGAAGAGACTGGGGAGGCAGAGAAGGGGTACCGGATAGAACGCGGAGAGCCCTGGAGTCGCCGCGAAGGGCATGGGAACTGCAGAAGTTTTGGCAGGGCAGCCGCAGGCGCCCGGGAGGAGGAGAGCTGGCGGAGGGGAGGGAGCGGCGGGCGGAAGGGAGAGCCGACCCAGCTGAGGGTGAGGAGGGGTCCTGGGAGGATGGTGGGCGAGGGCAGAACCTGCTTAGAGGAGCGGGAGCAGGAGGCTGGGCTGGTGGGTTGGGGGCGGAGAAAAAGCTGGGGAGGAGGGGACTGACAAGAGGATGGAGGAAGGGAGCAAGGGGTTGGGGCATATCCAAACCTCCCCGTAGCGTCGTGGGGGTTGGTCTCGGACTCTGGCTCAAGCTAAGCCCTGTGTTGTTTGTTATTGTTATTTCGGCTCCTCCCAAGGCCCCAGGCAGGAGCGGCCAGGGGTGGAGGCGAGGTGCGGGAGAACAGCCGCTGGGGCCTCTGGCTCCTCTCCACATCCCAGTCTTACCACCCATCTACCCCCCGCGCCTCTCCTGGGCCCCGGCTCCTTGGCCACTAACCAGCCCATTCCCTTGCCCGACCGACCCCTGGGCGTCTGGGACTCCTGACTGGCTTCTTCCCAGCAGCCAAGCTGGTCTTGGGTCTTGCTTCTGCCCTTTGAAGTCTTCATAGACCTAATTAGTCTGAAAGTAATTGGCACAATTATGCAAATTGTTTCTCTCTCCCCCGCTCCACCATATCGGCCTGCTCCAGCCATCAGCACTAGACAGTGAAGTGGAGGGGTCGGTATCCCAGTGTTTGGAGGGGAGCATCCAGTGCCCTCTCCTGGCTCCCATAGTACTCTGTGGATCTGCTGGGCCTTTTGGGACACATTCAAGTCTAGCTGCCTCCCTGGCCAGGGTCCAGAGACACAAAGCAAAGGGCCCAATAAATGCCACTGGGCTTTTATTGCAAGAGGGGAAGCAGCTTTATTGTAAGGCTTTTATATACCAACTCTTAGCCCGAGGGCTCTGGGTGTGTGTTTGGTCTGTGTGATGGAGGGAGGAAGGGACAGATGTTTTTCTGGGATGCACTGGGGAAGGTAGATAAGGATGGGGCCGCTGAAAGAGACAGAGAATGGGACTGAGGAGGCAGCAAGGAAGGCAAGGGCTCTGAGGACAAGAAACAGTCACGGACGAGCCTGGGAAAAGAGAATTGAGAACCCTTGGGGAGTGGAAAGGGGGAGGACAGTGGGGATGGAGTTAGGAGGATGAGGGAAAAGTGATGGGGTGAGAGGAAGGAGGGATCATGAAAGGTGAAGGAGGAGAATGAGAGGGAAAGGAGCACAGTGTGTAAAGAGGTGAGATCACTCTGAAAGGTGAGGAGGGACACTGCTAACTCAGACAGAACTCACCTGAGGAGGGGAGAGATAGGGAAGGATGCCCCAGGGAATGAAGCCCAGAGCTCACATCCATGTTTGTTTCTGCCCATCCTAGGATATGAGGAAGACATGGAGACGGTGAGTTCCACTTTTCTGTTCCCTCCTTTTCTCACCAGCTGCCATAGCCATCACGTTCTCACTGGGCCCACACCTTTGTTCCCATTAATAGGCAGGTTTTCTGGGGTATAGTCTCATCCCTTCTTCCTCCAGAGATGTGAGTGGGGTATGCGTGGGGGCATTAGGATCAGAGGGCTGATTTCCTGACCCTTCCCCTCATCTGTGTAGATTTGAAGTCCCAACATCCAAGTCATCTAATTCAGAGGATGATCTCCCTGAAGATTATCCAGTGGTCAAAAAAATGCTTCATAGACTGACAGGTAAGGAAAGAAGAAGGGAGGGAAGGGAATTGAATGAAAGTCTGTGTTAGATTTTCTTCCTTTTAGCCCTAAAAAGTGATCAGGTCCTTTTTGATGTCTGCATTAGTTTCCTAGTACTGCTCTAATGAAGCACCGCAAAGTAGGTGGCTGAAACAACAGACATTTATCTCAAAGTTCAGGAGGTAGAAGTCTGAAATCAAGGTGTCAGCAGTGTTGGTTCCTTCTGACGGCCATGAGACAGAATCTGTTCCATGCCTGTCTCCTAGCCTCTGGTAGCCTCACATGTTCTTTGGGTGATAGGTCTGCACATTTTCTTTTGTATGCATTTGTCTCTGTGTCCAAATTTCCTCTTTTTGTAAGTCAGCAATCTGGATTAGAGCCCACCCTAATGACCTTCATTTTAACTTGATTACCTATGTAAAGATCCTGTTTCAAAACAAGGTAACATTCTGAGGTTTGGAGGACTTCAACCTATCTTTGTGTGTGTGTGTGGAGTGGGGGAGGGCACAGTTCAGCCTATAACAATGTCTATCCTCGATTCCTCATATTCCAGCCATTTTCCCTCTTCCTTTTTCATACATTCAAACAACAGATCCCTGAAGGTTAGGTGCCTCTCAAAAATCTCTGCTTCCACCACCTCTCGTCACTCCTCCCTGGAAGGGGACCCCAGCATCTCCTTGACCCTTCTTTCCTCACTCACTCCCAAGAAGAAGGGTGCCTCTACCCTTCTTTAAACTGCCTAGAGAAGGTGGTCCACCATCTTGGTCATCCACCATCTTGCCCAGTCCAGATTGCTTCTGACACCCCTAATCCAGAAATTTTTCTTCAAAGCACCCCATACATATAAGGCCAATGGTTCTTTTTCTGGTCTCTGGCTATCACCACCTGCTCTCCTCCTCTGCCCCACAACCCCTACAGAAATAGGACTGTCCACCCCACCCCCCAATTCCTGTGGGTGGGTGGGCTGGTTTCTCAGGATACCTTGGATTCCTCCCTGTGCCCCTCCCATTACTTGAGGTTCCAGTATCAGTACGACTTTCTCTTTAGATGAACCTTCCCCATTTTGCTGACCCAGCTCCCATGCCCCACCCCAGATGATGCAGATTGAGGTATCAGTCCTTACTCCTCCCTCGAAGTCAGATCAGCCTCACTCTTCCTCCCCCAACCCCACAAACGAGACAACCTCTCATTTGATCTTCCTGCTGTGCTCCCTGCACTGGGCCAGTATGATCCTTCCCCAGGTCCAATTCTACAGAAGTGGTGCATCAGTACAAGGTCTGATATTGCCCAGGTCTGCTCTTCATATGCCTTCCTTCTTTTTGGTCCTGCAGTCGCCTTTTGAGCTGTTGTGTGGTCACTAGCTCTCAGTCTTTTACGTGATCTTCGTTGACTATTCTCCACCCTACCCCGCCTGTGATTTAGAAAACTCTCTCATGAGGTCCTCTCCCTGCCTCCCCGTCTCCAGCCGACCTGACCCTGGACCCTGGGACCGCACACCGCCGCCTGCTCATCTCCGCCGACCGCCGCAGCGTACAACTGGCCCCACCAGGGACGCCCGCGCCCCCTGACGGCCCCAAGCGCTTCGATCAGCTCCCAGCTGTGCTGGGTGCGCAGGGCTTCGGGGCCGGCCGCCACTGCTGGGAGGTGGAGACTGCGGACGCCGCCTCCTGCAGAGACTCTTCTGGGGAGGATGCGGACGACGAGGAGAGCCACTATGCAGTGGGCGCGGCCGGGGAATCAGTGCAACGCAAGGGCTGCGTAAGGCTGTGCCCTGCGGGGGCCGTGTGGGCCGTGGAGGGCCGCGGCGGCCGCCTGTGGGCCCTCACGGCACCCGAACCCACCCTGCTGGGCGGTGTTGAGCCCCCGCCGCGGCGCATTCGCGTGGACCTGGACTGGGAGCGGGGCCGCGTGGCCTTCTACGACGGCCGCTCACTCGACCTGCTTTACGCCTTCCAGGCGCCTGGCCCCCTGGGGGAGCGCATCTTCCCGCTGTTCTGCACCTGCGACCCTCGTGCTCCGCTCCGCATTGTACCAGCGGAAAGCTGAGTCTCGTCTCCAACTAGAAGTTTGGCCCGGCCACTGGCCCTGCAGCTGCTTTTTGGGGGTGGAATTCCCCACTCATTTCTGGGAACACATTCACACGCCCATTGCAGGAGTATTAATAGCAACCCACATTTTCGCCCCAAAATAATGAGACCTCACCTGGTCTCCACGTTTCCACGTCCCTGCTCAAAACCAAATCCATTCCTGCCTTCTGGCTCTCAGAATCTTCTCTCCCCTACAGCTACTACAGTACTTCCTGACTTCTCCCATTCAAACCATTCTAGGCCTGCAATGGGGAACAGGCCCTCCCCATCAGTATTGGTAAAGTGACCATGATTCCTACATAGAGGCTCTGCTGGTCAAATACTTGACTCCCACTCTTGCCACTCCTAGCTCCAGAAGGGCTCAGGGCCTTCCCCACAGATCTAAGGACTGGGCTACCCTGCCTGTCCACTGAGGTTTCTCCTAAAACAAGAGGCTTGACTCTGGTCTGGGCCCTGTGGCCCTCTGGGAAGCTTTGTACCTCTTTTGCAGGATCTGGGGGTGGGGAGGGACAAGCTAGTTCCCCAACCTCCTATGACTGCTTTCTATGCTCACAGCCTTTTTTCCATAAGAACCTTCTTGAAACTTCTCCCCGCACATACTCACGGAAAGGAACCAATGGTGCTATTTCCCCTCTCTCCTCCTCAACCTGGGAATACTTCAGACATCTCCAAACTCATCCTTGTGTATAGTCTCACACCCTTCCCCATAAGTATAAATGGGCCCATATTTAACACATTTTGTGATTTTGGGTTATTTATTTTGTGCATCTGTGGCAATAAATGAGATCTCAGTGGTGGTATGGATTTGACTGATCTCTGTAACTGTGTATGGCAAAAGGACCGGAAAATGAAAACCGGATCCCAGTAAGGGGTAGAGAGGGGCCAAGAGAACTGAACATCTGGGCTGCCGGAGAAATCAAAGTCTAGGAAGTAAGAGGTAAGAGTGTACTACAGGGGACATACCCCAATCTCTTTGCTCCCTCCCTCTTCCTTCCTCTCCCAGAGACCCAGGTCCCTGGGACTATATTGGATCTGTCTCTGAAGCTGAAAAACAAAAGGCAGAGGAGACAGTCGGCTCTAAGTGACCAATCTCAAGCCAGCTTTGTCAGAAATCCTAAATAACAGGAGAAGGGTGGGAAGAAAGGATATGATTATTTCTTATTCCATTTTCCATAAGAGGTGAGAATGACAAGGACCTCTTTTCTAACTCCTCTTGAGGGTGTGAGAAGGGTTAGCAGGAGGAGAAGGGCTGGGAGCTCTGAGGTCTCCTGTAAGACCTCATATCTCACAGGCAAGGACTAAGAATTAGGATTAAATATTTTAGTGGGATAGCTCTAAACCAGGATTAGCAAGCAAAGTTAGGGCGCAAATTCCTGGAATCTGACTGGGACCCTGGCAGTGAAAGCTGGGACTGTTGAAAACCCAATTTAAGTGTTCGCTACTCATGTTGAGAGTGCAGGGCCAAGATAACTAGATCCCAGGACAGGCAGTTTGGCAGTGAGAACAAAAGGAAGACACTGGGACCAAGGTGCCTAGATCCCTCGAGAGAGAAGGGTGGGTATTGGGAGGAAAAATGAGGACTGGGGAAACCCAGGAGGCTGGGTTCTGGAATAGCAGCAAGTCAGAATTTCAGGATCTCTGTTCGTCCTCCTCTTCCTCTTCCCTCTATCAGGCAGAAGAGAGGGAAGGAGGGGGCTGGAGAAGTAGCCACATGGATACATTTAGGGCCAGACAGACACAGGAATGCTGGAGGAGAGAGGGATTTAGTGCTGCATTGGCCCTGGAGGGGGCTGGGAAGGGTCAGGAGGCTGGGGAGGGGTGGTGGGGGTCGGTCCTAGGGTTGCACGACGCCGTCCTTTGCGGTGGCCACGTACACAGTGTGTATGACCACAGCCCTCTTCTTCCTCCTCATCACTTTCCGTGGAGCTCTCGCCAAAGGCCCGAGGTTTCTCATAAATACAGCAGCCTAGATTTAGAGGGAGGAGCCCAGTTAAAGAGGAGGAAGGGTAAGATATATAGTCAGTTCCATTCCCACTCAAACTCAGTGAAAATTCCTATTTTCTCCTACCTTCCAGGATCCAGCTTCCCCAGGCCCACCCTCTGGGACTCAGGCCCCACCCCTCTTGTCCTCTTAGAGAGCCACGAATTCAAAGCCCCACTTCTCCCACCTCTGACACTTCTTGCTGTCAGACCTAGGCAATTCCAGTTCTAGCCCTTCCCTACCTCTTTCCCTGATACCACAGCACCACCAAAAAAGTGACAGAACTATGAACATCTGGGGGCTTCTGGAAAGCCAGTGGATATGAGTAGATACAAGATATGCTGAAGGGAGCCAGAACTCCAGGGCTACTGCGGGCCAACAATTACTCACATTTGGATGAGCGGCGGCCCATGTGTTCATTGTCCACAGTGTCACTTGTCCATTCTACCTTTTTCTCTGGCTTCCGTTTCCGAAGTTTGATGGTAAGGCTCCGGTTCTCCTAGAAGGTTAAGGATGAGCATACCTATCTAGTCCCCTCTTACTAACCTTTCCCACTCCCTCCCAGGGAACCTCCTCTCTTTTCTTCTTTAGCTCAATCAGTACCATAGGCATAGCACCAGAGGAGCTGACAGAAGATAAAACAGAACAGGTCTTTTACCTCAGATAGTCCCTTGAGGAATAAGTATTATTTCCTGTTCTTATACCACCAGTATAAGAGAAGACACAATTCCTAACCTAGGAAAGGTCCCAGCAACTCTTCAAAGGAAAATATAATCCTTGCTGTTTCTCCGTCTTCCTCCCCAAATCATCCTTGGTAGTATTAATACATGAAAATTATTTTTCAGTCCCCAGCACCTAATCTTTGATCTCCCTTCCTTTTTCCAGATCCCCTATTCTTTTTCTCTTAAAAAAACAAACAAAACCTCTCTCATTCTCAAGCTCCAGCCCTCCCTACCTCTTATCCACCTATTCTCTGGCATCCTGGCATCTCTAGTAGCAAGTATTACTAATCTATTAATTACTAAACTTCCTTTAATCCAAGAGTATTAAGCCCAATGCAACCTTCTCCCTTTGAAGGCAACTTAACATGTTTTTGGATAAATACTTCTTGTTTCTCCATTTACATCTTTGCTCTCTGATTTCTCAAAATACCTCTTTTCATCTCCTTTTCTTGTTTCCTCATTCCTGCCACTTCCTTTTACATTCATCCATTCAATAAATATTTATTCGAATATCAATATTGATAATATTGATAAGTTGGCCTCCAACCATGCTTTCTTACACTACCTTTGATTTCCTCCCAACATCTTCCTGGCTCCTTAATCCTCAATTTCCCTTTCGTTTATTACTTACACACATAACCACCCCAAGCAGCAACACCTATATCCTAACTGTACCTCCCTATTACAAGTTCCTTGACCTGCCTCCTGCACCATCTCTGCCACTCCAAATAGCTCCAATACCTTCCGATTCTCCCAGCCCTAGATATTCAACCCCACACCTCCCATATCCCTAGGCCTAGCTCCTCCAACAACTCTTCTAATCCCTGTCCCCTCCCTCCCAGTATCTCCCAGACCCCTAAACAGCACCGCCCCCCCGCCTTTCTCACGGGCTCGGTTGTCACGGTAACCGTTGTCTCAGTGACGGTCTCGCTCAGCCCAGCCCCTGCCTCGGCCATGGCTAAGGCTCAGGACAGGGAGGAGAGGAGGAAGGGGGATGAGACACCCTTCCCTTTTTCTGTCGCTGAGGTCTAAGAGAAGCGGTATCGGATTCAGAGTGGTAGCCAGGATCCTCCACCTTCTTTATTCCCCCTCCTCCTGGGCCTCCGCTTCTCCACCCCTGGGGATAACCTGGCTAACCCCACTTCCGGCTCGCCGCTTCCGGGTGTGACGCATACTGCAGTCCCCCTTTTTCCCTTCCACGGCACCAAATGCGTCAAAGCGCAGGCGTCGCTGGATTAGTTCCGCCGTAACGTGACAGCGCGCAGGCGCTGAAAGAAAGAGAAACAAATTTGGCGGAAGGGGTGTCACTGCGGGTGTGGGTGGAGGAGGGAGAGTCTGGGGCAGCACGCGTACTCACAGCCTAGAGGAAGCAGGAGGGGCGCCCAGATGGGTATTGCCGGGCCAGACGCTGCAGAGTGGGTGTGGCGAGGGCGGAGTTGTGTGCACCAAGCTGAGTCCTGCTGCAGATTTCCGTTTGCCTTGTCTGGGTAGGTGGACCGGCGAGGAAGCTTAAGGAGCAATAGTAATGACCCTACCGTGGCCTATTTCCCTTTCCTTGTTTGGTCTGGGTTTCTCTAAAGAAAACGGGAAGTGGGAGCAGTTGGAAACACACTTAAGAGTCAAGCGATGTGGTTCTACCCCTCGCCCTGTGCCTGTAGGTGTTTGAGCAGTTCAGTTTAGTGCACGTTCAACGTCAGTTTTTTTCAGTCACTGTGCTACGCCTTGAAGATGGAGGCGCGTAAGACGCTCAGACCCTGCCTTTTAGCTCTAGTAGGAAAGACAGGCATGCTGAAAACTAACAAAAATATGAAACACTGGGGCATTAACAAATGCCATGTCTGATTTGTAAATCTGAATGTAGTTACATACTGCCAACATATTCGTTCTCTCTGGGGTGATGAGTAGGATGAAGCAGAGAAATGGTCGTAAATTACAGTATAGGCTATTTTATAAAAATATATGCACGTTTCTTAGAGAGCAAAAGAAAGTGGTAAAACAAGAACCAGGAAGGCCGACAAGTAGGTTTTTTTAGAAGAGCAGCTTAAAAAGTTGTAGATGTGTGCACTACAGGAAATGGAGTTTTGTACCGCTTGGATCTGAGGGAGTGCCAGATGAAGCTTGACAGGTAGGCAGTGGTTATATGGAAGAACCTGTATGCTTTGCTAAGAAATTAAGCTTAATCCAATCACTGTTATGGGCCAGAGAAAGGCTTAAAGTAGGGTAGAAACATGAACAGGTTTGTTTCAGATTTCAGGAGTGGGTCAGGAAAGTCAACTGCCAGAACAGTTCAAACGTACAGTGGGGAAGACTGCCCTGCCCATTCTCCAGGTTGCTGTGGGGGTCAAACAAGATAGCTATGTTTGAGAGCTCTGAATATATATAAAGGGCCACACAATTATATGATAATTATTACAGTAACCCCTTGATCACTATTTGAGCCAAGGAATGCGGGACCTGAGTATGCATTTGTTCCCCTTGAAAGTTTTTAGTTCAAACAGAAAAAAGCAAGATATAGTTCAGCATGTCTAGTCCATTAAAAAAACCAAACACATATATAGCAACACACATATACAGAGCCACATACATATACACAAGCACAGATATACAGTATAATTTGGTTATCTCTGTGGAGTAGGATTCCTTGTGACTTTACTTTTTTCTTTCTTTCTATGTAAGAATCTATTATAATAGATATACAATTCATCCTTGAACAACATGGGGGTAAGGGGTGCTGACCCTCTGAACAGCCAAAAATCCATATATAACTTTTGACTCCCCCAAAACTTTACTGTTGACCAGATGCCTTACCAATAACATAAACCGTTGATTAACACATATTTTGTATATGTATTATATACTTATAATACATATAATCTTACAATCAAGTAAGCTAGAGAAAACATTATTAAGAAAATCATAAGGAAAAGAAAATATATTTACTATTCATTAAGTAGAAGTGGATCACATTTTCATGTTGAGTAGGCTCAGGAGGAGGAAAAGGAGGGCTTAAATGTGCTGCTATCTTATGGGTCTCAGAAGTAGAAGAAAATCCACATATATGTAGACTCAAGCAGTTCAAACCTGTGTTGTTCAAGGGTCAACTGTGTATTGTATTTATCTCAATACTAATAAAATACTCACCTATAGTGATCACTTAGTGGCATTACTTAGTATCAGATTTTTTGTTGTCCAAATTTATATGCTAAAGAGATCTGGTTAAAATTTCTGTTAAATGTCTCACTATCCAAATTCCTAGTTTTTCTTAACCTAAACTCAGGAACCAAATAGATTTAAATAGTATGGCAATACTTACAATTGCTTTTTGTTTATATTAGCCTCATTCCTGACTCTACTTTTTTGTCCTAATTTTTCCCCCTTTTCTTTTTCATATAAATATATCTCTGGAAACTCATTTAAATTCCTTTTGGAATAAGACAGATTATAAGTAACATACATATGTCAGGGTCTTATAGAAAAATATAACTTTAATAAGGAAATTCAACTAAGGGTAGGAGTACTCCAGGAACAATGGTAATCCCCACATGATGATCTGATTCTCTTCTGGGAGCAAAACATTGCAACCAGACAGGATGGACAAGGCATCTAAAAACCCAGTATCCTTCACCTTCCGAAAGGAGGGAGGGACTGTAGAGTTGCCCAGGAAAAAGGTCAAGAGTCTTCCTTCTCCTGGAACCTATGAGGAAAGAAAGGACTTGTTATATTCACCAAAAGATGAGTTTCTAGTAGTATAAGATAAGATATGCAATCAAATAATCAAGGAAGGACTTTTATTTATGACATCATTGAGGACTGGCTCCCCTAAACAAACTTCCAATTCTAATTCCAAGACAACTAAAAATTCTGGGATTAAAAATATATCCAATGAGTTATAACCTCAAAGCAAAGATTTCTTAGGACACAGAAAGCACTAGCTGTAAAAGAAAAAAAAAAGGATAAGCTGAACCTTATAAAAACTTAAAACTTCTGCTCATTTAAAGAGGGTTAAGAAAATAGGCAAGCCACACGCTGGGAAAAAAAATCTTCTTTTTATTTAAAAAAAATTTTTTTTTTTTTGGTAAAATGACAACCAGTGATAGGAAAAAAATACTTTTAAAAGATATATCTGACTATGAATATTTTTAATCCTTTGATGAGATGGCAAGAAAGTAAAGGCAATCTGCACACTGGTTAAAAGTTCTGTAAAACCAGAAATCCAGACAGGGAAGTTAAAACTAATGTCCCTATGAAACGTGACAGTGACACTATGGTGCCCTTTATACTGTTTTGACAGTCACTGGAAGCATAGGAAATGAGGGACAAAATGTATAAGGTCTGATAGGAGATCCCGTGCATAAATTTGGGAACTGCAAAAGGCTGCCCTTTCTTGTAAAAGTGAACAAGAAAAGAAAAAATTCAACTCTATAGAAGGGGAATTTGACTGTCTCAGTAGGTAGAAAGAGAGAAAACTCTCTCCTGAGAATTTCTAACTGTAAGCTAGCCCTTACATGGATTTGCAGCTCAAATTCATACTATCTGTCTGCTCCAAAAAACATGAAGCCAAGAATTTATTTAAAGTAATTCCAGCTTGATAGTGCTTCAAGGCACCTAGAAAAGAAACACAAATGCTGAGAATACAGCACTCGCCCAAGGCCTCAAAGAATTCCTACAGTTCAAGTTCTAAAAAACTCGAATTTATAGTCAAAAATCACAAAACAAAGAAAAAAAGCACTATGAGAGAGACAGCAGAAACAAAAGACAGCAGCATCAGACACACAAAATCCGCAGATATCAGAATTATAAGACATAGAATATAATAACCATATTTAATATTTTAAATATATATTTAAAGAATAATAAAAGGAACAATTTAAAATATGATTAAAGAACTGATAATTATTTAAAAATTAAGGAGATTTGAAAAGTAATTAAATAGAACTCAAAATAATAACAATAGTAAAAAATAATAATACTTGAAATAAACTGAAGACAGAATTAGTGACATGGAAGAGGGACCTGAAGAAATTACTCAGAAGGTGGCATAAAGAGAACAGCAATTGAAAATATGAAAAGAAGGTGAGAGAAATGGAGGACAGAAGAGAGAAACCTCTTTCTAGTAACTAATTCGAGGTCCAGAATGTGAGGACTGAGAACATGGGGGAAAGAGAATATTAAAAGAGATGATGGCTGATAATTTTCCAAGGTTGATGAAAAAAAAGTCCACTCTCAGTTTCAGAAAGTCCAACAAATCCCAAACAGAATAAAAGAAAATCGTATTTTGATATACTATAGTGACTGCAGAACACCAAAGACAAAAATGAGGTCTTAAAAGCATTCAGAAAGCCCATGTTCTCTAAGTCATGTGTGACTAATTCTCTCCAAAGAAAGCTACCTTGACTGCGGTTGAAGACTGCAGTATAAGATGCTGACCACTAAACAATACCTGCTTCTTATGTTGTTTTTTTTTTCTTCATTTCCTTTTAAATATCCTAAAAGTAGGTCAGGCGGGGTGGCTCATGCCTGTAATCCCAGCACTTTGGGATGCTGAGGTGGGTGGATCACTTGAGCTCAGAAGTTCAAGACCAGCCTGGGAAACATAGAGAAACCCCATCTCTACTAAAAATACAAAAAAAAAAAAAAAAAAAAAAAAAAAAAGCCAGGCGTGGTGGCATGTGTCTGTGGTCCCAGCTACTTTGGAGGCTGAGGTGGGAGGATTACCTGAGCCCAGGAGGCGGAGGTTGCAGTGAGCCAAGATTGCCTCGCTGCACTCCAGGCTAGGTGACAGAGCGACACCCTGTCAAAAAAAAAAAAAAAAAAAAAAAAAAATCCTAAAAGGTTTATTTCACTGGTTATAAAAAGGTTTAAAAAAGTGTAACTTAAAAAAATAAAAAACAACTACAAATCTCCCTATTACCAGAACTGCACAGAAATAAGGGATGGGACCAAGGGAAACGGCCATTTCGTACAAAAAAATAAATCACTGGATTTGTTTAGTTAGCAAACAGACTGAGCAGAGGGAGGGGAAAGAATACTCACTTGCAGTTGGTACAGGTGTAGAAGACAGTTTGCCCTTCATCGGCTGAACGCATCTGTCTGGTGTGGTATGCCATTCCTTCATGACCACATCGAGGGCAGCGCCTGTCAACCTGGGAAGAAACTGGTGGGTTAGGGAGGCCTGGTCATATCCCCTTACTTCCCACAGGAATCAGGCGATCACGCCTCTCAAACGTCGATGGTTTACATCTCTTTTCCCTCTTGGAATTGGGCACAAAACTCTCCAGAGCTTTGCAATCACTCCTCCATTTCTTTCCTACCCACCTTATGGAGCCAGTTCTTGATCTCATTAGCTTACCACAGGTCCCTGGCACTCAGGCCCTTCCTCCACCGACATAGGCATGGCTGTCCCCAGTTGGTGGAACACAACCGAAGTCTTCACAACCTTCCCCTCAAAGTCTGCACAGGCAAGTAAGAACTGGTTATGGAGACAACCAGAGAGAGCTGACACCGGAAACCTCCCCTTTCCCCTGGCTGGTTAGGCCAGGAGGCCCTACATCCTTTCCCTCAGTTTTCATCGCTAGACCAAATGTACAACCGCCTGATGTCCTGCTCTAGGATCCCCTCCTCAACCCAACCGATCTTGAGTTCCCCAAGCTTCCGACCCTGCGCCCTCCGCCAGGACCCCTGCGTACAAGCCTCTCACCCCGAACGTTGATGTTGAAGCCACAGCGAATACAGGTGACCGTATCCTGAGCCCCGGGCAGAGGCAGGACCGAGCCGCAATCTGAACAGAAATCCAGGTCCGACTGAAAGCTGGAGCAAGTATTGGCGAGGTCCATGACAGACATGCGGTCGGGTCTGAGGAGGGAGTTGGAAGTTTATTAACAAAAGAGAGAAGAGTTCCTGTCCCAGAGGTCGTAACTATTCTGTCCCAGGACCTAGGAGTATATAACCCGAACCCTCCTGCCACGCACGCCTCCTGCCTCTGCGACCAAGGAGCCGAAACGCCCGGAATTCCCAGACAGCGTCGGGTACTAAAGGACTTGGAACCCTTTCCAGGGGCCGGTGAGAGGAGTTAACCAACTCCGTGGGCTAGAGCGCCAGCTCTGCGCCCGCGGCGGGGCAGCGAGATAGAGCCGGCTAGAGCGTCAGGCTTTCGCGTTGACGATTGGCTGTGACGTCATAATTAATTGCGAACCGTGTCTCGGGAGCGTTAGAGATGGAGACTAACGTCTTCCAAGGGAGATTGCGTCTCCACTTTCACCCTGGTACTGAGAGGTTGAGCACAAAATTGGTAACCAATGCTGCGCTTCCAGCAAATTTTCCCACCAGCACCCAATCCTGGGATATTTATTCTCTTTGTCTCACATCCTACAGGAACGCAGTCGCGGGGTATATCCCCCTGAAAACCGTACGTTGCCAAATAATGATTTCTTTGGATTAGAGAACTACAACTCCCCTGGGTCCTGAGCCGGTATTTCCCTTTTGCGGCTGCACCGTAGTTAAAAACAAAGCTAAGTGTTCTGGGACGTATAGTTCTAGCGTTCCTTGGGTCCCGCTGGCGAGCGTGGGCTTTCTGCAGCTCGCAACCGGCCTCGTGCTTTGCGGACGGTTCACTGCGCTTGGAAAGGGGTGAGTCGGCTTTTTGAGGGACAGCAAGTGGTGAGAGTGAAGGCCCGAGGAATGCTTAGTCCCACGGGACGAAAGGAAGCAGGGATGAAGTGGTACACTTGAGAAGGGGTTCAGGACTTTGGAGGTGGTGGAACAGAGGAGCTTGGGGCTTCCTCTCCTTCGACTCCTGCCAGATAAGTGAGGCTAGCAGTAGTCAAGAAAGCTCATTAAGTAGGATTTCATAAGACTTAGGTCGAGTTTGGCTTTTAGTTGTGCCTGCCGCCTATCGAACTCTTAATTCATTATGTCATCCGTTAAGTGGACAGCTGACATTTCCCTGATCTTTTATAAAACATGAGAATAAGTATCTTTGGGAAATCTTTCTATTTTCATTAATCTGTAACTTATATTCCAAGTAGAAACTTTCCCTGAAGGGGCAGCTTGTAGTTGTTTACTAGTTTCCTGCTAGCCCTCCCACCACCATCCACTCTGATAGCTGTGCTAAGTTCATTCATATAAAAGTTCTGGAGCCATCACTGTTTTCTCCTATGAAGGACACAAGCTGTAGTCTTTTCGCTGGGAGAGGCTCCCATCTGCCTTTCTCTGTAATAATGGAGAGAACGCCATAGTGAAAGGGTTAAAACTCAGCAAACTGCTGAAGAGTGACAAGCCCTATCATTTAACTGTGAAATTGCTTGTTATTCTGTCTTACAAAGGGAGACGTGTTGTTGAGCTGATTGTCGTAGACAGTTTTTATTCTC